>NC_000006.12:28241818-28544848 GCF_000001405.40 Homo sapiens | reverse complement strand
CAGTTACTTGCTATTTCCTCTTGAATCGAATTTCATAACTGATAACTTTTGCAGAATTTACTGTTTTAATTTTCAAATTAATTGGGCAAAATTTTTTATACCATTGCACATACTGATCCATCTGCTGGATCATCTATTTGGCTTTTTTTTTTTTAAGAGAGAAGAGAGAGAGAAGTTTCGCTATGTTGCCCAGGATGGTCTCAAACTCCTGGCCTTAGGCAATCCCCCCCCGCCCCCCGCCAATTCCCCCCTCCAACTCCCCCCTCCAACTTCCCCCTCCAACTCTCCCCTCCACTCCCCCACCCCCCTACCGCGTCTTGGCCTCCCAAAGTGTTGGGATTACGGGCGTGAGCCACAACGTGCAGCCTCTTTCTGCACTTTTTTTCTTTTGAAACTAATTCTTTCTTATCTTTTAGGTCTCAAGAGTAAGTTTGGTTCCTAGGTGTTCACTGAACCCCTTCAGGCTGGGTTAAGAACAGATCCCTGCAAGCTGACACTTTGACCAGGTGGGTGAGAGAATCCGGGTGGTGCTTTCGTGGAGGGCAAGAGAAAGAGAGCGCAGCCTCCTCAGGATGCAGTTGCTGAATAGAAGAGCTTTTCAGTAAATATATGTTTCTCCAGCCCTTCTGGAATATGAAAAATCTGTGTAACAGACTTTGAGAGAGCCGGAAGCCAGGATGAAGAGGGAGGTCCCATAAAGACTCAAATCAGGCTCTCAAAGAGTTCCCAGTAATGGGGAATGAGACCACCAAATGCACCCCGTTGCTTTCACCACGCCTCCGGCACTCACAGGAGGGTGTCCACGCAGGCGTCGTTCGTTCCGGGGGCAGGCCTCGCGCGCGCCTTTCCTTCCTGTGTGTTTCCCACCGGCACATCACTAGTGGGAGGTCAGAATGCTGCCAGTCAAGGATGGCTGGGTCAAATGAAGAACTGAAATGAAAACAACCACTACGAAGTGGTTCGAACTGCAACTTTCCGGGCCTAAAGCCTGGCTCCTGCCCCCTCTACCACTCAGCGCCACCACCGAGTGGTTGCACAAGATGATACGCATTTTCTACATTATTCTCTAAGTGCCCGCTATACTCTTGGGCTTTTAACAAACGTCTCACTAGAGACTATTCAGCAGGGCCTAGTTTTGGTTACCAAGCGGAGCCAGGCCTAGGAAGATGCCTCTATTTAATGCTAATTGCAGCTGTTGCAGCTGAATTGGACGCCAAGCTGAGAAGGTCGCCTGAGGGGGTCTTTCTCGTTCACCTGGTGATTTTCATTTATTTCCAGAGGGTCTCAATGCTGAATGCAAACTGATCATGTGTAGTAGTGATTATAGAGAGACATTCAATGCTTTTCTTTTTCCCTTTCTTTACAACTTTTTGTCACCAGCTGAGAGAAGCAACGTGGTGCATGTGCAAAATTTGGTGTAACATTTGGTGTCAAGTTAAGGGTAGGAGTTTGGAGAAAATCCAAATACTCACTTTGCATTACCTTGTTATTGTGTGACACTGGCAAGTTATTTAGCTTTTGTATAATTTACACTATCTTTGAAATTAGGTTAACAACAGAAATCATGTCATATAAGTAGAACCATACAATATATATATAAAATCCAGGTTAATAGCCAATCTTACAACATTTCTCATATTTTTTGCAGTTGCTAAGCCATGGGACCACGTGGCCTAATGGATAAGGCGTCTGACTTCGGATCAGAAGATTGAGGGTTCGAATCCCTTCGTGGTTGATTCTCCCTTTTTCACTCTAAAACAAGACTGCACAACCTCCCACACCACAAAATTATAGCATCCAATTAATTTCCGAAAGTGAACGTGAATTCTCTGCAGTCCTTTCCCGTGGAAATGGGAAGTTGCATCACACACCTCTTTGGAGTTGCGAGTGATTCAGGTGGGGCCAGCACACCACCTTTCAGCTGTTTGTACTTTGGAGGAAACGCTTGGCCAGGCTGGCACACAGGTGCCTGGAGTCCGGGGTGGGATGGAGAAAGCGTGAGCCCTGGTCCGGGAGTATCCTCTTCCCGCCTGTTGAATGGGCTCAGGGAACTCAGTTGAATGCATCTTAAGGAGCTTTATTCACCTGGTCCCGCAGGGGGCGACCATCACGTTTCCACTGGTCCCCAGTAGGCGCTACAAGTTTGACTCGCAGACACACAAAAGAGTGTAACTTGAGAGCCTTGTCTTTTTGAGGTCAGTTTAAATATCGCCCCCTTTCTAAAATTTAGAGGAGCTGAAGAAACACACGCCTTAAAACCTGCTCATGATTCAGGTGGATGTGGTCGTTGACCGGAAGCTTCTTTCTCTACCGGAGCCCGCTCCTGGGTTCTCCCTCACGTCGCGGGGCGAATTAGACTGTCCGCAATATCTGAGGAACCAAGGTGTTAACAGAGACCTGAAAACAGGAGAAGAGGCGAGCCAGGAAAAGATCTTGAAGAAGAGGAAGCAGTTTCTCCAAAAGGCGAAAGAGAGCCTTTGTAATGCCCTTTATAATAAACCAGTGAAAGTCAAAACAATTGTCTGGTCAGGAAGATATAAAAAATAGAACAACAAAAAAAATTAAACCAGTAAACGTTAAAACAAAACAAAAGGGGAAAGAATCTGGCCAAATACATTTGAATACTTTTATGAAATGGAGAAATTATTAGGACGACATGACTATTAAGTACGATTCAAGAAGGAATAGCAATAATGAATAGTTAAACTACGAAATAAATTGAAAAAGTTGTCAAACATCTTCCTACTGAGAAAACCCCATGTCCCATCACTTACCCAGGGTTTACGAGGTCAGGAAACTGAGACCATCCCGGCCAATATGGTGAAACCCTTTCTCTACTAAAAATAGAAAAAATTAGCTAGCTGGACGTGGTGGCGGGCGCCTGTAATCTCAGCTACTGGGGAGGCTGAGGCAGGAGAATCGCTTGAACCCGGGAGGCGGAGGTTGCAGTGAGCCGAGATCGCACCACTACACTTCAGCCTGGCGACAGACTGAGACCCCTTCTCAAAACAAAAACAAACAAACAAGAAATCCAACAAGACACGATCTCCTCCATAGTATAGAAAAAAGAAAAAAGAGGGAAAAGACCCACAACTATACTTGCAGAATGGCTTCATGATATTTTTCCAGACAATGTACTCTAAACAGTTTTATTGAGGCATAATTCCCATGCAATAAACTGCACAAGTTTAAACTATGTGTAAGTTTTACACATATATGCAATCATATATGTATAACATGTGTAATCATGAAACGACCAGTACAATAAAGATAATGAACATAGACATCACCCCCAAAAGCTTCCTCCTGCCCTCTTGTAAGCCCTGTTCCCCTCTTACAACCAGATATGCTTTCCATCATTACATGTTCATAGTTTTCAGAATTTCATGTGAGTGGGATCATACAGTATGGACTCTTAAAAAAATTCTTTCATTCATTATCATTATTTTGAGGTTCAAGCAATTCTCTTGCCTCAGCCTCCTGAATAGCTGGGACTACAGGCACCCACCACCGTGCCCAGATAAGTTTGTATTTTTAGTAGAGACAGGGTTTCACCATGCTGGCCAGGCTCGCTTCGAACTCCTGACCTCGTGATCCACCCGCCTCAGCCTCCCAAAGTGCTGGGATTACAGGCGTGAGCTACTACGGCCAGCACTTTGCCAGAGACTTTTAAATGGTTGATTTGAAAAAAATAATTTTCACCAGTTTCACTTGGAAGCTGGTCTGCAGAGCTCTTTTCACTTCATGTTGAAAGTCAATCTCTGGAGGTACCTCTCATACATTACTCATCCCTGCATATATATTTCCCCTCCCTCATCCTTCCTACTTAATTTCATCATAATTCTAAATTCAGGGTTTATTGGTTATAAAAAATTATTCACAGCTGTGCTATATAGTACTATGATTATATTTCTTATGTGCCTTTTAGTTTTCTGCAAAGTTATTAACTGCCTTTTACTTTTTCTTTATCTTTTATGATCATGTAACCAATTCATTCTCAACTGATTTTCCTTGAATTTAAGCAACTCTCAATATAGTGAAATACCTCAAAGAACCTATCAATTTTAATATTTTCCTTAGTGGTCTCCTCTCTGGAGCCTTTGTATCCCTGCTTCAATCTGGACTGGTTGTTCTCTAGGCATGTTACACAGGTGTCTTCTTGGGGCTTTTCTTCCACCGACCTGGGATATACTTTGCCTTCTTCCTGTTTTGGACCCTTATGTTTTCCTTTTTTTAGTGTTGTATCATTTTGATGGAGAATAACCTCTAGGAATTTTCTGAGAGGGTGACTCTGTCTACAAATGGCTTTATAACATACTCAGTTTTGATTGATAGTTTGACTAATAAATTAGACAGGAAATTCTTTCTGTCATAATTTATGACATTGTTCAATTGTCATTTTCAACTCTTCCTTCTATCAAAGGAAACATTTCTAAATAAAATACACAGATGCTGCTTTCTGTTCAGATTTAGTTTAAAATCCAAAGCAAAAAAGAAAATTTTTTTTGCCTGATTCTGGTATCTTGCCTGGTGGGAAGCTACTCAGGAATTTCTGGAAAACAGAACTGTATACTCTGCTTCTAGCCACCATGATGACAAGTATGTGACACATAAGAATTGTCCGTTATGGAATTTTCTTGAAAAAAATATTAGGCAAACTGGAAACAAGCTACCAAGTATGACTGTCTGGCATCTCTAAACTACTACAATTATTTAAAAATAAATATTCAAATGTCTCTCAATATGGATATCAAACCCTTTTCTCCTTGTCACGGGTGACAAGGCAAATCAGCACACCTACCAAAAGAACAGCCAGCACTAGGAAAATGCAGCTAGAAAGGACTGTGGACTCTGCAGTTTAGTTTACAAAATCAGGCAAGGACTGTAGGACACCTCTATCCATTCATACCTCAACTCACTCTAGAGATCTGGAAGCTCTAGGTCTTTCAGAGCAGGAACTCTGAGCTTGGTGCAAGGACACAAGGAGTCAGAAGCTTACTCCAAGGATCAATTTGAACAACCCAGGATTCCAAACAATTCTGGAGTTTCCGTGTTGTGGCAAGAGGAGAGAAGACCCACTTCTTGGGGCAATGAGAAGATCCCCAAAAGTCATAAACTCCTAACTTACCCTAGGCTCTTACTTTGTGCTCAGAACTGTGCTTAGTGCTTATATCCATCATTTATATCTGTGTAACAAACCTTACTCAAATTTAGTGGCTTAAAACAACAATTGTTTCTTCTGTTTATAATTCTTCAGGTCAATGATTGGAGCTGTGTTTAGCTGGGCAATTCTTTTGTTGATTTTGTCTTGGGTCACTCATATGACTGTAGTCATCTGGCAGCTTGACTGAGATTGGATGGTCCAAGATGGTCCCACTAACATGTGTGGGGTGTCAGCTGGACTGCCTGGGATGGCTGAGATAGCTGAGACTCTTTCTCCATGTGGTCTTCCACCTAAGATGCTTGATGAGGTTTCCAGCATCTTGTACCAACTTGGTATGAAGGTTCTAAGAGGTGAGTGACAAGGTTTCTTGAGGCCTAATTTTAGAACTCCTACACCACCATTTCTACATCATTTCACAGAATTCTGTTGGTCAAAGCAAATCACAAAGTCAACTCACATACAACAGGGAGGGAAACAGACTTGGCCTCTTGATGAAAGCTGCTGCCAAATCACATTACAGACCTGGTGTGCTGGCTCACGCCTGTAATCGCAGCACTTTGGGAGGCTGAGGCAGGCGGACCACTTGAGCTCAGGAGTTCAAGAACAGCCTGGGCAATATGGCGAAACCCTGACTCTACTACTATAAAAATACAAACATTAGCCATGCATGGTGGCGCATGCTTGTAATCCCAGCTACTTGAGCAGCTGAGGCACAAGAATCGCTTGAACCCAGGAGGTGGAGGTTGCAATGAGCCAAGATTGCACCACTGCACTCCAGCCTGGGGGACAGAGCAAAACCCTGTCTTGAAAAAACAAAACAAAACAAACACACATACGCACACACATTACAGAGGGATATGCATACAGGGATGGGAGGAACTTGCAGCTGTTAATCAATTGTTAATTTATTATCAAACAACACGGTGAATAGCCCTCCTATTGATATGTTCATTGTACATCTTGTTTAAGTAAATTATCCACTATCACTTTTTTTTTTAAACAAGTGTTAATTCAAGTTGGTCTGTAGGTCTTGTTTTGAACCCACTTTTACCTGGTGGGCAGCTCAGGATGGGACCAGGGAGAATGTAAACATTTCAAAATGCAGCAGCAGCTAGAAAAGAACAGGTAGTGCTGAGCATTTGCACATGGGCAGTCATAAATCTGTGAAGAGGGAGAGCTGTATTGTGTCTCCAGGATGTCACAGATGTTTAAGATCCAGAGGGTGAGATTAGTGGCCCACATGTAGGCTTCCTGCTCAGCTCGGAGGCTGTAATGGTTTGGTTTATTTTTTGAGACTCAATACCTGTGTCTCTGTCATAACTGCAGACATCATAGGCTCATTAAGAATCCCAGAGGAATGAAGAAACTGAGGTAGGGAAAGCAGATTCAGAGACAAGAAAATTCCCACTAATACAGTGATTTTAAAAACCTAAGATCGTCCTTGTTTCACAGAGTTGAAAAGTCACACAGAAGTACTAGTTATGAATTTTTATATATGCCTGATCTATCTGGGCCTGAGACTGTGAAGGTCAGGTTTCTTTGTTTGAGACAGGGTCTCACTCTGTCACCCAGGAACCACAGGCACGCGCCACCACGCCTGGCTAAATTGCATTTTTTTGTAGAGACAAGGTTTCATCATGTTGCCCATGCCTGGTCTTGACCTCCGGGCTCAAGAGACCAGCTCTCCTCAGCCTCTCAAAGTGCTGTGATTATAGGTGTGAGTCACCACACCCGGTCAGTTTCTTATTGAAATGAATACTGTGAAGAGCTGTTTTAGCGACTGTCATACACTTGTTGCCGAGGTATTGGACAAAGGCAAGCATCAAAAAGGACCGTGTGACGACGTTTATCACCCATGACCTTAACCAGGGAATTTTAAGTCAAATCACGCGAGGGTTCTGAGTGCAGTCTAAATCTGAGTACATACATCGCTGAAAGAAATCTCAGGCGCAATAAGCTCTCCCTGTTTTTGAATTTCTACAGGTCGGAGAATAGTAAAACTGCTCCAGGTGAGGCTTGAACTCACAACCTCGGCATTGCTCACAGGTGCACTGTCTTATAAGTACCGCGCGCTAACCGATTGCGCCACTGGAGCCACAGAAATAATAAGGATTTGGAAAGGTATAAGAGAAGATGCTCTTACAGATTGACGATGAACTCTTTAAACATTGTTTTTTAAGGTATTAAATAATATGAACTTTAGGCACCTTCTAATACAGGACTTCCACGAATGGGATGAAAAGCAACAATCAAGAGAACCCTGGAATTAGCTGATCCGGAGCCCTTTTCCTTCCAACTCAGAGATGCCCTAGGGACTCAGGGTTGACGTCACCGGTACCTTGAATTTCTGCTCAGATTTTCCCACGGCTTCTCTAAAGTCAGACAATAATTTAAAAACATTTGAATGAAAGTCACATCGGTTCACCAAAAGCAGGAAGCTAAGATGGCTGCATGTAAAATAGACGTGTCAATCACTACATTCGGAGTGAAGTTTCCACCAAGAAGCGCGTATTCCGCCTGCACAAAACCAGCGAGAGCATTTTCCATTGTTTCGGAATCCCGCGGGCTTTTCATTTTCGCCATTCTACTTCCTGTCTCTCCACTCTGCGTTCGGCTACACTATTTGCTGCTTTACATGAAATGCCAACCTCCCACTCCCATCCAGACACTCGCTGATTTTAAATCTAATAATGTTAAAATACTTTGCTACTCGGAAACACTCAGAGAGCGAATATTTCCTTTACAAAAATCACTGTTTTCGACGTATAGATGCAACGCAGGCTAAGTAAATGCAGAAAAACAGTAATATAATTATTTAAAAATTTGCCAAAGTCTCATATCTTGAGAAATCCATTGTTTACATTTGTTATATTTCATGTCGGGCTTTTTCTATGAAGGTTTAACAGAGAAAGATTAAATATTTTTAAAATTTTTGTTAAAGTAATTGAACAACATAACAAAATGGCCCCTCTCACCAGCACATTCCTTTTTTGTTTTTTCAAACTGAATGTCCTTTGGCCTTCCTGTGATGTACAGTTATCTAGTGGGGTTCCCAGCACTGCATGGTAAACCACTTGAACCTGCCCACTTTTCTGAACTTTTGATCCCCTATTTCTACCACCTGCTGAAACAGTTCTGGTGTTTCTACCACATTGAGAGAGAGACATTTTTCTTTTTTTCCGAATAGGAGCCATCCGAACAGTGTGTTGGTTTCTTGACAGAGTGTAAAAATTCTGTATTCAGGGAGAGCGCTCCCATATCAGTGAAGTCTCCTTATCTAACTTTAGGTTGCACTCCCCTTCTTCACGAACTCTGAGAACCTAGTTTGACATGAGGCAGATTCTGAGTGGGAGCAGAGGCACATAATATTTGGCCAGACAGAGTCATCTGCATTGTTTTCAAGCAAGAAGGATATGCTAACCCTCAATAAGAAGGGATGGGCCACTTCTAAAAGTTTTGGGGGTCCTGGAAAATTTGGAGATTTGGATATTCTAATACATCAAACCAGATGTCTCCATGTTGAGATCTCAGCTCACTGCAGCAGCCTTGACTTCTGGGCCGAAGTGGTCCTCTTACCTCAGCCTCCCTAGCAGCTGGGATCATGGGTGTGTGTGCCTCTATGCCTGGTTCTGTTTCTTATTTTGCAGAGATGGGCTTTCCCTATGTTACCCAGGCTGATTTTGAACTCCTGGACCCAAGAGATCCTCCCGCCTCTGCCTCCAAAAGTGCTGGGATTACAGAAGTGAACCACCGTGACAGCTGGAAGCTAACTTCTTTTAGAGTTGTACATACTATTCCTATGATTAAGTCTTGAGCCTGAACTTTCGGTTTTGCTGCTGTTAAGTTGCAGATAGGAGAGGTCCTTTATACATCCCATGGAGAAACACTTTCACAGTTAGCCTTAATTTAATAATATATCATCCTCAGTCTTTAATTATCTCTCTCCAAAACATCAATTTCCTCTGGCAACGACCATCCAATTCTATTACGTTATAATTACCATTCCCCTCATGTTTCTCAAGCACCTAAAACTTCATGTCTGCTAGTGCATATTCTTCCACCAGTTTACCATGCCAGTTCAGGTTTGGCAAAAGTTTTGACAACTGCACTGCTACTTGTGCCAGTAGTTGTTTGTGCTCCACCCATCTTCTCATCATCAACCAGACGGTGAATAATTCAGCTTCAAAAATCTCCTCTTAGTATCTTCTTTCTCAGATCATATTTGGTACCAATAATTACTGGTTGGATTCTCTAGACAGTAGACTCTAAGATGGATATTTGCATTCAGAAAGTTTACTAGGGCATTAACTGACAATCAGTGTGGAGGGTTGGGGGGGGTGGCAAAGAAGAGGAGCAGAATTTGTCAGAGGGAAAAACTGGGGTGCAGTGCAAGCACAAAATGCCACCGGCCTACCCCTTGTGCATGTCTAGAGCTAGTATGGCCCTTCAAAGTTGTGCTAAGTTGAGCAGTCAGGGTTTGGCCTCTATGCCTCTCAGGGATGAGTAACTGGATACAGGCTGCCCTGGAAAGGGGAAAAACTTAGGCTGAGGCAATTCCTGAAGAGGAATGACAACTGAGAGGCATTAGGTGACAACCTTCCAAACATAAATCTTTCTGTCTGGGGGGCTCAGGTCATGTGGGCAATACATCATTTGTGACAGAGTAAGAAGGAGGAGGGAGATAAAATGAGTTCAAGCACCAGACAGGATTTTAAAACCACCATAGAGATTGTCGATGCTGCAGAAAACATTTTATTGGAGACAGTGGCAGGGCTCGTTCTGAAGGTGAGGAATCCAGGGTTGAGATGGGAAATCCCATCCTTCAAAAGATAAAGGGCATTCCTCTCCAGGTGCCATAACCTGAATGCACTAAAGATCAGACAATTAGGAAAACTTTTGTAGGGCCAGAGATAGGTTTTGGGTCCCACAAGCATGGAGATGCCCTCTCTTCTTTTGAAGCAATGTTCTTGCTCCCACAGGAGAATGGCTGGTAGGGGGAGGTGTCATGGATGAAAACTGAGCCAAAACAGTTGGAAACTGATGATACACGTTTGTCCTAGGAGACAAAAAATGTTATGAAGTGGAACCTAAATTGTGTGACTGTGACCCCATTGCTATTTCTACACCTCCAGGGTAGAGAGAGATGGAAGAGTCAGAATGTCTAGGAATGTTCTTCAGGATGTGATGGCCGACTGAACCATTGTCGTGGAAGGATGATTTCCCTCTGGTGGATATGAATGATTCAACCTGTAACAGAGGTCTGGGGATTTTAGGTTTCCATTTGTTTCAGTCTTCACCCACATACTCTTGAGAGGCAAAAGAGCAGTAGCCTTCCAAATATAAATCTAGTTTGTGGAGAGTGGGAATTCTGGCAGTATGTGGCGGTGATTTACTCAGGTGGAGCCCATGCAGGAAGAGAGTGTGGTGAGAAGATGGGTATTCCTTTTTTTTGGAGGGGTGGGGAGAGCAAGTCATTAGGTGAGAAGTAGGGTTGCTCCTGCCCTTAACTCCACCTTCCTATTTGGTTTTGAATTGCTTCAAGTACGCCAGGATGTCTGTCTTGACTGAGCTGACCGTAGCCCGGTGGGACCAGCGCATGACAGGGATTCCATCAGGCCCCACCAGGAACTTTTCAAAGTTCCAACGGATGTCATGGACCTTTACAGGGTCCCAGGATATAGATTTGAATGTGCCCAAAATCTCAGAGGGATGAGGACAGGAGTGCTAAACCAGAGAGATGGAAAAGAGAAACAATGTTATTTCTGCTCCTGGATGATCCAGGCTATTTTTACCCACAGGTAATCCACCCCCTCCTATACCTAGATATTTTAACTTCCTGATATTCCTAAAAAACTCCATAAATTCTTGAATCACCACTATGCCAACTACCAAGAATATTATAGATATTATAGCAAAATCTGCTCTCTTTCGGTTTCTCCCCATAGCCCCATAACAAAATTTTGCTGCCATGGATAAGACATGTTACCTTTTATGCTTTTGGTTTCCTTTTCTTCAAAGTAAATAGCTTGGATTGGAATGTGGTTTTCCAGGTCTTAGGGTTCCATGGGCCACTAATATTTCAATAATTGTCTTTTGGGACCAACACTGAATTACTAATATTTTGTCAAATAACAAAAATTTTTAAAACACCATCATTTTGTCACTTAATTTAAAAAGACCATTGGAAGAATAAACTGCGTGTGGGTCATAATTTGTGAATAAAGGGAAGTCCTATAAGTTAGACGAGTTGAGTTTATAAAAAACTTCCCACACTGTTCTTTTTTGTTTTTGTTTTTGAGACAGAGTCTCGCTGTGTCGCCCAGGCTGGGGTGCAGAGGCATGATACACTGTTCTATTGTCTTCAATTTATTGAGGATATATAAAGTCTTAACATGGACTGGTCTTGGTTCACAGTCCAGCATTTAGGAACAATTCACTTTGGTAATCTTTAGGGTTGTTTCAGCTCTGGCATTCTCTATGTCTAAAAATCAGTGTTTCATAAAAGGTACCTACTACACTGTATCATACCTGTTGGTTTGTTACTTTTTTTGTTTTTGTTTTTTTGAGACAGTGTCTTGCTTGGTTGCCTAGTGTGGAATGCAGTGGCACAATCATAGCTCACTTCAGCCTCCAGCTCCGGAGCTCAAGCAATCCTCTGGCCTCAGCCTCCCGAGTAGTTGAGACTACAGGTACGTGCCACCACACCCAGCTAATTTTTTGATTTGTTTTGTAGAGACAGGGTCTCACTATGTTGCTCAGGCTAGTCTTGAACTCCTGGCCTCAAGCAATTCTCCTGTCCTGCCTCAGTCTTCCAAAGTGCTGGGATTATAGGCATGAACCACCACCCCAGCTACATAGCTAATGGTTTCTAACTCTCTCTCCATTATAAACTCATCAAGAGTACAGACTATGCCTTATTCATCTTTATATCCTTATTATTTAGATTGCTTTATAAGTAGCGGGCATTCATCAAGTGTACCTGGAATGAATTAATGAATGAATGTCAATGAGCAAAAGAGGGTGGTCCTAGTAAAAGTTGCCATTCCACACAACTTTCTTCACCACACAGAGTTAGAGCCCCATAGATACTCACAGATTAATCTCCAGATCAGCATGTGCAATGTGGAATGCTGATCTGGAGATTTTTCTCCACAAAGACCAATCCCACCTCTGGGCATGAGCCCTTGGATCCATTTCTGCCACACCAACTCTATGTTAGCAATATTAGAAAAGAGGAGGAGGCTTATGCCAGGAATTTACTCACCTTCAAGAAACTGAAGACTTTCTGTTCTTTTTCACCATTCACATCCCCTTTCTCAAAAAGCTGGAAACTAGGTACAAATCCTCCCCCTGGACGGACATACCTGCAACAAGCCATAATGTTCCCAGGAAGCTCCAGGATATGCAAGTAAAGATTATAATGGGACACTAGGATTTGAAGTCATGAGAAAGGGGAGAAAGAGGGAAGTATCGTTGTGGGTGGGGAGGAATATGGCCATGTTTTGACTTTGGGCTCTCTGACTCACTTTATTTCTCTCTATCCCATGACTTGTCTCTTTTCCTCCATCCCTTCTGTCCTCCATAGTCCATCCAAGTCTCAGCCAGGGATGGAGAGAGAGTCTGGAAACTGCCAGACGCTCATCACGGTAGGCCAAAGTTAAACTCTGCTTGTAATGCCCCTGAGCCTATTAATCCATACCTCCCCAGAAAGTTCCTGAGCTGGAAGGGCCTCTGGAGACTGAGGAAAGGTACACAGGCGCCTCCTATTGGATTTCAAGAAGACACGTACTTGAGCCCAGGAAGAATCTCTTTGTTATCTCCTGGTTCTTGCTTTCCAAATTGGTTGCAGGGAAAGCCCAACACAACTAGACCATAGGGCTTCAGCTCCTCCTGGAGTGCATTTAGTTCTGCAGTTAGAGGAGGAACAATTTTGGTCTAGGTAGAGGTTCTGCCTTGTGCAAGGATGATTCCCTGGGGTTACCCATTTTACAGAGAAGGAAACAGAGGCCCAGGGAGGGAAACAGCTCTGCATCAGAAGGGCTGTTAGTAGCATAGCTGAAGTTAGAGGCCGGATCTTCAGACGTGCGCTCAAAAGCCCTTTGTCATGGTGCAGTGTTTTCCATACCTGCAGCACATCAGAATCAGCTGAAGGCCCTTTCCTAAAAATAGGGATGCCCAGGTCCCATTTCAGAGAGTTTTCTGTTCCTCTGAAATGGGGCTTAGTCTTCTTTATTATTCAAAAGTTCAACAGGTGACTTTTCTTTTCTTTTCTTTTCTTTTCTTTTCTTTTCTTTTTTTTTTTTTTTTTTTTTTTGAGACAGATTCTCACTCTGTCGCCCAGGCTGGAGTGCAGTGGCGCGATCTCGGCTCACTGCAACCTCCGTCTCCCAGATCCAAGTGATTCTCCTGCCTTAGACTCCCGAGTAGCTGGGACTACAGGCACTTGCTACCATGCCCAGCTAATATTTCTGTATTTTTAGTAGAGACGGGGTTTCGCCATGTTAGCCAGGACTGAGCTTCTCTCCTCTGTGCAGCCTGGCTCACCCTGAGTGGAGTGGAAGTAAAACTGACAAAGGCAAAGACAAACAGAGAAATCTGAAATCAACAATCCTAACATTTTTCAACAGTCCTTAAGATGCTGAAGATGCATTCTTACTAAAAATCCTCAGTAATATGCTGAAAAACAAGCTTCAGCTGCCTTCGTCCACTACCAGGAAGTTTTCCAACTTGTCTGCTCAGACTTTTATAATCATCTTCTTTGTTAACCCTTTCTGAGCCAGATGCCTTTAGTCCCTTGACAAACACTAACCAGTCCCACTCAGATTCAGCTCAGCCAACTGGTACCTCCTCTAGGCCTTTTTAAAAAACAGAGATTGCCTTCCTGTTTTCACAGGGTTCCTCAGTACCCCTCCCTATGTCCTTCTGTTATCTGTTATTTGCAGGGTGGAAACTGAATAAATCGATTCTTAAAGTCCCTATAAACTGGGAAAATAAATTGTGGTCCAATAAATATTATTCAGTCTTAAGAAAGAATGAGGAAATGATCTGAACTCAAATGTATTTTATTAATTAAAAAATCAAGGCAGCAAATAGTATTTATTGTGTGTTATCAGCTGGGGAGGGGGGAGCAGAAACAAGAATATCTATGTATTCTGTAAACAAGATAATATTGGTCTACTGAAGGGAGGGGAAGAAGGTGGAAACCTTTGGTTCTAAAGTTTTTTTCTTTTGAACTTTGAGACTTGTGAATATAATGCTTATTCAAAACATAATTAAAAACAAAAAATGAAGGTCTTATTACTTCAAATATAAGAAGTACATTTGTCTCTGGTATAATCCATCCTGATTGTTATTCACTGATTTTTAAACCACATGCCCTAAAATATGAGAAAATTCTTCCCTGAATAATGTACAAAAAGGGAGGAAAAACTACATCCTAAAAAGGGGTTGAGGTTGGAGAGGGAGTATTTGCTTCTATTACAGCCTCATCCGCCAGCCCTCACTCTAATCAAATGCAGTTCCAGGTATAAAACTCCTTTTTCTTGTCATTGTAAGTTACCTGTAAAACCTTGCAAAAGTCTCAAAAACATGGGTCTTCTGTCCTGTATTTATCAAGAAGACTTCTGGAATCTTCTGAGAGGCTCCTAGTTCTCAAGTATATATTGATTCCCCTGGAAATCTCAGGAAAAAGCAGAGGCAGGGCATGGGGAGGGGGTTAGCACATTTTTTCTGTAAAGGGCCAGATAGGAAATATTTCAGACTTTGTGGGCCACATGGTTTCCATCATCACTACTCCTACAACTACTAACCTCTATTTTACAGCATGAAAGCAGCCATAGGTGATGTGTAAATGAACGGGGACGGCTGCATTCCAATAAAACTTTGTTAACAAAGCCAGGCTGACCAAATTTGGCCTGTCCACCCAAGCTTGCTGACTTCTGATATGGAGGATGAAGTCACTTGATTATGAGTATTTATTTTGGTACATAATTATAATTAAAATATAATTCCAAGTATAATTTAGAATATGATCAGCTGGAAAATTTAGTCCCAAAGAGAAGTAACTATGAATTCTCTTACCAGGATATTGCGCTGTCAGACCACAGTAGGTGGCCACGTTGACGAAGAGGATGTGCTTGCCCACATACTGCTTGAAGGAAACATATTCATTCTTATTAAGTGCGATGGCCTCATAGTCATAGATGGTGCCTTTCTCGTCTTTGTGGCAATCCATCTGGAAGATTTTTTTTAAGTGATAATACTGGTAACAATAATTCCTGGCATCTGTGTAATCTTTCAAAGAAGTCAAAGAATAGTTATGTTCTAACCAAGATCTAGAAAACAAATAAGAGTTGTCTAAAGTGTCAATGACAAGACTGAAACTTGGTTCTTGTAACTTGGAAATAAAAAATCAAGTCTCATAAGCCAGGCAGAGAAAGACAAGCATTGCATGTTCTCACTTATTTGTGGGATCTAAAAATCAAAACAATTGAACTCACGGAGATAGAGAGTAGAAGGATGGTTACCAGAGGCTGGGAAAGATACTAGGAGGGTGGAAGGGAGGTTGGGATGATTAATGAGAAAAAAAAAAGATAGTTAGAAAGAATAAATAAGACCTAGTATTTGATAGCACAACAGGGTGACTATAGTCAATAATAACTTAATTGTACATTTTAAAATAACTAAAAGCATATAATTGGATTGTTTGTAGCACAAAGGAGAAATCCTTGAGGGGATGGATACCCCATTTTCCATAATGTGATTATAACACATTGCATGTCTGTATCAAAACATCTCTTGTACCATATATATATATATATATATATATATATATATATATATATATATATATATATATATATATATATATACACACATATATATATATACACATATATATACACACTTACTATGTACACTCCCCCCTCCACACACACACATAAGAATCAAGTTTCCTATTATTTTGAAAGCTGTGAGATACCAGGAAATACACGGATAATGGAAAAGGATATTGATTCATAAGCTGGGATGGTAGGAGCTGGAAGTAAGTGGGGCCGAAGAGAAAAGCACACTTGCCTTACATGCTTCTGTAAAAAACAGGCTACTCCTTGGCTCTGGATTGAAGGCCTCCTGTCTGGACTCTCTGAGAAGGGAGGGTTTTAAATTGCTGAACTATTTTTAGGATATCTTAGTTGCTTATCTTTCCCCAGGTCTTCTGACCTCTTACTCCACTCATCAGCAGGTAGAGTAGAAAGAACACTGCCCTGGGAATCAGAAGCCAGCTCCATTGTTAAATTCCTTTGTGAACCTGGGCAATTCCCATCCCTGGCCTTCAGTTTCCCCATGAGTAAAATGAAGATATTTATCTAGATTCTTACTAGAACTCCAAGTGGGCTTCCATGTTTAACATTCTAGAATCTAATATTATCCCCACCTTGAATAAATTTCTCCTGTCACTCTCTTACTAACATGGTGGTCATGTAAGCCAATACTCTGAAATCCCAGCTTTTGGTAGCTCTCAAGAAAGGAGATGGAGAACCCTAAAGTCCATCTGCAAGTGAGTCCCTGAAATCTGTTGGGCAGCATCACCCAGCTCATCAGCCCATTGTGCTCTAGGTGTCTAATATCCACTTTCATATTCCATTCCACCTATCCCATTCCTTCTCAAATCTCATGAACATATTAATATTTGAGCAGACTTCCATGCAACATTTGTTAAGTTCCACTTAATATAAATTAGCCCTGCCTGAAATTCTCATTGCATGTTCTTTTATTAAATTCCTCTACAAGGCAGGTCTCATCTTACTCCTCCTCTGTCTCTACCCTTACAGTGTTCATGCAGTACCCCAAGTGTACCGATGCCACAGTGCTCACCAGCACATGCTGATCCCTTTTCTTATACTGGGGAAGCTGCCACAAATTGCTCATGGAATACAGAATATATATGACAGGAATATGAAAAGGAAGCTCTATGTCCAAACCATCCGGTGAGAAAAAGGTGGAAAGGAACTGGCTGGAGAAAAGAGAGAAGGGCATTATTTGATAAGGAATGTCCAGACAAACTAGGATTAAACTAGACTTCCTGGAAATGCAGTAGTCTAGTAAGGATTTTGGTTGAACATCATCTGCCCCCCATTCAGAGAAGGAGTAATGCAAAACAAAGCAAAACAAAACACAACTTTTTTCTAGTCCTGTTATCCCACTGATTTTATCACCAGCATACTAGGTTGTAGCTACTCACTTCTTACTCTTGAGGAAAAAGATATTTTTCTATGCAGGTTTTTACACCTTTCCCTAAATTTATACATATATACATGCACCAGCAAAATTGAGGGATCTATAAAGAGAATATTGTGTAAAAGTATCTGTTTCTATCTCCATGTTACCTAGTTTCAAGTTAAACATTTGCAAGAATTTGCCTTTTTTTTTTCTTTTGCTACTGCAATGACAATCACTCACAGTCATGTTGGGTACCAGTATGCAAAAGCTTAGAGAGACTCTCAATTTGAAGACTTCCTTTAGTCCAGTTTACTTCTGATATTGACTGCTGTTTCAAATTTATTGAAGTCCATATAACGTGTCTCAATTATCTCTAGACGCAGCTTTTATTAAGCAAATTCTGCAGCCCAGAGTCTCCACACTCAATTAAGCACCACAGGTAACATAAAAACCATATCAATTCTCAAAATAGAAGTTCACCCAGGATGTTATCTAGTTAATTTTAGAGGCGAGGGATGGGGAGATGTTATTAGAACTGCATTTTGTAGAATGTATTATATGCATAATAATTGTTATTCACCCACCCATAAGGTAGTTACTGTTACCCATAAATTTACAATGAGATAACAGAGGTTAATTTGTCCAAAGTCAAAAGTGGTAACCCATTATGTAAATGAAAGTTTGCCTTTACCTAACTTCATGATTATTTTCTGCCTCCAAGTTATCGCATTCATTATTATCCTTTCCTAAACTGCCCCTTCTGCTGCCAGACACATGTGTCTTATCAATAAGGTAACGAGCCATGAATTGGGCATAGAACTGAGGCCAGAATCCAAGATGCCTGACTCCAAATCCAGTTGTTTTAGGGCTCTGATTTTTTTTTTCATGTTTTATGTTTCTCTGATAACTCTCTGATTTTATCCATCCTTAAAACTTCCACATTCGTTTTTTCCTCCTCTTCAAGGGGTTGTTGCTGAGCTGTGTCTGAGACAAGTCCACTCAGCTTCTCCTCCAAACCCCAGTCCCCACCTACTCTAAAGCCCATCGCTGTCCCAGCCTCAGACCCAGCTCTGAAGCAGAGACTGATGTGGCCAGAGAGGTCTCCAGGGGACCTCCACCTGAAGAAGGTATGGAGACCCTTTCTTCCCTAGTCATATGGAGACCCTTTCTTCCCTAGTCATATTCAACGCAAGGAATACCCATCCATAGGAATGAAGAAGATTCAAGGAGAAAAAAAAGCAAGGTTTAGGGGAACTGGCAAAGAAGAAGAAAGCAGGAGTTGGAGTCTTACAAGAAGGAGTGGAGGGCAGGGTCTAGAAGTAGGACAGAAGAGTAACTACCATGCCCTCTCTGAAGCTCACTCACCTTCATCTTCTCCTGCTTGGGACTTGTTTGCACAAAGCAGGCTAGGAGAAGGGGAAGCAGATGGACGACCCTTAACTGTGTAGTCATGACTAGTGTTTGTAGATTGCTAGTCTGGGGGCCTGAGGTCTTTGCCCACCTCTGCAGTCTTTTGGTATCTTGGCAGGGACTTAGCCCAAGCCCCCACAGGCCAGTCACAGGGCTGCAAGGATTCCCGACGCATGAGGTCGGGGTGAGGATCACAGAACTCAAACCACATCCTGTCCCACACACACCCCCGTGAGCACTCAGCGCTTACCACTGCAATGAGGACCTGGGACTCATAAGTTCTGGGAAAATTATAAATGGGTGATAGCAAGCCCTCTGAGGTCCTTAAACACGGCTGTCTGTTTTTCCTCAATGTATGGAAGTGTCTAGATGCTGATGCAACCTCCCAGTAAAGTCACTGCAAAAGGGTTGGTCTAGACATTTCAAATGTTATTTCTAATATTATTTGAGCTTAAAAATAAATCAAAGAATGGGCCGGCCATCTAGGATCTCTCAAAAAGAGTTAGGAGGAAACTGGCTCGAGGAGGGGAAATAGTCACAATGTATGCGAAGGACAGCAAATTAATACAAATCCTTAGAAATGATTTCAAGTGCTTATATATCAGTAAGAAAAAACTACCAGACCAACAGAAAAAAATGGGCATGAGGCAGAAAATCAAATGGCATCTGTGGTAGGATACAGTGTTCTCTCTCACCAATAATCAAAGAAGTATAAATACGAAAAGACACATTCCACACTTATCAGATTGGCAAAAGTTAAAAGGAATGGTGATTCCCAGCCTGGGCTCCGTCTGGTATAGGAGTCTCTTACACGATGGGTGGGGGAATGGCGAATACTAATGTTGCCAACTTTCTGGACAATAATCTGACATTCTGAATGCAGTGCTTTAAAAAAGTAAATAACTTTTAAAAAATAATATATTTACAAAAATTGCAAGCATTCCTCTTTTTTTTCTATTTTTTTTAACTTTTATTTTAAGTTCAGGGGTACATGTGCAGGTGTGTTATATAGGTAAACTTGTGTCATAGGGGTTTGTTCTACAAATTATTTCATCACCCAGGTATTAAGCCTAGTGCCCAGTAGTTATTTTTCCTGATCCCCTCCCTCCTTCCACCCTCCACCCTCTAATAGGCCCCAGTGTGTGTTGTTCCCCTCTATGTGTCCAGGTGCTCTCATCATTTATCCTCCACTTATAAGTGAGAACATGTGGTATTTGGTTTTCTGTTCCTTCATTAGTTTGCTAAGGATAATGCCCTCTAGCTCCATCCATGTCCCTGCAAAGGACATGATCTTGTTTTTTTTTATGACTGCATAGTATTCCATGGTGCATATGTACCATATTTTATCTAGTCTATTATTGGTGGGCATTTAGGTTGATTCCATGTCTTTGCTATTGTGAATAGATAGTGGCAAGTACTACTCTTAATAGCCTGGAAGCCCAGAGCCCAAGAAGAATCATGGAAATGAGACACAAGTCCCTCTAAAAATAAAGTTGCTTTGCCTTTCAACTGGTATACAAGCCCCATTCATTCAGCAACAGTTTCCAATGACCTCTCAGTAGTCTTGGCTAAAATTTTAGACTATATGAATTGATGAATGCAGGCCTGGAGCCCCGGGAATTTCTGGGTTTCTCACATAAATAACATAGTTAATCACTGCTGACTTCACAGGAGATGGACCAAGACATTCTTCCCTTTTGTCTACCATACAGTTTTAATTTTTGGACCCCTAGCACTAATATTTAATTAATCATGCTCCTAAGTTCACAATCATTTGTCCTTGCAAGTCCCCTCTCTTGTTTTATTTATTATTTATATCCTTTGCTTCCCAAACTCCACTTTCCTTCCCCTCACTATCATAAGTGTATTTAATATGTTTAATATGCATATTATTTGTATTCTTGAACAATTTATATATTCCTCATTAGATTATTAGCTCTTTAAAATTAAAAAAAATTAGTTACTCATTTTTTCCCCCTATTTGGACCTGAGTTTCAAAGGGTTGAATTATACTCTTAAATTTATGGCATTTGTCGTCATTAGGCTGTGCAGGGATTCTCTCACATTAATTAAAAAAATTTTTTTGTCCCCAATCCACTGGCATTTTCCTACCTTTTAGAGAGAAGGAGTGGCAAAGGAACAGATATTACAGACTGGAAAGTGTTGGTGCGTTGGCTGTTTCTAATGCTTTGAAACTACAAGAAAGGAGTGAATTCAGGAACTTAATGGGCTCTAATGAGA
The DNA here is from genome assembly GCF_000001405.40 of Homo sapiens. Taxonomy (NCBI): domain Eukaryota; kingdom Metazoa; phylum Chordata; class Mammalia; order Primates; family Hominidae; genus Homo; species Homo sapiens. The sequence continues at coordinate 28,523,814 of NC_000006.12, read as the reverse complement.
TAAAGAAATGCTGAAAAATCTGTGGATTAGTGAAAAGGCTCAGGGTTGTTTCCCTCACTGCTCTTCCCACACATCTCCCCTCCTCCCATAAGATTGGCACTGCCAGCCCAGCTTTGCTGAACTTTCATGTTTAGGAAATGATAAATTCTTCCTCTCCAGTTCTAAGTTTGTTTCCAACCAGCCCCCTCCACCAGCCCTGCCTCTTCCAGGTTCACACAAAATCCTGCCTCCACCTCCTTGTAACTGAAGTCTAAGTGAGGTTTAATTCTTGAAGTCTCACTGGGTTTAATTTTCCACCAGTCTCGGGGAGTCTGGGCATTCAAGAGCTCTCTTGGAAAACAGAAGCTTTTGGTTATCTCAGATTTCTGATCTCTTCTTAGAGCCCTTTAATCTAAGAGCCCTCTAATCTAAGGGGAGGAGCCCATGCAATGCCTCACCCTGCCACAAAACACCCCAAGCCCTTCAGGTTTCCTGCTTTGTGGTACCTCCTGGCCCCAGATGCTGACTCGCCTGCCCGTCTCCCCTCTATCACAGTTCAAAGAACTGTGGAGATCAAAATATCAAACCTCATTCCTTCCCAAGTTATGTGACTTTGGGCAAGCTGCTCTCTGTGCCTCTGGCCCTCATCTGTAAAACTGCTAGAATAATATGAACTTCATAGGGCTAATTTTAGGGGAAAAAAAGAGATTAGTTTAAACTTACCACTGGACCCAGCCCAAGAAAAACACCCAGAGTTAATTCAACAGATGAACAAACAGGTGCTCAAATAGAAAATCTGATTTACCCAAAGCCTGTGTTTAGAGATGGCTGCTCCTCCCTTGCTATTATAAATTCCTTACTTTCCTCACCACTTTATCTTTGCTTGTCACACAATAACTAACTTCTAGAGCAGAAGAGAAACTTTCATCATAAACTATGCCTCAATGGTCAGATCAAATGGCCTTCTCAAGCCCCTTGTTCCATTGTTTCAGTTTCCCTGGAGGCAAGATCTCTGTTCAGGGAGCTCATGCTCAGCAGGAGGCCACATGGAGGGACTTCTTGTCATCATCCCCTGATTGTCTCACATAGTAGCTGCCTCCCAGCCAGAGCCACATATCAAATCCCTGTTGCCTCTTTTCTGGAATGCTGAAATCATCTCCTACTTGTCTTCTCTCTTCCAGACTCTTCCTTTCTACAGTTTTTCCTTTACCCTATTGCCACTGGAAACTCTAAACACCTATCTGATATCTTTCCCCCTAAAAAGAGCCAGCGATGCTAACCAGTTTATTATAGCATCAAATCCAGAATCTCCAGCAAGGTATTCGAAGCTCTCCTGATGTGCTCTTAACCTCCTTCTAGTTTTCACTCCCAGTAGCTCCCTATGTGCATCTCTCAGACAGCTACAGTCTTTCCATTCTTCAAAACACACCTCCTTGGATTTAGATTTTTGACCTTGGAGGTCAATGGTGCTGAGAACATTGAGATCCCACCTCCCCTGGTCCAAATTATATACATTACGCAAATTATACATACATATAAGTAATTTGACAGGAGAAGGAATTCCCACTGAAAGACAGGAAATACAATTTTATCAAATTTTACCTATCAAGATTTTTTTTTTTTTTGAGACACAGTTTTGCTTTTGTTACCCAAGCTGAAGTGCAATGGCTTGATCTCGGCTCACTGCAACCTCTGCCTCCCGGGTTCAAGAGATTCTCCTGCCTCAGCCTCCTGAGTAGCTGGAATTACAGGTGTCCACCACCATGCCTGGCTAATTTTTTGTATTTTTAGTAGAGACAGGGTTTCACTATGTTGGCCAGGCTGGTCTCAAACTCCTGACTTCAGGTGATCCACTTGCCTCGGCCTCCCAGAGTGCTGGGATTATAGGTGTGAGCCACCACGCCCGGCCTACCTATCAAGATTTTAGGTGAAAATGTTTGTAGCCTGAGCCATAGATTAAGGCTGAAAAGCCAATCCAGGCCTAAATTAAGCTATAAGGTCTGTCACTTCCTGACTTTAAAAATCCTATAATTACAAGCAGTTCATGATCTTAAACGTGGTGGGACACCTGGGTGGGAAAAATCAATGTCTCAATTGCTGCCTAGTTTTCTCAACCAGACTCCAATTTTTCCTTGAGGTCGTATTCTTATGAGAATAAGTTTTCTGCCCAAGGTCACGTAGTTAGTGAGTGGCAGTTTACAAATTGAAATGAGGGCTTTCAGACTCCCTGTCCTAGTTTCTGGTAATGACTTAATCCTACCTGAAAGTCAACATCAAGTTTTTTGTTTTTAGTTCCTTTGATTAGAAAGGAAATAGGTTTGATTCTTTCTCAGGGACAGTACACCTCTTTATTCAGATTCAAACCATAGCCTCTGAAACCACCCAAGTCTAACTTAGAGAACTCTGTCCACCCTTTGGTTTTACTTGACTATTTTCCGTGAATTAGAAAATCTCCCTTGGCATCTGGCATCTCCATTCAGGCCTCCAGGATTTTTCTTACTCTAGTTTTGTAAGCATGAAGCATAGGATCTACTCCAAGTCTGCCATTTTAAGTTACTATTACTTAAGTTTATACAGAATTTATAGTTTACGAGCCTCTTTCACATCCATAATTTCATTTAGCCCTCACAATCAGCCAGTTACAGAGGTAGCATGGGCATCTTCAGCTCAAATTCGCAATGGAAAAGTAAGTTCAGAAAGGAAAGGCGACTTGGCCAAAGATTCACAATAGTGTAAATGTAGACCATAAACTTGAGTTTCAATTTCAAATCCGCTAGTTGCTTCACCCTCAAGGCTCAATTATTCATAATGTATGTGTTTGGAAATGGAAGCAAATTCTAGAGAGATCACTAAATGTCCTTTGGCATTTAATTTTCATTCTCACGTGTTCTTAACTTTCTGATCTTCCCCAAACATGATGAAGTTTGGGACTCACCTATGGTTGAAGCTGGCTCTGGCCCTAAACCTGAGCCTTCACTGAGGCAGCTGGCCCTGACACGCAGACTTCCTGAAGGGTCTCTTGTTTATGCCAAGCTTTCCTCCTCCAACATGCTCCAGGAAGAACTCTGCTTCTTGGAGGCTGGGGTGGGGAGGTGGTGAGAGAAATAATGTGCACTCCCCTAGATGGTGTTCCTATTACTCCTGCTTTAATGGATCCGGAAGGACGTTGGGGAGAGAGCACTGTGTCCTTGCCCACACACAGGAATTTGAGTGACCCACACCATTCCAAACCAGATGCCCTCACACCTGGAAATTCTGCAGTCTATGACTCAGATCCTTACTGCTCCCCAAGAAAGAATAAATATGCCTCACATCACCAGCACACACTGCAGACCATCACCAACAACTCAATAGAACTGTGGAACATGGAGAATGCCGCTCCTCTACAGGCCTGAATTTACCTATTTGCACAAAGCGGGAGTTGGATCAGAAAAATCACCAAATTCCCTTTTAAGGCAGACAGTTTATTTTCTCAGCTTTTCAGAGATTCTCATCATTGGCACTTATCTGACCAATTCTTACTCCTAGAAGACTGGGAAACACGAGTAACAATCAATACATTTTGAATTCAAACATTCGCCTTATAGGTCATGTTTTTCAGGCCACAACAATATACATAAGAAGCACATGCTCAGTAAAGTTTAGAGATTGTCTCATCCAAGTCACAAGGCCTAGGCAGATAATCTACAACTGTGTCCCCATAACAGTTGCAATCAGAATCTGATTTAGAACAAATTAAAGGCTGAGACAATTTGGCTTCTCCTTTCTCGCTCTGCAATCCCTCAGCCTGTGGCAACTTGTGAAAGGCATCAAAGCCAGTAATAAAACACCAGGTTTTGATATAGAAACACCCTGTAGACATCCCAGAAATATCCCAGGGACAAATGTTGGCTGTCTTCCTGGCTATGATCAGAAGGGGCAGACAATATTTACAGGTGAAGTGATATGTTGTTTGGAATTTAGTTCGGAATAATTCAGTGAGTATGGGTATGTGTGCAAGGGTGGGGGCTGTGGTAACAAGCTTTTTCAGATGTAGGTAAAATGAAATTAGCGGAGAGTTGTATTGATTATAGATGCAGTGGGTAACAGGTATGTGAGCTTAATTATACTCCTCTCTACTTTTTATATATGTTTGAAATTTTCCTTAATAAAAAAGTTGAATTAAAACCTAACAAGCTGGGAGCTTCAAGGTTGGGACCTTCTTTAACTGATGGATAGAAAAGGAATAGAGCAGATAAGAATATATATAAGAGATAAATGGAGCAGGAAGGAAAATGAAAAAAGAAAGAAGAAAAAGAAATAATGGGAACTTATATCAGCATTTATTGAGTTGTTACTGTGTATGCCAGGCATTTCCAGATATAAATTCTTACTTAATCTTTAAAAGTCACACTGTTATGTTCTTTCACAAAAAAAAAGAACTTGATACACTGAAAAATTAAATAACTTGCCCAAAATTGTGTAGCAAGAAACAACTTAAAGCCAGGATTGTTTAAATCCTGAATCCAAACTCTTTTTCTCGTACACAATGAGGAGAGAGAAAAGGAGAAAGTAATGAGAGGTGGCAAAGGGTAAAAAGTGTAGAAGAGAAAAAAAAAAAAAAAGAAAAAAGTGAGATTCAGTGAATTCAGAATCAGGGAAGCAGTTAAGAAGCCTTCCAAAGCTATCACTGGAATAGAAGGTAACTAGGGCTGGCATTACTCAAACCTTGACCCTTCTGAGGGATGATTAATCTTTCATTTTAGGCAAGTTAGCAGAAAATTCATTACCTGCCTTCTGCTGCACTTGCTACTGGGAAACAAGAAATTTTATAGTCTTCAAACAGTGGCAACAACCAGGAGGATCCATGATCTCCCAAATGTTTGTGCCTCCCCTCTGATGGCCCTGCACTGACTTCTTGTGTCTGTGTGTGTGTGTGTGTGTGTGTGTGTGTGTGTGCTCAAGCTAAATTATAACAGAACAGGAATAAGGAAGAGGTAATACAGAATTTGAGTAAAATGATAGAGTGTTACGCCTTGACAATGATAAAAAGCTACTCTCTTTAACACATCCTTTGCTTCTTTCTTCTCCAGTAAGAAAAATGCATTTTTTAAATTTAAAAGAAGAAAAAAATGTAGAACAAAGAGGAAATATAAAGTTAAACCTGAGATATTAATAAAAGTCACCTACTTGTTCTATGTGAATTTGTTGACACAGCACAGACAAGCAGATCTCAAGATAAAAAATTAAAACCTTACATTGCCTGTATTGGTTCTGCAATCAAAGCTGATATTAAAATATTTAGCAGGGCTGGGTTGGATGGCTCATGCCTGTAATCCCAGCACTTTGGGATGCCTAGGTGGGTGGATCATTTAAGATCACCACTTCGAGACCACCCTGGGAAACATGACAAAATCCCATCTCTACCAAAAATACAAAAATTAGCTGGGTTTGGTGGCATGCGACTGTAGTCCCAGCTACTCAGGGGGCTGAGGTGGGAGGATGGCTTGAGCCTTGGAGTCAAAGGTTACAAGTTAGCTGAGATCACACCACTGCACTCCAGCCTGGGTGACAGAGCCAGACCTTGTCCCAAAATGTGTGTGTGTACATATATATTTAGAAGTATGCCATGGGCACAACCAATCAGAACAAATCCTGGGCTCCAACAACTGCCGTGCATATTCCTGTGTATACACACTGAGGACCATCCCTGCCTGCAAGCATGAATGCTAGATGTCTTGGTAGACATGCAAATGTTTTGACTTTCCAAAGCAGGGGAAATGAACTTCAGAACCTAAGAAAAAGCTCCACTTGGCGCTTCTACTACTTTTTAAGACAAATTTTAAACAAGTGAGTTATGAACATATGTGAGTGCTGATCACTGAATGGGAACATAGCTTAACCAAAAATCAACCACAAGCATCTTGATTAAGAAATAAGGAGTAAGTTAAACTCTAGTCCTGGGCAGAAACTTCTTCACTTGGCTTCTTTCTATCCTATAAACTTTAATGTATTTGGTGGAAGACACAAAAGGTATGCTGATCAAATGTGTAGATCATTGATAGATGATAAATATAGCTAGTCTGATAGATGATAGAATTCAGATTTAAAAGATCAATTGCTTGGGTGGATAGACAATAATAGGCACCAGCATTGCAGGGGCAATTCATATAAACTTTGATGTTTATTTGACCTTAAGTTAAAAGTGAACCAATAAAAATTAAAAACTAAAATAAGTGAACCAATAATGTTTCAAAGATACTAGAGAAAATAATGCCATCTTGGACTCTACTGATTAGTATCTAAAGAGTATGCTCTTGATTGATGAAATCAGACCTGAAATAATGTTTCTATCTGTGGACAGAATAGGTTTTAAAATGTAAATTAATAAATCAAGCCAAATTCTAAGGAGGAGGGTGAGGATGTGAACTGGCTCCTAATATATATTAAGGCGTGGTCAAGCTCACCAGAACCCTGATTTGTGACTCAAGTCTCAGAAAGTTACCTCAGAAGTCTTGTTTGATAAAGCTATATCCATCATTTTGAATAAAAATATGTAATTTGTATATCATAAAATATCTCAGGAATGATCCCAAAGTACTTGCCAAGATTTGATCTAGAGTCAACCCCAGATAGGTGGACTCTGGTGATGAAGACAGTTCTATCTACCAGAATCAGAACATTTCTGGAGGGAAGGTTACATCAGGGAAATCTGGCCGATGTCAAATCAGAAAGGACCTTGAGTGCTTCATGGGAGAATTTCAAACTAAAAGTGTAAGAATTTAGGAGGAATTGGGGCACTTTAACATAAGTGATATCAACAAACCTGACCTTTAGAAAAGTCATAGAGGCAGAGTGTGAAGGAAACAGGGACTGGAGAAGATCCTGGAAGTGAGGAGATAGCTAAGGGATGAAAGCAAAATTCCTGGAAGGAGATAACAGGGAACTAAGGCTCCAAAGAAGGATGGGTGAAGGGCAATTGCAGCCCCATGATACCTTCAGGTGCACCAGGGACATGAAATGTTCCTTGTTTCCTCCTGTTCCATGTGTGCTCCTGTACCTTCACTTCTCATTGCTGGAGGCAAGGACCCAAGGTACTCAAAAGTCTATCAAGAATGTGGGAACACCAAAACCTATGAAGTTGGGGTTTTAGGCCATTTGACCTACTGATGAGGTCCATAATGAAATGTCTCCTTACCTCTCAAGGGCTCATTACTACAAGGTGAGCAAATGTAAATTGTCCCAGATAGTAAAGATTTCATCACAGTAATTATGATCCAAATGGAACCAGAGCAAGAGCTCTGGAGTAGGACGCAGAAGTTGCCTTCATTTCACTGTTACCCACCTTGTGACTTTTTATATGTTATCTCTCTCTCTGAGCTTCAGTTTTCTCATACATGAAACTATGTGAATACAGTTCTAGTTGTTTACCATTGTCAGGCCATGTGGTAAGTGCTTTATAGTTATTATCACATTTAATTGTTACAGCAGCCCTACAAGGTAGATAATATTATTATTCTGATTTCACAGATGAGAAAACTGGGGACAGACACATTAACTTTGATTTCAGATTCAAGGAGCTAGTCAGTGGCACTGACAGGTATTGAATTCAATGGTCTTTATAGCCTCGTAGTCAAAGTTTCAGCCATTTTTTTGAGCTAAAAGCAGGAGAAGGGTAAAGAACTTGGGAATGTGTGTAGGTCTGTTCCATAAGAGGCAAGCATCTGACCTGCTGCCTTAAGGAGCTGCATAGCTGGATCAGGTATCAGTGATCAGGACATAGATTATAGGCTTTTGAAAAGAGTTCAGAAATCTGAGATAACTAAAAGCTTGTCTTTCAAGAGAGTTCATAAGAACTCAACCCCACCCAGACTTTAGTTTCAAGAGGCAGAGAATGCCTTTTGTGTGAAGCTGGCAGAGGCAACGCAGGTGGAGCAGGCTCGATGGTGAGGGGTTTACAACTGAAGAGGAAGGGGGTGTGTGTAGGGAGTGGAGGTGGGTGTGTATGAATGCCACTCTGCGATTGGAGGGTGCTTCTTCAAATTGGTCCCTGCCAGGGGCTCAAAAGGGGCTGAAATCCTGGGGACCTCAGAGTCGTCTAAAACTCCTAGCCATGTTCCAGCAGTTCCAGGCCTCCTGTCTTGTCCTGTTTTTCCTGGTTGGCTTTGCTCAGCAGACCCTAAAGCCTCAAAATAGGAAGGTGAGCATGGGGCAGGGGATCCGAGCTGATTCCAGCACGTGATGACCAACCTGGCTGCCAGAGTTGCAAGGAGTTCTCTACTCTCCCCTTTCGAAGGACAAGATCTGCATTCCCAGCCCTTCTTCACAAATCCTGACATTGCTATCCTTAGCAGGCTCTCCCTAAATCCACTGTCTCTTACTTGCATCTTTTCCTCTGCACCTAGTAGCTCTTTGAACTGAATGTATGTGGAGTGGGGTTGGGGGGCTGCCTCAGCACATTCCCCTTTGCCACTTCCCCCTGGTGGCCCCTTGATAGCCTAGAGCCTGTCCCCTTCATGCTGGTCCATAACTTGGAGTAGCGCTGTGGATCCCAACAAATGAGGCATGAAGTCGCAAATGGATTGACAGGGAGGCTGCCCTGGTTACTCCTGGAGAGGCTGCTCAGCCAGAAACCCAGAGGGAGAGGTGAGAGAATCTGGGCTTGCGATCTGCACTAGGAGTTTCTAGGTCACAGAAAGAGGAGCTCCCCACCACCACACCCCTAGAAAAATAAAATGCATAAGGCCAATATGGTTGTCCACTAATATTAATTTTAGGGAAGGTCATGAGGTGAGGTAGAGACAAAGCTCAGCTCAGAGTAGGCTTTGTTCTCAGATCTTGGTGTTGCTCCCAAATCTCCTGATGCCATTTAGAAAAGTCCCCCCACTGGATGTCCATAGTCACCCCTGTGAAAGATGTGTATATATGTCTTAGGATGCGGACTGAGCAGATCACCTGAGGCACCCGCAAATTTTAACTTTAAAATCAGATGAATTTATTCAAAAGCAGCCTCAGTGGTGGCCATATGCCAATTATATATCTTTTGTTAGTTCCTTTCTGTCCTCTATAAAAGGTGGCGTACAATGCCTATCATATAATGCAGTGATTCCCAGACTTGAGCTTACCTAAGAGATAGCTGGTTAAAGCACAATTGCTGGGCCCCACCCAAGACTTTCTGATTCAGTAAGTTTTAGGGGGAGCCCAGGAATTTGCATTTCTAAAATGCTTCCGGTTGATACTCATGCAGGTCTCCACACCTGAAGCTTTGAGCTTTAATCTCTGTTACTGGATTCATATGAAGTGTAAGATGGTGCCTATTACAAGCCATAAGACAGCTTACTTACTTACTTTCCAGAAAGGTAACAGATCACTTGAACGGACAACCTCCAAGGGTCATCAGATCTATGTCAGCCACTGCTGCCTGGTTGGGTGTGGAATTCTCGATGTAAAATAGCATCTTGTGAATTAAAAGCTGTGTTCTAGGGTATTCTGTCTTCTTCAAACAGATGTAAGCAAACTAGAGCAGAACTGAAAACTGGGTAGGAAGGATTGAGCTCTTCGAGTCTGCAGTTTTCGTGGGATTCTGCATCTCATTTCACAGAGTGACATCCTCATGAGAACCAAATCTTTGGAAGTTGTTGCACCCAGAGCTAAGGTAGCACAAAGGCAAGAAAATGGAGGCATACAAATGACAGCTCACATGGTGATTTCCGTGTGACTTTTTATTATAGTAGCAAGAAAGACAAATGCTGGAAATTATTTAGCTCAGACGTAAGGTGTCATGAAGGCAAAACGAATGCAGGCATATAGATGATAACTCCATCATAGTGGGTTTCTTAGGCTAATGTTCCCAAATATTGTGACTAATGTATATGCACAGATGTGTACAGAAATATGGACTTGAAAGGGCTTGCCCCTTGGTCAAGCCTCCTTCTCTCCAAGGATAATGAAGGAGAAGCTGTGGCCTTGTGTCGTGGTAACAGACTCAGAAGATGATAAAGAGTTTCTTGCCCCACTCTGCCCACAGTAGCTCACCCACAGGCAATTCCTTCCCTGCATGGGGTATGCTTTTATGGACTGAGATCCTGTGAAGCCCAGTTTAAATTACTCTAAAATTCTATGATTTTTCTTCATATGGCCAGGACTTATAGCCTCTCTTACCACATAACATGTTAGCCTTTTGTTCCAGGTTCTGTATGCCTTTTATTCTTGGCATGCTTGTGGGTAGAAAAGTTTTTCCGCTCTGTGCTATTTTATGAACTTTAATTCATGAGCAGTTCAGGCTGTTTCACCACAATATAAAGAAGTGGGTGCCAAGGATGAGTTTTCAAGGTACCAGCGAAACCGGAAAAGTTCCCTTGTCCCTCTCACAAGGCATGCGACGGGGCGTGTGGCTCGCTGCTTCAGTTCCCCGCCGCTCAAACCTGTACGGGAGCAGAGGGGGAGCATACAAACTAGCAGATTGTGGAGCTCCAACCTTAAGGCAGTGTCTAGGAGTGAATGTTTACAACTGAAGCCCCAGTGGGCGTGTGTTACAGGGTGCTCTTAGTTCAGCCACCCATAGGCAGCTTGTGTTAGCTCCATTAGACCCCTGCCTTATCACAAAGACAGAGGACTTTCTGTATCCCAGGGATCTTGCCTTGGTTTACGAGAAGAATCGGATCACACGTGGGCATGGAGAATAAGTGCAAGGTTTTATTAAGTGGAAGTAGCTCTCATCAGATGGGGGAGCCAAAAGAGAGATGGTTTTTCCCTGGAGCCCGGCCAAACTCCATGTCCTTCCGCTGTCAATGGCCTTCCAGTGTGCTCCTACTGTGTTCAAAATTGGTGGGTTTTTGGCCTCACTGACTTCAAGAATGAAACCCAGTTCTTTAAGGCAGCGTGTCCAGAATTTGTTCCTTCTGATGTTCGGATGTGTTCAGAGTTTGTTCCTTCTGGCGGGTTTGTGGTCTTGCTGGCTCAAGAGTGAAGCTGCAGAGGCTCAAGAGTGAAGCTGCAAAGCCTCGCGGTCAGTGTTACAGCTCTTAAGGCAGCGCGTCTGGAGTTGTTCATTCCTCCCGGTGGGTTCGTGGTCTCGCTGGCTTCAGGAGTGAAGCTGTAGACCTTCACGGTGAGTGTTACAGCTTGTAAAGGCAGTGTGGACCCCAAGAATGAGCAGCAGCAAGACTTATTGCAAAGAGCGAAAGAACAAAGCTCCCACAGTGTGGAAGGGGACCCACGGGGGCTGCCACTGCTGGCTCCGGCAGCCGCCTTTTATTCTTATCTGGCCACACCCACATCCTGCTGATTGGTCCATTTTACAGAGAGCCGAGTGGTCTGTTTTGACAGGGTGCGGATTGGTGCCTTTACAATCCCTGAGCTAGACACAAAAGTGCTCCACTTCCCCACTAGATTAGCTAGATACAGAGTGTCCACACAAAGGTTCTCCATGTCCCCACCAGAGCAGCTAGATACAGAGTGTCAACTGGTGCATTCACAAACCCTGAGCTAGACACAGGGTGCTGATTGGTGTGTTTACAAACCTTGAGCTAGATACAGAGTGCCGATTGGTGTATTTACAATCCCTTAGCTAGACATAAAGGTTCTCCCAGTCCCCACCAGACTCAGGAGCCCAGCTGGCTTCAGCCAGTGGATGCCGCACCACGGCCGCAGGCCGAGCTGCCTGCCAGTCCCGCGCCCTGCGCCCGCACTCCTCAGCCCTTGGGTGGCCGATGGGACTGGGCGGCGTGGAGCAGGGGGCGGTGCTCGTCGGGGAGGCTCGGGCCGCGCAGGAGCCCACGGAGCGGGAGGAGGCTCAGGCATGGCGGGCTGCAGGTCCCAAGCCCTGCCCCGCGGGGTGGCAGCTAAGGCCCAGCGAGAAGTCGAGCACAGCAGCTGCTGGCCTTGGTGCTAAGCTCCTCAGTGCCCGGGGCCGGCTGGCCGCTCCGAGTGCGGGGCCCGCTGAGCCCACTCCCACGTGGAATTCGCGCTGGCCCGCAAGTGCCACGCGCAGCCCTGGTTCCCTCCAGCGCCTCTCCCTCCACAACTCCTCGGAAGCTGAGGGGGCCGGCTCCGGCCTTGGCCAGCCCAGAAGGGGGCTCCCACAGTGCAGCCGCGGGCTGAAGGGCCTCTTAAGCGCGACCAGAGTGGGCGCCAAGGCCGAGGAGGCGCGGAGAGCGAGCAAAGGCTGTGAGGGCTGCTAGCATGTTGTCACCTCTCACCACGATGGTGCATTGCTCTCCACGTCCAGCCAGTTGAGTGTGTTCCTCCGCTGATGTGCTTCTCTCCACATCCAGCGCCAGTGCCTCTGGCTGCTAGGGTCTCAGAGTTTTTATAGGCACAGACCCATTTGAGTGAGAAGGCAGGAGTGCCTGTCCTCATGTAGGTCCGTAGGCACAGGCCCGAGGGTGGAGCCCTAGTTAGGTACCCGCCTTTCTCTACCCAGCACTTCCCGGCCGCCCCTCCCCCATCACCAGTGATTACCCCATTGGCAAGCCTGGAAAGGCCCTTCAGTGGCATCTGGAGAAGTTATGGGCCTGATTTTGGGGGACAGGAATTACAATATAAGAACATGTAGATGAGAAGTTTGTGCAAAACTTACTTATGAGAAATCCTGCAAAATCTGTTAAGAGTATCTGAGAGAGGACGGCATGACTTGAACGGAGTGTTAGGATGTCGGGGGAGAATGCAGTGTCAGGGAACAGAGGTAAATGTTATTAATCTTCTGGAAACGGGAAGAATATTATGAAATGCTTGTCTTGCCACACACACAAAAAAATGGCTTGTAATTTAGAAGACATAAATTCTAGCTATGGCATCAGCTCTAACTAAAAATTTTACTTGGAAAGATCCCTTCAGTTCTTAGAATTTCAAGATATTACATGAAGGGTCTTCGAGTGTTTTGAAAAAGTCCACAAATGTTGGGAATTATTTTTTATCTTATATCGTTATGGTTATTTTTGTAAAATTCCAGGTGGATTGCAACAAAGGGGTAACAGGCACCATCTATGAGTATGGAGCCCTCACCCTCAACGGCGAGGAGTACATCCAATTCAAGCAGTTTGCAGGCAAGCACGTCCTGTTTGTCAATGTGGCCGCCTATTGAGGCTTGGCAGCTCAGTATCCTGGTAAGAACTCACGTTTCAACTCTTTTGGAAGCAGCATTGCCAGATAGCCATATTCTAATTCCAGAAGGTTTTACCAATGTGTTATTGGAGGATGCGATGGGAGAACTGATCAGGTGACTCTACCTCCCTAAATGCTGCTCCTGCTCTGCTCCTTAGAATATCAGGATAATTATTTCCAGATTTGAGAACTAAGACCTTCCCAAAGACTTAAAGACCACCAGGAGCACACTTGCAGTTGAACAAGTTGAATGTGTTACTCGGTACCCTGAAGGAGAACATGTTCTATAGAGAACCATGGGGTTTCTTAATAAGAAAGTATTAGAAAGGACTTACTATAGAATCTGAACTTTTGTTACGTGATTTGGAGACGAGTTCAAGGAATTGAAGTTCTGTTCTGGATTGGATGCCATCAAGAACTGTGAGCAATTATATGATTTGGTGTCTTAATCAATCATATCTACATGGGGAGAGAAACGAAGACTAAAGCTGTAACTGGTAAAGAAGCAGCAGTCACTCATATTGGCAAGAATAGGGTGGTACCTGGTCATTGTTGCGATTTGGACAATGTTCGTGCTTTGTCTATGTTCAGTTACAATTATGCAGTGGCCTTGTTTTTGCCTTGATTCATCATGATCACATGTTATGTGATATTGTTTGTATGAAACTGTTCTATGAAGTTGTTTATGTTTCCTAGCAGAGTGCTAAAGCCTAGCTGTGACTCCCAGGCCAGATACCTGGCTTTCAAGGACTGATTTTATGCTTCTCATCGGTTACTTCTGATAAAAACAGGAGAGATGAGTGATCTTTGATATTCTGGAAAATGCCCTTGGGTTCTGTAGGCACCTGCAAATGACCAAGAGGGAAATGAAGTTTTCTGTCTGGGCAGCCTTTGATTGGTACAAGGGCTGTGTAGTGTGACTGGCAATGTAGAAGAATGCTCCATCTCGCCAACCTTGGCCTAACCTTCTGTGGTAGCTGAGGTGTGTTTCCATTTTCTTTGTGCCCTTATTGGAGAAGAGTTTTGCATTACTGTTGGTCCAGAAAAGGTTATTTAAAATTTTAGATCAATTATACTAGAGATAGATACAGCTTTGGACGGGCCAAGAACTTTATTTTATGCTTTTAAAAAATGGCTCAAGATAAATTTAAAAGATTTATTGCACCAAATGCCACAGAGAAGTGGATCAAAATAATACATGAACAAATTTTGTTTTGTTTTGAGACAGTCTCGCTCTGTCGCCCAGGCTGGAGTGCAGTGGTGTGATCTCAGCTCACTGCAACCTCTGCCTCCTAGGTTCAAGTGATTCTTGTGCCTCAGCCTCCCGAGTAGCTGTGATTACAGGCATGCACCACTATATCTAGCTAATTTTTTTTTTTTTTTTTTTGCATTTTTAGCAGAGGCAGTGTTTTGCCATGTTGGCCAGGCTGGTCTCGAACTCCTGACCTCAAATGATCCACAAGTCTTGGCCTCCCAAAGTGCTGGGATTACAGGCATGAGCCACCGCACCTGGTCTATACAAAAACAAGTTTTAAGAAAAATTTTCCACACATTGACACTATTATCTGTTCAGCTGATCAAAAATATATAAACCCTATCAATTTTTCTTAATGGATTTTCAGTAATAAAAATCCCAGAATTTTAGCCCTTTTAAGTAACACTTAAAGTCAAGCATATTGTAATCTCATGTCTAAAAGATCTGGCTCACCAAATTTTGACATTTTAAAATTAACATTCAGAGGATGCTACATGATTTAAGCCAAAATTCTAATAAAATTCCGGCTCCTCCAAAGTACAAATGGCTCACATTTACCAAGAGTAGCTGAATACTTTTCCAATTTAATGGTAAAATTATGCATAAAAAGATGCTCTCAAAAGTACAGATTAGGATAAGAATCACACATTTAAAATAATTTGGGGGTCCCTTTGTTATTACTATTATTTTTGAGACAGGGTCTTGCTCTGTCGCCCAGGCTGGAGTGCAGGGGCACAATCTTGGCTCACTGTAACCTCTGCCTCTGGGATTCAAGCTATTCTCTTGCCTCAGCCTCCCAAATAGCTGGGACTACAGGTGCATATCACCTCGCCCAGCTAATTTTTTTTTTTTTTAATAGAGACTGGGTTTCACTATGTTGGTCAGGCTGCTCTCGAACTCCTGGCCTCAAGTGATCCAACTGCTTCAATCTCCCAAAGTGCTGGGATTATAGGCATGAGCCACCACACCCGGCCTCAATTTTTTTATTTTTATGTACACTCAAGTCTAGGGAAAACCTGAAAAGCTACAGACTAAATTTTTATTATAAGAGCCCAAACAACAATTTAGTATCATTTAGTAAGTGAGAAAGTTAAAAGAACTTGCCAAAGGAATAGAATCAAGTTCTGCCAATTGTGTCTACTATAGGACCTCAGGACCTAGGTATTAGAGCCCAAACGACAGTTTTGTATCATTTAGCAGGCAAGAATTCTCCTCCCTTCAAAAAGTTAAATTTGAAAAATATGGTAAATTTTAAAAGTTGTGATGTGTAAACGCAGTTCCATGGAATGTGAAGCTGCTCTTAAATTTGTTTTAATTTAATTTAATTTTAACTTAAATTTGCTACATATTGAATAGGCAATATACTTCCAACATTCAAAATTCAAGAGATATAAAAAGGTTTAACAGTGGCACTTGCCATGTTCCCTTCTCTTTAGGCAACCATTATTATCAGTTTATGGTGTATATTTCCAGAAATCTGTTATGCATATACAAGCAAACATTTCTCTCTCACTTTCTTTCTCTCAAGCACATACACATACACAAACATACACACAGAAATGATTATGCACATTGCTTTTTCACATATATCACATACAGTGGGGACAGGAGTGGTGGCTCACACCTATAATCCCAGCACTTTGGGAGACCAAGGTAATCCCAGCACTTTGGGAGACCAAGGTGGCCGGATCACTCTTGAACATCAGGAGTTTCAGACCAGCCTTGCCAACATGGTGAAACCCTGTCTGTACTAAAATTACAAAAAATTAGCTGGGCATGGTGGCACATGCCTGTAATCCCAACTACTCAGGAGGCTAAAGCATGAGAATCTCTTGAACCTGGGAGGCGGAGATTGCAGTGAGCTGAAATCCTGCCACTGCACTCCAGCCTGGGTGACAGAGAGACTCTGTCTAAAAACAAAACAAAAAAACATGGTGAGCTTCCTCATTCATTTTAAGGCATAGTATTCCATTGTGTTGCTGTGATATAATTTATTAAATTAGTTCATGAGAATTTTAAAGAGCACCTCATTCAAATTTTACTCCAGATGAGAAAATTGAGAGAATTAAAGAAACTTGCCAAAGGAATAGAATCAAGGTCTGTTAAGTGTGTCTGCTATAGAAAGGAAATATTCTTGATGGCCAAAGATAAGAGAGAGATGAGTTTCGATAGCAACCGAAGAACTATAGAAAAACAGGAAGGCACTCTCTATTTAAGAGGAGGTTCTTAGGGGACATTCCAGCAGGCAGAGCTGAATCTGAATGACAATGGCCAGTACAAGTTCTGAGGTCTGAATAAATCTTACCTGAAAATAGCTGAAGATGGAAATTATGATTCAAGTCTAAACAGACAAGCTGGAAGGTTCCTGACAGTAGTAAAGAGCAATTTGGAGTTTATGGCCTGGCGTCCCAGGGAGTGTTCCAGGGCATGTTGCAGCATCAGTTAGGTCACTGGAATTGAGGAGAGGGTACAGAATACTGTAGAGGATAGCCTTGGAATTTCTCTTTCTCTACCACTCCCAGGGTGGAGCACCAAGGAGTACTCCTGGGAATGGGACTGGAACTGGAGTGTCTGGTTGTGTCACCATGGGACATTGTATGAGTGGGGCCGGGGGGATGCAGGGATAGGTGGGTAGGATTTCCATTTTGTTTGCTTTTTCCTTACAATTTTTTTTGATCAATTCATCAACTAAGGAAGACAGTGGCATTCAAATCTGACTTCTCTTTAGAGTCAAACAGGACTCCCACACAAGGCTACCAACGTGTGTGTGTGTGTGTGTGTGTGTGTGTGTTTAAAAAAAAAAATAAGAGTTCTCATTGGATGGTAAAGTGTAGCCAGGCATGGGAGCTACTGTATAAGAAAAACAGCAGCCATTCAGATGCATTTCTGGAAACGTGTGCTCTAGTCTTTTTTTTTTTTCTCTACTCCTTTGATCTCTGTAACCTTGAATCTTTCCCTTCTTAGTCCTCGGTTTATTCATGTGATAAATGGATACATTCAGTGATCTTTCACTGCTTGAGGTAGGCCTCCTGACCAGCCCACCCCTGCTATTCATTGTCCACTTACAGAACTGAATGCACTACAGGAGGAGCTGAAGAATTTTGGTGTCATTGTGTTGGCCTTTCCCTGCAACCAGTTTGGAAAACAAGAACCAGGAACAAACTCAGAAATACTTCTTGGTCTCAAGTGAGTGCTTGCATGGGACCCTGCAGATGCCCTGTCGGGATTTCCATTCCTCATTCCACCTAGATGCCTGCCTATTCTGGAAACTTCTGGGATAGGCCATAGATACATGGGTTGAAGCATATCCTTATGATGTTTTGAATTCAATCTATTCTATTCACAGTGCTCAAATATTCTCTTTACTTTTGAATTATTTGATGGTGAGGCTAAGGGAAGATTGAATGGAAAAGAAGCATAGAGAAAAGAAGGGAGTATAAGAAATAAGAAATGGAAGTGAAGCAGGAAACCTAAGCTCAAAATATTGCCTTCCAATTTTCTTAGAATTCTCTATTGGCGCCATAAAGCCTATTGCATAAAATCCTGCTTCCCACAGACTATCTTTTCTTATCTTCCCTGTGCACAGCCTCTTCCCTTTATCTTGAATTTCCTGTGGTAGTGAATTGGTGGTGGCCATTATTTTCCATCCATGTCTTAATTTGTATCTTGCTGGGAACAACTTTGGTTCACTGCAGGTATGTGTGTCCAGGTAGTGGCTTTGTCCCCAGTTTCCAGCTCTTTGAGAAAGGGGATGTGAATGGAGAAAAAGAACAGAAGGTCTTTACTTTCCTGAAGGTGCATGAGTATAAACCTGGCATGGATGGGTTAGCTAGAAATGCTCTGAAAGCAGTGGGGCTCATGTCTAGGGTTGTGGTTGGACTCCTTGGAAAAGAGATGCTCAGATAAGTTCAAGGCTCATGGCAATATCTGCTGTGATGCTTTAGCTTTAAGTAGAGGAAACCCATGATGGACAATAGCTCTGACATGGACTACCCTCCTGTATTGAATGGAATGATTCATTCATTCAGCAATCATTTATCAGATCTCCAGTATGTGCTATATGAGTTAACAAACATTAATAGCGCATAGTCTGTTCCCTGAAGGAACTCACATTTAATCAGGAGACAGACATGGATGATACAGAATACCATGTGGTAAATGCTTTTAGAGTCACAGAGTGGTAAAAATACAGAATACCAGGATAGAAGGACCCCCGAGGGTCTCTTTGTCTACTCAGCCCGAAATGCTGGTCTGCAGAACAATGCTGGTCCTGCTGAAATTTTCACTCATCCACAGCAAACAAGGGAAAAAAGACAATGCAGAATTTTTCATAAAGCTCAACTTATTGAATATAAGACCAACATTTATTCTGACATTAAATTACTATTACGTTTACCCATATAAATTGCCCTTTACTTACTCAAAAATGGTGCTATAATCAATTTTATGTGGTACAACTGAGTATTTAAAAATCCCTTAATTTTTAAATGTGTGCTTACAGTAGACTTTTAATTTTTCTTATTGGCAAAATGAGTATTAGTGATTCTACGTTAATATCCAAGGAAATAGTTATTGAAATTTTACTGGCTTATGAAGCCTATGAAGCCCCAAACTCTGCGAGCCACTACTCTAAATCAATCTCTTTTTTTTTCTGCTAAGGAAACGAACTGTAGAAATGATATGACTTGCCCAAGGAAACAGAAAATAGTCTTTTACTGAATCATCGTGATAAAACCATGGAAATAGAGGAAAGACAGGGAAAGGAGGAATGCTTTCTATTTACCATTATACTCTCTAACTCTCGGTTATTTGGTAGTTGGTGTATTGGTATTGATACATTGCAGTGTCTGTGGTTGATTGGAAGCATGCAAAGTAGTTAATATATTAAAATACATAATGGTGAGTAGACTCTCTAGTCTGGAGATAAAACTGTACCACACAGAAGTAGAAATAAAGTAGAAATAAATGTATATCTCTACTTTCTATATCTCTGCTCCAGAACTCCTGCCCTCCGACCTCTGATCTTTTGGGCTCATCAAGCCAACTCTTCTGGGAGCCCATGAAGGTCCATGATATCCGCTGGAACTTTGAGAAATTTCTGGTGGGGCCCGATGGAGTCCCTGTCATGCATTGGTTCCACCAGGCTCCAGTCAGCACAGTCAAGTCAGACATCCTGGAGTACCTAAAGCAGTTCAATACCCACTAGGAAGGGCTAGCGACTGACAGAAATAACTACCCTGTCTCCCACCTGCAGGAATGTCTAACAAAGCATCCATCTTCCTCCTTCTTTGCTCCACACTCGTGCCTACCCAGCCTCCTGATGACCAAACCATCCTGTACTACCCAAGCACCTGCTTAGCATGTGTGTGTAGCTGTGTGTGTGTGTGTGTGTGTGTGTATGGATATGTAGAATTGTATTTGTTGGTATATGCATAGGTGTATGTATGGTGTGTGTGTGTGTGTGTGTGTGTGTGTTTGAAGATTAAGGAAAAGAACACCTATCTCTCCAACTCTCTGATCCTGAAATATCTATTCCAAAGGAAAATCATATTTTAGGGTAGATGAATCAGACTATCCTGTGTCCCTAAAAAAGCAATCCCGAGAAGTTGTGACATCTATCCCTTCCCCTTCCTGAAAGTTTTAAAGAAAGCAGGAGCTGGCCGCAAGACTCTAGGCCTCCTTCATAGCCTCTCTCCTCTAAGATAGGCATGCATTGTTAAACTCTTTTCTCCTTAATTCTCCTTTATTCCCCTGCCACCCAGTAGTTCTCATGTAGGACCTCTGAAGGCAGAGTGAGAGCAGAAACCCCACCTCACATGAAGGGAAGGGCATCTCCATGATGGTGGATCCCAAAACCCCTCTGGGTCGCACCCTGCCAGAGCCTTCCTTGGTGCCTGTCCCTTAGTGCATTCAGGTCATGGCACCTGGGCAGGGGTGTCCCTGTATTCTGAATGATGGGCTTTCTCCTCACCCTGAGCCTCCTCAACTTTAAGCTTATTTTGATCACTGTCTCAAATTTAAAAATTCTGCAGCAACCTGGCTCTGTGTGGTGTTTTCCCAGTCCCATATTATGTCCAGTCATACTTCTTCTTTCTCTGTCACTTTGTCCCTGCTTTCTTGATTCCCTTGTCTTGTTCTTCAGTATTTTGTTTTTCTCAAAAATGCTCTAGAACTTTCCTTGGCACATATAAAAGCACGGCTGGAACTGGTTGCTCAGAGCTGCTGTGACCGTGAGCACAGATCTCTTCGTGTCAGGTCCCTCTGCACCCTCCCGTTCAGGTCTCTTGACCAGGCCCCTACATGACAGGAATCCTTGCCTCTCAAAGAATCCTCTCTCTCTCTCTACAACAAATATGCATATGTTTGTTTTTTTTTTTAAGTATTTATTGATCATTCTTGGGTGTTTCTCAGAGAGGGGGATTTGGCAGGGTCATAGGACAATAGTGGAGGGAAGGTCAGCAGACAAACATGTGAACAAAGGTCTCTGGTTTTCCTAGGCAGAGGGCCCTGCTGCCTTCTGCACTGTTTTTGTCGCTGGGTAGTTGAGATTAGGGAGTGGTGATGACTCTTAACCAGTATGCTGCCTTCAAGCATCTGTTTAACAAAGCACATCGTGCACCGCCCTTAATCCATTTAACCCTTAGTGGACACAGCACATGTTTCAGAGAGCACAGGGTTGGGGGTAAGGTTATAGATTAACAGCATCCCAAGGCAGAAGAATTTTTCCTAGTACAGAACAAAATGGAGTCTCCTATGTCTACTTCTGTCTACACAGACACAATAACAATCTGATCTCTCTTTCTTTTCCCCACATTTCCCCCTTTTCTATTCGACAAAACCGCCATTGTCATCATGGCCCGTTCTCAATGAGCTGTTGGGTACACCTCCCAGACGGCGTGGCGGCCGAGCAGAGGGGCTCCTCACTTCCCAGACAGGGCTGCCGGGCAGAGGGGCCCCCCCACCTCCCAGACGGGGCGGCGGCCGGGCAGAGGGGCTCCCCACTTCCCAGACCGGGCAGCTGGGCAGAGGCGCCCCCCACCTCCCGGACTGGGCGGCTGGCCGGGCAGAGGCTGCCCCCCACCTCCCGGACGGGGCGGCTGCCGGGCGGAGACACTCCTCACTTCCCAGACGGGGCGGCTGCCGGGCGGAGGGGCTCCCCACTTCCCAGACCAGGCGGCTGCTGGGCGGAGGGGGTCCTCACTTCTCGGACGGGGCGGCCGGTCAGAGACGCTCCTCACCTCCCAGACGGGGTGGCGGCGGGGCAGAGACACTCCTCAGTTCCCAGATGGGGTCGCGGCCGGGCAGAGGCACTCTTCACATCTCAGACGGGGCGGCGGGGCAGAGGCGCTCCCCACATCCCAGATGATGGGCGGCCGGGCAGAGACCTCCTCACTTCCTAGACGGGATGACGGCCGGGAAGAGGCGCTCCTCACTTCTCAGACTCGGCGGCCGGGCAGAGGGGCTCCTCACATCCCAGACGATGGGCGGCCAGGCAGAGACGCTCCTCACTTCCTAGACGGGGTGGCGGCCGGGCAGAGGCTGCAATCTCAGCACTTTGGGAGGCCAAGGCAGGCGGCTGGGAGGTGGAGGTTGTAGCGATCCGAGATCACGCCACTGCACTCCAGCCTGGGAAACGTTGAGCACTGAGTGAGGGAGACTCCGTCTGCAATCCCGGCACCTCAGGAGGCCGAGGCTGGCAGACCACTCGCGGTCAGG
Source organism: Homo sapiens (assembly GCF_000001405.40). Lineage (NCBI taxonomy): Eukaryota > Metazoa > Chordata > Mammalia > Primates > Hominidae > Homo > Homo sapiens. The sequence continues at coordinate 28,501,781 of NC_000006.12, read as the reverse complement.
AGCTGGAGACCAGCCCGGCCAACACGGCGAAACCCCGTCTCCACCAAAAAATACGAAAACCAGTCAGGTGTGGTGGCCCGCGCCTGCAATCCCAGGCACTCGGCAGGCTGAGGCAGGAGAATCAGGCAGAGAGGCTACAGTGAGCCCAGATGGCGGCAGTACAGTCCAGCCTCGGCCCGGCATCAGAGGTAGACAGTGCAAAGGGGAGAGGAGGACCGTGCAAAAGGGAGGGGGAGGGGGAGGTGGAGGGGGAGAGGGAGAGGGAGACGGAGAGGGAGAGGGCATATATTTCTGTTTATAAAATTAATTCATGCTCACTGTTAAAATCTGAAAGCACATAAAAGTAAAAAAGCATAACAAAACAAAGTGGAACAAAACCCACTCCTAATCAGAGGTGCAAAGGACCTGCTAGGAAGCCCTATCTGCCCCGTGCTGTTTTATAGTTAAAATACAGTGTTTTATAATTCAAGCAGATTTCAGAAAACCAGATATTAAGGAAAGAAATTAGATGAGGAAGTAAAATAAAATCACTGTTTTTCTTTCTCTTTTTACAAATTACTTGGAACATAGGTATTAGCACTTAAAAATATTTTTTGCACTTAAAAAATGCAGGAAATTTAAATCAGTGAGTAATTTCAAACATTATGGGGATCGTAATCCTGCTGTGTACCTAAATAGAAATATGGGCTGGGCACAGTGGTGCACACCTGTAATGCCAGCACTTTGGGAGGCCAAGGAGGGTGGATCACCTGAGGTCAGGAGTTCGCGACCAGCCTGACTAACATGGTGAAACCCCGTCTCTACTAAATACAAAAAATTTAGCCGGGCATGATGGCATATGCCTGTAATCCAAGCTACTTGGGAGACCGAGACAGGAGAATTGCTTGTTCCCTGGAGGTGGAGGTTGCAATGAGCCAAGATCGCGCCATTGCTCTCCAGCCTGGGTAACAAGAGCAAAACTCCATCTCAAAAAAAAAAAAAAAAGGAAGAAAGAAGAAATGTGATCCATGACTTAATCTTTATTCAGCAACATGAAAATTGACTAAACCAAAAACTGTTAGGAAAATGATTTTTAAGACCTTAAAATTCATAAATGGTGGATATTTGATACATGAAAAATGGGAAATATTATCAAAATATTTGGATGTTTTCTCTTCTTAAACTTAACATCTAGTAAGAAAAAATGAGTTAAAAAAATCGGGCTTTCCTTGGCTGTAAACCATAGGATTTGAGATTTCCATAAATCTTTTACTAACCGCTATGGCGGTTGTGAGAGCAGTGAGGAGATTACAGAACCAGCTACCAGTGGTGTTAAGAAATATGTTTCATTTTTTAGCTTCTTTTAAATCTCTGAAGTGGTTAAGTACCTCTGGGACCTTAATAGTCTTCAGAAGGGTTCCAGACCTGGTAAGATCTGGATAACCAAGGTCCAGAAAGTAGGTGGAGAGGATGAGCTGACACAATGTATAAAATTCTCTCCAGTTACTGGTTCAGCCTAACCCAGGAACCTGCAGTTGCTCCAGGTGACCAACATTCCTATAGTAATGAAGAAAGAGGACTGCAGCCTTCAGCCTGAATGCTTTGTGCCTGAGTATGCGGGAAAGGTCTTCATCCTGCCACTGCTCTGAAAATCCAGGTTCTATCCTCCTAATGCCTTCCAGTGGCTGTCCCTGAAGAGAAAATAAACATTTTTCTGGAGAGAGCCAAGACCATAGAAATGAGAAACAGAAATGTCCTTGCAGTGGGAGGTGGGCATAGGTGAGGGGCAGGTTTGGGGGCCAGAAGTCCAGATCAGAATGTCACAAATGATGACAATGATGATAATGATGGCAATAATAATAATGTAAAATATAATAATAATGTAAAATGTCTTTATAAAGAGAGGATCAAGACATAAAAATTTCCACTTCTCTCCTCCTCAACCAATCCCAATAGCAGAGCTTAGTCCCCAACGAAAGTTACACTTAGAACCTTCTGGAAGTGGGTCGACTTCTCAGGAGTGTCTAAGGAGCTCCAGTCTGTCATAGTAGTTAAAAGGTTACTATCAGGTGATTATCATCATTACCATCACAGGCACTATTATTGCTGTGGAACTTTTTTCTTCTAACCAGAAGTTCCCACAACTTATTACGCAAATCAGGTACACTAGAGCTAATTGGGTCCATAAATCCACTACCCCACAAACAACCTACCAGGCATCTAGAATCATTAAGGCTCCACTGATCACAAAACTTTTGGAGAGAGTTCTCAGGCAGGACGGGAAGGTTCTAAGGTCCTAGAAAACCAGGACTCAGACCCTCTCTAATCAACCTATTCCCAGATTTGCAAAGCAGCCCATAGCAGGAGGTAATAAACCACTGTGGTCTCCCCTGTGGCAGTTAGTCTGTGGATGTAATATATTTTCTGTGGACTGTGTGGACACAGGTGGCTCTTAGCCTTGGAGAGTACCCGTGTTAATTCTGGGAGGTGAATTCTCAAAATATGAGAAGTAGGACACAGTCTATCCCAGAGCACATCAAATATTGCTTCTGTGGTCTTATGAACACCTCTTGACTTGGCTTCTGTTCTCCATAAACAGAATCTGAGACAAGAATTGAGGCACATATAGCTTATTGAAAGAATGGTCTCAGAAGAAGGGAATCTGTGAAGCAGGATAAGGCCAGGAAAAGAGAGAATTAAAATGCAATTTCTGCTGGAGCTTAGCTTCAGAAAAAATCACACTATAATCAGTCCCATCTTGAAGGATGAGACATAGCCTCTTGTAGCCCATGTGAGTCAGTCATTGGCTTATGGGCCCACCCTTGAACTCTAGAGGCATAAACTCCCAGGCGAGGTGGCTCCCTTTGGCTGAAGAAAATTCTTTGGAGAAGGTGGCCACTGAGAGTTAATACCCTGGAGAAGGAGCAGCTCTGAGCCATTAGCAGCCAAAACTCACAGCAAGTGGAGATGCAGGCACTAGCCCAGTAAAGCCCATCTGGGTAAGGCTGTGGAGACCACCTATTACCCTCCACAAATGAGTCATTATTGAGGGAAATCTCGAGTAGAGGCCCTGAGAAAAGGACCTTGACAATCAGTCATCATTTTCCCTTTCTTGACTTCTGTCTCTAGGAAATTGATTCTCAAAGCATAGTCCTCTGGCCAGCAGCAGTAGCATCACTTGAGAACTTAGAAATGCAGTTTTCATATCTCTCCTGGGCTCACTGACCCAGAAGCCCTGGGGTAGGTCCAGCAGTCTGTTTTCAAAAGGCTTCCAGTTGATCCTAATACATGCTAAAGTTTGAGGACCACTGCTCTAAGGAATGGAGAATTTGCAGAAAATATTGTCATTTTGACATAGGATGAGTAAGGAGAACTTCTCTTGTACTTCATGTGGCTACTGACTGCTCTGCACAATCAAGCCACACTGCCTCCCACTCAGTCCTTAGGTGCCCCCAGGGTTAACATGGACAATCCAGCCATGCCCTTGGTTTATTAGTTTCCTCAGTCTCTGATCCACATCATCTTCATTTAGGTCCAAATTCAATATGTGTTATCTGACAAAGACTCCCTCCTTGACCCAACTTTAGTCAGGGTTCTCTGAGCCTTTGTGACATCATAAGAAATATGTTTATTTGGTCTTTCCTCCCAACTCGTGGCACAGAGCTTCTAAAATCCTTGTAACTTCCTGAGTGATAGGGATGATAAGAGGTTCTTTTGTTACATTTGGTCTTAGTCCCTGGTTCCCAACACAAGAGCTTTTAAGACCCGTGGAATCTCCTAAATAATAACTGTCTTTGTGTATGTTAATGAGATGACTGGTGGCTGAAAGTCCCCAGATAGCTTCAGAGTGAGGTCTGGTTGCCAGAGAAACCATCCATGGCGATTAAAGATTTGGAACTTTCAGCACCCCAGCCCACTTCTGAGGAGGGCAGAGGAGCTGATAATTGACCCAGTCATCAAAAGCCAATGATTTAATCCATCATGCTTGTGTAATGAAATCTCCATAAAACTCCTAAACAACAGAACTCATAGAGCTTCTGGGCTAGTGAACACACGGAGTTATTGGGAGTGTGGTGCCCCCAGAGAAGACACGAAAGCTCTATATTCCTCCCCATACCTTGCCAAGTGTATCTCTTCATCTATATCCTTTGTCATATCCTTTATAATAAACTGATGAACGTAAGTAAATGTTTCCCTGAGTCTTGTGAGTTGTTATAACAAATTGTCAAACTTCAGGGGGAGGTCATAGGAACCCTCAATTTACAGCAGTTGGTCAGAAATATGAGTGACAACCTGGGACTTATGATTGACATGTGAAGTGGGGGGCAGTCTTGTGGAACTGAGCCCTTCACCTATAGGGTCTGCACTAATTACAGGTAGTTAGTGTCAGAATTGAGTTGCAGTGTCAACACCCAGTTTGTGTCTGCAGAATTGGAGAATTGCTTGGAGTGGAAAACCCACACATATGGTGTCAGAAGTATTGTGAGAGTATAGAAACACAGTCTTTTCTTTTAGCCTTCTCAAGTAGGCCTTGGCTTTTGACTACCTTCAGCAAGACTCCTTCTATCAGTTTACTGAGAATCTCCCCAAGTCTGGTATCTGCACAGATTATTAATCCTCTACCCTTAATTTCTAAGTCCTTAGCCTACCATTAGCAAGAATCCTGTTAGGCCAGTTTAGCAAGACTCTTCCTCCTTTTGATATCTGTGCTTAGTAATTTTCCATCATCTACGACACCTTCACTCTGCCTGTTGGCTTTAAATCCCCATTTGTCCCCATTGAGTTCAGTCTCTCTCGCTAATTGCAGTAGTCTTAGTCTTTACTAGCACTTTATCAAGTGCCAAAATAATCTTTCTTTAATATATATTTTCAAATACATTGTGATTTGGAGTAAAATAAAAAGTTCTCATTTTCTCTTCTTTCTTTACCGCTTCCCTTCCTGACCTCCAGCTGGCATTGCTCTGATTGCAAGTTTTCTCTTGCTCTTTCAAGTGTTAGTTTACAAACTTTCTTTTCTTTGAATCTCTGTGAAGTTCCTGGATAGGGATTCCATGCCCCTCTAAAATTTTCCTTATGAAACCATATTGACTGTCTACCTTTTCTTGATTCCTTGTAAAGGGAAAAGAAAACCAGTTTTAATTCTTTTGGACTCCTTTTGGCCTTTGAAATACAGTGGGGTCAGGAGTGGTGGCTCATGCCTGTTATCCCAACACGTTGGGAGGCCAAGGCAGGAGTTTGAGACTGAGCAACATAGTGAGACCCCATCCCTACAAAAAATAAAATTAGCCAGGTGTGGTGGCACACACCTATAGTCCCAGCTACTAAGGAGGCTGAGGTGGGAGGATTACTTGAACTCAGGAGGTCGAGGCTCCATTGACCAGAGATTGCACCATGTACTCCAGCCTGGGTGACAGAGTGAGACCCTGTCTCAAAATAAAATAAAATAAAATGAAACAAAACACAGTGGCCTCAACTCACCATATGAACCATTTTATAACCTCAGAGTGCCACCTAGAGTGTATGTAGAGCTTATACCAATTTTTAGATTATAACTTCAGAGGAACTAAGGCAAAGATAACTCAAGGATCTTCCCTTTTTCCAGGTCTTTATTCTTTTCTCTCTTTCCAATTTCCTCTGTATTTCTTTGCCTCCAGCCAGACAAGTTAATAGAAATGGAATTATCACCTAATAAGTTATGTTTGAAGACACTCTACACCTGGCAAAGAGAGCTTTATCTTTATCTGTAGAGCCTCAGAGTCATTTCTATTCAGAATACTGACTTTCTAGGGCTCCCCTTCCAAAAACAAAGAGTTCTAAGTTCAATGGCTCCTGAAATATGAGTTTGCTGTATGATTTTATTATATTCAGATATAGGAAATAGGAAAACAAATTGGATGGATAAAACCAATATAGATAGTACGTAAGCTAATAGCTTACAAGATAAGGCAAAATTCAGAAGATGTGTTAACTATACATAAATTAATAAGTAGCTTGTGAGACAGAAGCAGAATTCATAAGTTGTGTTAAATACACATACAAGTACATTAGTAACATGGAAGATATGTTACAGATAGAATAAATAGAATATATGATGGAACAAACAATAGTGTTATTTGGAAAGGAGCAGAAAGATGAATGGTAATCAAAACTAAATGACATTCAATTTTTCTATCCTCTTATTAGAGAAAAATTGAGTCCTCAGACTGTAACTTCCCACCAAAGGAGGAGAGGAATTATTAATGGCTTTAATAATCTATTTTAAAAGCCTAATATAAAGTTTAAAAAATTGGCCAGGCATGGTGGCTCATGCCTGCAATCCCAGCGCTTTAGGAGGCCGGGGCAGGCAGATCACCTGAGGTCAGGAGTTTGAGACCAGCCTGGCCAACATGGCGAAACCCCGTCTCCACTAAAAAATACAAAAATTAGCCAGGTATGTTGGCAGGTGCCTGTAATCCCTGCTACTTGGGAAGCTGAGGCAGGAGACTCTCTTGAACTCGGGAGGTGGAGGTTGCAGTGAGCCGAGATTGCGCCACTGCACTCCAGCCTGGCTGACAGAGCGAGACTCTGTTAAAAAAAAAAAAAAAAGTTGAAAAAGTAAATTTGCATAAATCACTGTATTTTAAGAGTTATAAGGGCACATGAGTACCTTCTGGCTTCAATCTATATTCATAATTTGCAACATTATGTAAAAACCAAGCTCTCAATGTCTGCTGTCAAGGAATTCTGAAACCAGCCACTTCATGCCTTCCTAAACCAGCACTGCATTTTCACAGACCCTATCTAAGTCCCAAATATAAACAAACTTTCAACGCTTTTTTCTAACTTGTCTTCTCTCAATTTAAGAGTGAATGGATAACTGATGTGGGCCTTGCATTATATGTATGGGGTATAAGGCCCAGGGGGAAAAAAAGACTTCCAGATCCTCCATAACTGGGTCCTTTGTTAAGAACCAAAGCTCAAACCCATCCTACATTTTAAGGGGCCCCATTAGTTGGGGGACAGAAGGGACAGAAAACAGTATTCATGTGGGGGATGAAAAGCTTGTCTCAGGATTTTGAGGTGCTGTGGGGATTATGGTTCAACTCTGCTCTTGACAGTCCAAACTAATCAGGTCAATTTCCACAATTCCCTTCATGCAAAAAAAAATAAATTTGGCATAATATATGCCATCATTTATGATTATTTCTCATAAGTATTTTGGCAAATTTAAGTATCTCTTTATGCCAAACTTGATTCAGATTTTTTAATGTGTGCATCAAAACATCAGATTTGTATCTCTCTGTTTAGAATAAAAGCTTCTCGAGAGACAAAACAAATATTAAATTAAAAATAGAACTTTACATTTGGCATATTTGACTCACTAAGAGTTTAACTGAATAGCAAAAACTCTCAATTCCATCAAATTATGTTTTCACAACAGCAGGTTCTGCTTAGAATATCATACTAATTGCCATGGCTAGTTAGGGAAGGATCACTATTTGAATCTAAACAGCAGTTACATCATATTCACCTGATGAAAAAAATGCATGAGGGGACAAAGAGAGTCATCTACAGTAATCACACAGTTTTCACTTTAACAGACTAGGTTGTGGTGCTACTCAAAAAGAAAAGCAATAATAGGAGGAACTTGATGAGTCCACGGTGTCTATGAGATACTAAGGTGGAAATGTCTTGTAGGCAGTTGGCTATAATCATATGGCATTCTAAAAAGTTTTATGCAAGATATTTGGAAGTTATCAGTATTCCAAATATGCAAGATATTTGGAAGTATTTTGAAAGGTTCAAAGATATGAGTGTGTGGAATATTCCTTTGAATACCATCTCAGAAAAAAGGGCAACCAAATATGGAACCTAGAAAACATCAACATTAAAAGATTGAATCTTCTACTTGCACTAGATTTTCAAGTTGGGAACATTTTACTCATGCCTCTGGGAAGTTCTTGGCTAGAATCAGAGATTCCAGTGCCACAATTTCTCCACAGAGCTACACATTTGCTATATTCAATATCTCAACTGTAATTTTCACTATGACCACATAAACCAGTGGAAGATTAAGTATCTCTTAATTAGGGTCATTGGCTTTTAAAATGCTGTGAAAATAAAAAAACTAGTCTCTCTGAGCTCTTTGTTTCCTGCATATACCTTGTCACACTGCCTCCCCACAGCTTGCTACTTACCCACAGGCTTGGAAACAATCAGGAAGTTTGAAAATAAAGAACAGACAAAAATATCAGGCAAACTCACAAAAAGAAAGGACTCAAGGATTTAAAATCATGTGAGGTGGGATTTTGGACAACACTCATTAAATAAAACAAAGAAGGGTACTGCAAAATGCTAAAAATTACAGTTTAAGTGGAGGTAAAGATTTTTGGTTTTTTTGATATTCATGCTCAAAATAAAGCAGCAACTTTCATTCAGCAGAAATTCAGTGGAGACACAAGTAGAAAGGCAGAGACAATTTAGTAATTGACTTCAATTTATTGCTCTAAGTTCAAGAAATATCAGTGGACAAAGAAATAAGTAATATTATAAAAGACAAATAAGAATAAAACATTGACCTGATAGATATCATAAAATTCTTTATAGAGAAAACACAATTTTTAAATTGCCCAAAGAAATTAAAGAATTGACTATACAATGATCTAATAAGAAAATATCAAAATACTTTTTAATTTAGAAAATTAATACTGTGCTAGAAAATAGAGATAGAAATCAGCATCAAAATATAATCAGAAAAGTATAAAATGTTATACTTAATGTCAAATGCTTCTAAAAATATCTTTGCTCAAAGAGAAAATCAAAACTAAAATTACAGGCCAGGTATAATAGAATGTCAATAAGACAACATATATCATTACTGTGGAATGCTACAAAAGCAGGTCAGAGGGGAACATTTGTAACTTAAGTGCATTTTTTAAGTAAATGAGAAAGACTTTAAATGACTGAAATGCTGGTGAGTATTTCTCTTCAGAAGCAAGTAAAAGACCAACAAAACATACCAAATGAAAGCAGAAGAAAGGAATCAACAGAGAAAATCTGTTTACATGCTAGGAGAGCTAAGAAAGTTTTTTTTGTAAATAAAACTGAAATACAAATCTGTGGAATGTCTAAGGGAAAATATAAACTTAGAATTCAAAATTAGTGAAGAAGACACATTTACAAATAGAGATGAGATGTGTATCTCAAATAAAAAGCATTTTTTTACAACTTTCTACCTCTGTATCTGATAATCCCTGATAATCTAAGCATAGTGAATGAGATAGGATTTAGGACAATATAAATTACCAATATTGATGTGATAATAATAAATAACATTGATTGAAGGCTTGCATGGCCCAGGCATCATACTAGAATTTTAAAAGCAGTAAGTCATTTAATATTCAGTATCATTATCTCTCAACAAATAAGCAACTGAGAATCAGAGGCACTATATGACACACTCAAATGACACATCCTCACAGAATAATAACCACGGTAATAGATGAAGAGGCTGTCAAAAGTCTCTTTCCATTTCTAAGCCCCATGAAAAGGCCCCATTCTCTTAGGCCAAGTGCTGTCAAATTGTCAAGGATCAGGTAACTCTTCTGGGTTGAAAAGTTTCAGGGCATAAGAAGTGGAAAACTGCCTAATCCATTCATTAAGGTTACCAAAACCTGACATAAATAGAACCCAAAGTAAAAACAAAACAAATCAAATGAGAACAATCAAATTCATACATCCAAAGATCAACATATCAAATAAAATGTTAATAAGTGTACGGACCAGCCCCACAGGGTCAGTGGGTCTCTCCCTGTGTGCAGCGACGAGAAAGTGTAGAAATAAAGACGCAAGACAGATAAAAGAAAAGACAGCTGGGCCCGGAGGACCACTACCACCAATGCGCGGAGACCGGTAGTGGCCCCGAATGTCTGGCTGCGCTGTTACTTATTGGATACAAGGCAGAAGGGGCAGGGTAAAGAATGTGAGTCATCTCCAATGATAGGTAAGGTCACGTGGGTCACGTGTCCACTGGACAGGGGGCCCTTCCCTGCCTGGCAGCTGAGGCAAAGAGGGAGAGGAGACAGAGAGAAAGACAGCTTACGCCATTATTTCTGCATATCAGGGACTATTAGTACTTTCACTAATTTACTTCTGCTATCTAGAAGGCAGAGCCAGGTGTACAGGATGGAACATGAAGGCGGACTAGGAGTGTGACCACTGAAGCACAGCATCACAGGGAGACGGTTAGGCCTCCGGATAACTGCGGGCGAGCCTGACTAATGTCAGGCCCTCCACAAGAAGTGGAAGAGCAGAGTCTTCTCTAAACTCCCCCGGGGAGAGGGAGACTCCCTTTTCCGGTCTGCTAAGCAGCCGGTGTTTTTTCTTGACACTGAGGCTTCTGCTAGACCACCGTCCGCTCGGCAACGGGCGTCTTCCCAGACGCTGGCGTTACCGCTAGACCAAGGAGCCCTTCTGCTGGCCCTGTCCGGGCATAACAGAAGGCTCGCACTCTTGTCTTCTGGTCACACCTCACTATGTTCCCTCAACTCCTATCTCTGTAAGGCCTGGTTTTTCCTAGGCTATGATTATAGAGCGAGGATTATTATAATATTGGAATAAAAAGTAATTGCTACAAACTAATGATTAATGATTTTCATATATAATCATATCTAAGATCTATATTTGGTATAACTATTCTTGTTTTATATTTTATTATACTGGAACAGCTCGTGTCCTCTGTCTCTTGCCTCGGTGCCTGGGTGGCTTGCCGCCCACAAATAAGTAGAATCTGGCTAGTGTGTGTAAGAATAACAAATTCAACAGAACCAAACAAAATTCACTCCAATAATTCCATTTTATTTTAAGTATCAAAACTCATTATTTAACAAATACCACATAGTGGTTTCATGACTTCTGTGGCTAAACAGGCTAGAACCTCCACACCCCAAGAGATTAGAGCCTTCATCCAGCGCTTTGGACTGCTTAGCCACTTTGCCTCCACGAAAAGCAATTATTTTAGAACGTTGTGTATATTACCTTCTCTATTCCCTTTTAACATACACTCATCAGGAATTTCATGTCCTCCAAACTGGCAAAAGTAGAGTTAAAATTGTGTGCACAGACCGTCTCAAAGATTCCCACCTGCCAAACATCCATCCTGATTATCTACCCTGTTATGAGTCCTCCCAGATATTGAGAAAAGACAGAATTCTTTTCGGGACGTTCATTGCCCCTCTCTCCAGCCAACCAGGACCCAGGAGACCCGAGTTTCGGTCCCAGCGCTGTCTTTTATGTTACCCGGGTGTGAAGCAGGAGGTAGCCTTTACACCTGGGAGAATAAAATCCATTCGCTTCTAGAAAAATCAGTCATCGAGAAAACGCTTGAAAACCCCCATGGACGACCTGGCTCTGGGACTGAAACGGCGCTTAGTTGACGTCTCATTTTTGCCGGCTGCGTTTAGGAGTAGGCAGCAGAGAGTTATTTTTAATGTGCACAACCAGAAAACAGAGGACGTCCCCATCCCCAGCCCCAGCCTCCCATCTACCCACCTAGGATTCGAGTGCCTGCTTTTTAATAAAGTCCTTACTATGAAAGACGTGGAAAGAAACGTCTGTACAGACAGATCTACTTTTTGCTCAATGTGTTCAGGGCCTTAATTCCCAAAGTCCAGGACGGGAATCCTTTTGCGTTATGCGTGTCTTCGCATACTACCGGGCCCAGAGAGGCTGTGTCCTGCCCTCTCCAACCCCACGAAAGCGTTCTGGGCGGGTCCCGGGTCTCCCCTCCCCAGTCCCAACCTCCTTGTCCCTCAACCCTCAGTCGTCTCAGTCCCCGCCTGCCCTGGGTGCCCTGGGCCCCGCAGACGCACCTGAATTCCCCCGGCCCTACGTAGGGCCTGCTCCTGGACGCGGAGCCGAAATCGGTTCAAAGCCTGCGGGCGGGGCTCCTTGCAGGTCCCCGAAAGAATGAGAACCGGGACCCCCCCCCCCACCACCGGGACGTGGAAGGACGGGTTACAGAGGAGAACGCGTTATCTCCTCTGGGAGGCGATTTTCAGAACTTACTGCGGGAAAAAAAAAAAAAAAAGAAAAGAAAAAAGAAAGAACCCCCCCCCCCAAAAAAAAAACAAGCCCAAGAGGAGCAGAAGAAAACAAAGGGTGGGAGAAAACTGGGACAAATTACTTTTTCTTGGTCAGTCTTCAAGTGTCGACCAAACTCCTTGAGGCCAAAGCAGTGGAGTCCTGCTCCCCGCCCCTCCCCCACCTCCGCACCCCTCCTGAGAGGCCCCACGTGACACAGAACTTTACTGGCCTCTTGAAAATGACATCACAAGACCTTAAGAAGAGCTAAACGGGCTGCCACCTGTAGCTGAAGAGTGCCTTAACGCCGAGGCCCACGGCTCCATGCGAGAGATGCCTGTTCCTTCTCTGATAAATTTGGCAGCTTCACGTACCCTAAGTGAGTGACTTTCAAGATTCAAAGGTTTTTTAAAATTATGTATAGATATATTCCTTTTAATCGTCTTCACGTATTGTATAGCTTTCTGTAATGCTCTTTCTTGGATTAATAGAAAAATCCTTTGACACTGTAGACTGCCGAATACGTTTCCCCGTGTATTCGTATGTCTTCAAAAGATACTGAGGAAATGAAGTGTTTCTCGAGTTGACATATTTTTTGAAGACAGCAGATAACTAACTAAACTCATTTTGTCAAAGTAAAATGAGATAGATTCACCTCTAAAGAGTGCTTCCGCGTGGCTCTATGGCTTAGTTGGTTAAAGCGCCTGTCTCGTAAACAGGAGATCCTGGGTTCGACTCCCAGTGGGGCCTGATGTTTTCCAGAGAAAATCAGCTGTTTCTGAAAATTGTTTTCTTGACGAAGAACTGCGTCCTCCCACTAATTGCCAAACATTCTCACCAAACTTAACAGCAGTAGAACACAACTGGATAAATCCCAAGTTGTTTAACTGCATCCTGCTCAGATTCCTTACTTTTAAAAAGTAAATTTTTAGGAGGAAGACAATGCAAATGCAAAAAGTGCGAAAGAATAATGCATGTGACCCACCTCAATCAATTTCGTATGTCTTGCTTTAAACTGTGGTAAAATGTTTTTGAGCACTTACAATGTGTTACAGTTTAAAGCATGTAGATAACTGTTGTAGGCATGCAGATAAATAAAATCTCTCTAGATTCTAAAAATCTCCAGCTCTATAATTGAATTCATAAGATAAGAAATTAATGAACAACAAACCCATTAGTAGCTACAAACAAAAATTAGGACATTTGCAGGGGCATGCTTGCCTTTTTTTTTTTTTTTTTTGAGATGGAATCTCGCTCTGTCACCCAGGCTCCAGTGCAGTAGCGATTCTCATGCCTCAGCCTCCAGAATTGCTGGGATTACAGGTGTGCACCACCACGCCCAGCTAATTTTTGTATTTTCATTAGAGACAGGGTTTCACCATGTTGGCCCGGCTGGTCTCCAATTCCTGCCTCAAGTGATCCGCCTGCCTCAGCCTCCCAAAGTGCTGGGATTACAGGTGTGAGCCACCGCGCTTGGCCTGTTTTTTTACTTTTTAATGAGAAATATTCACAATGTGGCTACTATGTTACTCTAAGTATCATAAGTAGCAACGTAAAACATTGGAAAATTGTCCCTATGTTTGGACCTCACTGCTGTTCATTTTGATTGGGACCTTGTTGAACTAGGTCACATCGGCTGTATTCAAACCTCAGCTGCTACATTTGATGGCTAAGGGACCTTTAGCAAATTGCTCTAGCTCCATGGGCATCACTTTCTTCACATGTGGAATGGAAATAGTAATAAGCCTACCTAATATAGTTGATGGGAGAGCTTGTTGAGTAAGTATACAAAATATTTTAGAAGGATATTTGGCACCTAAACAAGCAATAAAGTTCACTATATTGTTGCTTTTTATAATTTTTCTTATTTATTGAACAATTAGGGACAAGTGTTTAATCCTTTTACTCTGAAACTGCCTTTGCAAACCTATGACAGTAGCATAAATCTGACATGGCTGTGGCTGACTCCATCTTGCTTCTAGCCTCATGGGCTGGCTGTCTTCTCTCATTTCTGGGCATGGACCAAGTTAACTGTGGAGTCCTAATTGGGAAAAGGAGTCAGACTGGCGGGACCAAGGGAAAGCAAGAACAGAAAGCAGATAAGCTATAAGTCTGCCTTTCTTCATGGTCCAGGACACATAGCCCTCTTGTACAAACAACTCACAATCTTCCTGTGCTCAACTATCACCACACACCTGCAAGGCAGTTCATTTCAACTTTGGCATTATCAGTACTGCACAAAGCCCTCTTCAGTTTACAGCATAAACCCTATTCTGTAAAGTCTCCAGCAAGCCTTTGTTTCTTTGCAGTCAGCTTCTCTCATGCTGATTTAGCCATTGCTTTCTTGCAACCTATTTTCATACTTTCTCTAATAAATCTGCCTTTCTAGGGTCTTTGCAGAAGTAATCAAGTTATGATGAGGTCATTCTGGATTAGGGTGGGGCATAATCCAGTGACTGGGATCTTTACTCGAAGAGAGGGAGGTTTGGACACAGAGACACAGACATAGTGGGAAGACGGCCCTGTGAAGATGGAGGCAGAGATTGCAGTTACTGGCCACAAGCCAAGGAGTGAGACTGCCATTGCAAAATTATAACTGAGAAAATTATTACAGTAAAAGAGATCTGACCTAACTGACTCCATCTTGCTTCTAACCTCCAAGCTGTCCTTGTTCATTCCTGGGTGTAAGCTGCAGTAACTTTGGGAGGAACTTAGTTTATAGTTTAACTTTGAAACAGGATGATAACAGCCCTTTCCCAAAGCAAACCCCCTTCCTGCCTAGGGACTAGACTGCTTTTGTAGGACTAACAAATTAGCCACAAGATTAGAAATTATGGTTTAGGAGTCATGCGGCTGGAGGCTACAAGATTCTGACACTCCCCAAATTGCTACTGGGGATAACATCACTATTCTATTGTAAACCCTACACTCAATGGATCAGCTGTACCACCCAGGTCAGTAAACTGGCTCATCTGATCTTGTGGCCCCACCTAGGAACTGACTCAGCACAAGAAGACAGCTTCAACTCACTATGCTTTCATCTCTGACCCAACCAATCAGCACTCCCAACTCACTAAACCCTACCCACCAAATTATCCTTAAAAACCCCAATCCCCATGTTTTGGGGGAGACTGATTTAAGGAATAATAAAACTCCAGTCTCCTGTACTCCTCTGCATGAATTAAACTCTTTCTCTATTGCAGTTCCCCTGTCTTGATAAGTTGGTTGTGTCTAGGCAGCAGGCAAGGGGAACCTGTTAGGTGGTTACAGGAACACCAAGGATCTCTGGCAATCATCACAGTTGAAAGAGGCAAGGAAGGGTTCTTCCCAAGAGCTTTTAAAGGAGCATGACGCTGTCCACATCTTGATTTTAGACTTCTGGCTTCCAGAACTGTGAGAAAGTAATTTCCTATCACTTTAAGCCACCCAGTTTGTGGTAATTTGTTATGACAACCCTAGGAAACTAACACAAAACATTAAAACAAAATTAGTGATTTATACTAGCAAGTAAATGAAATCTATTATTTTTCCTAAATAACAGATGACATCTGGGATATTCACACCTCAACTTAAAATTACAAACCTAGGGTATTCCACTTCTTTAGTTGTTTTACAGTAGCACAGAATCTTGGAAACCCTCTCAATTCTTTTTCTTCTTCCTAGTTTGTTTTTTACAGGCCACTACACCTGAAACAGCCATTGCAAAATTATGACAGTAAGAGAAATCTGGCATGCTGACTTCATCTTGTTCCCAGCCTCACTGGTTGGTTGTCTTTGCTCATTCCTGGGCATGGGCCAAACTAATTTTTGGAGAAATTTAGTTTATAATTTAAATGGTAATACCCCTTCCCAAAGACTAAACTGTTCTTATAAAACTAATGAAAGGCCACCAAGTTAGAGGATGAGAAGGGTCTGAATTCTAAATAACTACCAGCCATTATTCTGGAGGTAATATGATTTGCAACTTCCCCAATTACTCTTGCAGATAACATCACTATTGCACAACCTACAATATGGTGATGTCTTTTCAGGTTTTTGCATTTCTGACAACCACGTGTCCTCACCTGGACCCGCCAACCCATCCTGTGGCCTCCACCCAGGAACTGACTCAGCATGAGAGGACAGCCTCAATTCCCCATGATTTCATCTCCAACCCAACCAATCAGCTTGCCCCCTACCCTGGTCCCCTGCCCACCAAACTGTCTTTGAAAAACCCATAACCTCCATGCCTTCAGGGAGATAATTTGAGTACTAACGCCATCTCCCATGGGGCATGGCCGACCTCGTGTCTATTAAACTCTTTCTTTACTGCAATGTTGTGGTCTTTCTGGGTGCAGTGGACAGGAAGGACTCCTTGGGAAGTTACACACCTATCCCCACAATGGTGTAACTCTGTGAAGTTGTCCCATGAATCGCCCTTGGCTGTTTGGAGACATCTAGTAGATTACACCACCATTCCATTCCCAGCAGCTAATAACTGACGGATGGGGGAAGGAGTATAAAAGTCAAGTCCCTTGACTCAGTGACCACTCTGCTATGCAATTTATATTCCAGAGCCCCTGTCTCATGGGTCAGGCCAAAGCTAGACTTTATGTGAGACCACATCTTTGTTTTGTTACTTGTTCTTCCCCATCCAGAGGATCATTTCCTCAATAAATCACATACTCATTAAGGCACATCCTTTGTCTTGGGGTATGCTTTAGAGAGTCTGACTTTGCTTCCCAGGCTGGAGTGCAGTGGTGTGATCTCAGCTCACAGCAACCTCCACCCCCCAGCCTCAAGCGATCCTCCCACCTCAGCCTCCCAAGTAACTGGGGACTATAGACGCAGGACACCATGTCCAGCCAACAAGTCCGGCCTAAAAAGACTTTCAAAGTAAATTTCTGGCCAGGCATAGTGGCTCACGCCTGTAATCCCAGCACTTTGGGAGGCCGAGGCGGGCGGATCACGAGGTCAGGAGATCGAGACCATCCCGGCTAAAACGGTGAAACCCCGTCTCTACTAAAAATACAAAAAATTAGCCGGGCGTAGTGGCGGGCGCCTGTAGTCCCAGCTACTTGGGAGGCTGAGGCAGGAGAATGGCGTGAACCCGGGAGGCGGAGCTTGCAGTGAGCCGAGATCCCGCCACTGCACTCCAGCCTGGGCGACAGAGCGAGACTCCGTCTCAAAAAAAAAAAAAAGAAAAAGTTCAGGCATGTTTTAAAACTATGAAGTCCACATCTTTATCTGAGTGACTGCACACATATATGATAACATAGAAGACAATATATATATATACACATTCTTTCAATGTGTGTATGTGTGTGTATATATATATATATGCATAATCATTGAAAGGATTAAAATCACAGAGAGTTTTTTCTTGTACACAGCAAAATAACCTGAACATCAATAACATTTGGAGATATTTGAGAAAGCCACACATATCTGGAGATTAAACCATGGAGTTCTAATAACCCATAAGTCAAAGAAGAAATCACAGAGAAATTAGAAAACACTTTAAACTGAATAAAACTGAAAATACAACATATCAAAATTTGTGGGATGCAACAAAAACCATACTTAGTGGGATAATTTTAGCATTAAACATTTATATTAGAAAGGAAGAAATGTCTCTAATCAATGTTCTCATCTTCTGCCTTAGAAACTTAGTAAAAAAGATAAGCAAATTAAATCCAAAGCAGGCAGAAGAGGAAAATACTAGAGTAAATGCCAATGAAATAGAAAACTGAAAAACAATAAGGAAAAACAATAACGTCAAAAGCTGGTTCTTTGAAAAGATTAACAAAATTGATACATTTCTAGCCATACTCTTCAGGAAAAAAAGAGAGAAGAGACACAAATATCACAAATGACAGTAGCCTGGGCATGGTGGCTCACGAACTAATTCCTGAGCAACATACCGAGACCCCATCTCTATATTTAAAAAATAAAAAATATATTAACAGAGAAAAACAAAAGAAACAAATGAAGGAGTAGATATCACTAGAGCTTCTACAAATAACAAAAGGACACAAGGAAATGTTATGAATGTATTTTACCAATAACTTTGACATCATAGATGAAATGGAAAAACTCCTTGAAAGACACAAAAAGTGTATTCAAGAAGAAATAGATAACCTAAATAGACCTACATCGATTAACTAAATTAAATCCATGCTTTATAACATTCTTACAAAGAAACAAAATCTGGCCCAGATGGCTCCAAAGTAAATTCTACCAACTTTTTAAGCAATAAATAATATCAATTTTACACAAATTATTTCAGAAAGCAAAAAAGGAGGCCACACATCTGAACTCACTTATCAGGCCAGCATTACCCTAATACCAAAACCAGACAAAGCCATACAAGGAACGAAACTGCAAACCAGTGTTCCTCCTAAGAAGAAAAAAAATCCTTAAAAATTCAGCAAATCAAATTCAACCATTTATAAAATGATAACACATCATGACAAAGCAGGACATTCCTGGGATTAAACTCCAAGAATCCAAAGTTAGTGAAACATTCAAAGGAAAGACAAATTGGATGTTTAAAACAAAAAGATACCGTTTACAAGAGCTTCAAAACTATCAAATACTTAAAGGTAAGTTAAAAAATGTGTGCAAGACCTGCACACTGAAAAACTACAAAAGATAACTGAGAGGAAGTAAAGAAGACTTAAACAAATGAGAGAAATACCATTGTCACTGGGTGGAGGATAACAAAGAGTGTAACACAGTCTACCACCAGA
This sequence comes from Homo sapiens, assembly GCF_000001405.40. Classification (NCBI taxonomy): domain Eukaryota; kingdom Metazoa; phylum Chordata; class Mammalia; order Primates; family Hominidae; genus Homo; species Homo sapiens. The sequence continues at coordinate 28,483,011 of NC_000006.12, read as the reverse complement.
AGCAATAGTCCAGGATGTCAACCTACTGCATAGATTGTTTTAGTTTTTTGTTTGTTTGTTTTTGTTGTTGTTGCTTGCTTGTTTTTTTTGAGACAGGGTCTCGCTCTGTCACCCAGGCTGGAGTGCAGTGGCTCAATTGTGGCTCCCTACAGCCTTGACCTCCAAACACTGTGGTTGGATATACTGAGATAGGGATTCCTCAGGCGTAGACACGTCAGGCAACCATGCTTCCAAAGTCAGCATTGCCCAGCAGGCATTGCAATGCCATGTTTCCCTTTCACTGGAGGGCACAATTTAAGGTCCAAATACTTTCATTAAGCAGGAGTACCACCCTTCGTTGAGTTGTCCTTCCTGATGGTCCTTTTTGTAGTTGTTGCTTGAGTTATTCATTCTAGTGCTTTAACACCACCCCTCCCACTCTGGGTGCCTGGAAGTGATGGAGCAAATCAAGGTCATTGTACGCCATAGGAACATGCCCATTGCTGCATTATCTGGGCTGTGAAGAAGGTGCCTTGGTCAGATTAGAGTCTGAATAGATATCTGAACACATGGCAGAGGTGTTTCTCCAGTATTTCAATTTTGTTCTTCTTTAATGTTGTGTAGTTATTCTGCATCTTTTGCCTTTCCATATATACTTCAGGATCTATTTGTCAATATCCACAAATAACTGGCTGAGATGTTGATTGGGATTATGTTGTATCTATAGATCAAATTGGGAAAAATTGACATCTTGATAATATTGAGTCCTCCTAACCATGCAAAGGGAATATCTCTCTATTAGTATATTTCCTTTGATTTCACCATGTTGGCCTGGCTGCTTAATTATCTGTCCAACAGTCACTGGACCATATGGCTAGCCCATTTATAACAGCCCATGAGTCTATAAATAAATAGCAGGGAGTTGCTGTTGGAGTAGCCTGCACGGCCATCAGTACCTCACAGAGTTCAGCACATTGGGCAGAGGGTCCTCATCCACTCTTAGTCAAAGCGTGGCCACCCTTGGGGTGGAGGACCACTCTTCTTGCATGTGTCCTGACTTTACTCCCTCCAGAAAGAACAATTAGGGGTAGGGCCACGGTCTCCTGGTTTTTGCTATGGTCAAGTGACCCTACATACCAGCAAGGGTAGAAGGGGAGAAAGGAGTGGGGGTTCAGATGTGTATGGGGTTTTTGGACACTGAGGTTTAAAAGACAAGAATCCTGATTTCTCGCAAGGGTAGAGGTAAGCCGATAGCATTGGAGGGCTTCAGGAGTGACACCATGATCCATGGCAGGCAGGTGCTCATGCGCTATGGGTGGGGCCCTTTGGTCCATTTCTGACGGGGCAGGAGGACCTGCCTTTGAGGAGGATCTTGTCTCATAAAAGCCTCCAAGGTCACTGGGACGGGACCACGTTGTCCACATCTTGTCGGGGAGCAGGATCCTATTTCTACCTGTCTATTGCCTTCCCACGCAAGACAGTTATGACTTCATGGACAGTTTTCTAGAGGGTTCTTCCTCTTGGGGAAGCCTCCTGCAGTAGGGAATACAGCCCTCTTGTTCCTATCAACACAAACTAAGAATGGGATAGGTTTATCTCGATCCCTGTCCTGCTGGTTCTGTCATTGGGTGAAGGCAAAACTAGAGCTGCAACACCAGAGTTATGGTCAGTTTTCTCAAACTGCGCCAGTCGGGTGACATTGAGTTTGCACTCCCCGTCACCAAACAGATGCATCAACCAGGCTGCATGAGACTCCCCAGAGTTGGAGAAGATGTAACAGCAGAAGCAGAGATCAATGATGCAGCCATGAGCCGAGCAATGTGGCAAGGAATGGATTCTTCCCTAGAACCTCCAGAAGGAAATCAGCTCTGCCACATGTTGATTATAGCTCCCTAAGACCCATTTTAAACTTCTGTCCCCCAAAAATTTAAGATAATGCATTTGTATTATTTTAAGCCACAAAATTCATGGTAATTTTCAAAAGCTGCCATAGGCAACTGATACAGATTTATGGTATTTGGTGTAGATTGTGGTATTGTATAATACTGCAGTCAGGGCATTAAAATAGCATCTAGCTCACAAAGGAAGTTGGTAGGGTTCTTGAGGGACTGCAGCCTCATTTTTCAGTTGTGTTGTCTGTCAGTGATCCAGGAATCCAGATTTCATACCGAAAAGTTTAATGGGTGGGATATTTCTTTCTCAAGCAAAAGTATATGGAAAGTACAAAATCACCATGCCCTCTCTGAGGTTCAAGCTCGGGACCTTCAGATTATGAGACTGATGTGCTGCCTCCAGGGCTAAGAAGGCACTGCTGTCTTAGCAAATCCGTTAATTATACTCTTTCAAGTTTATGTGAACTTTCTGAAAAGTTAGATTTTAAAAATAGAGTGTAAAATGAGAATGTATGCTATGTCATGTGTTTACTGTCCTTCCAAGTATGTCGTATGACTTGCAAAAATCATCTCGGGACTTTCCCCTTGTTTAAATAAATGTACAACACAGTGGATTTTCCCACTGTGCCTTAAACACCACTTTCTCCTGGGAGATGTTAGACTTCATTAGATTGCACACTACCCCCCAGCACAACATGTGTAAATTATGTAACTAGAAGGTGACATATAGACGCAAGGGGACTGAGCTGGGTCCACAGCCTGAAGATTCGCAGCCGGAAGCAATGACAGACGCAGAAAGCAGATAAGTTCTAATGAGATCATAGCTGCAGGTTTACCTGGGTCTGAAGCTACACCTCCTTGCCTGCCAAAGTTCTCCTTAAAATCAGTGTCCCTAACCATGTCACCTGAAGGATCTTTACAGGTCTAGAGCCCCAGAATAGTGTAAATAGAGGTGAGACAAGGGGGAAGAGATGAGGTGAAATGATTGAGAAGGGAGAAACAATATACAAGGTAAAGCGATCTGACAAAGTGAAAATTGTCCGACGTTTGAAATTGTAGGGTTGAGGTGTAAATTTTCCACGTGCCATCTTAACTTAAGAAAAATAATTCACTCGACTGTCTTGTAAATATGTTACTTTAAAAAACTTCACTAACTGTAAAATGAGAGATCTCACTGTCATTCATGAGACTGAGCACTTGATATAAAAAGTTCAGTAAATGCTAATAAATGATACCAATACTGATAGTAAACTTCACTGAGTGCTTATTATGAGCCAGGTGCTGTTTTAAGCAATTTACATGCATTTGCTAAAAATAAAAATTCTGCTATAGTTTTTTAACTCTTTTATTTCAATAGGTTTTGGGGGGAACGGTGGTGTTTGGTTACATGAGTAGGTTATTTAGCGGTGATTGCTGAGACTTTGGTGCATCTGTCACCAGAGCAGTGTACATTGTACCCAATGTGTAGTCTTTTATCCCTCAACCCTCCCCCACCCTTTCCCCCGAGTCCCCAAAATCCATTGTATCAAAACATTCTGCTGTAATTTTTAAAGGCAAGTTTTATTGTCTCGGTTTTACATATGAGGAAAGTGAGATCCAGTGAGCTTAAGTGACTTGCCAATGACCCTGCAGCTATTAAGTGGAGCTGCTGGCATTTGAAATATTCCAACTGTGGCTCTTTTAAAAAGGGTCAGCATCTAATGGGACAGGTGGGACTAAATAAGAAGATGAGCGGCGTTGGGGCTGCAACAGGGAAGAAGAAGTCGGAGTGCCAGCCCAGACGGCGTTTGTGGGGTTGGAGCGAGCAGGCGACACATCCTGTTAGGGTCCGGAGAGGATGTGATACTCCGCACCAAATACAAACTGGTCCTCGCCCTGAACTTTAAAAACTAAGGTCATGAACACATTCAGCTAAAAAAGCAGGTCTGTTTGCATAGTTCTTTCCACCTCTTTCACAAGAGGGAATCACGCACAGACACATAAACCAAGACGCGAGTTCCGGGTGGATGGGGATGACAGCTCCTCTGTTTTCTGGTTGCAAACATCAAAAATAACATCTTGCTCCAGACCCCCAAACGCAGCTGACAAACTGGAGACTCGATCTCAGAGTCCTCAGAGTCCCCGTGCTGCGTCGGCCTAGGCGTGGGATTTCTAATCATGTTCTTAAGAACCGATTCTCTTGGGATTTGTTGGATATTAGGTACTGGCTTCCTGTCCCTTTACTCTCAGGTATTAGAAACAGCATGGGAGACAAATGCAAATCTCAGCTGCAGGACAAAGGACTGGGACTAGGAACCTATTTGTAGATTTTATCGGTAGTTGAGACCGCTACGGAATCATTTGTGTAGAAATGCTCTGAGAAAAAAAAATAGTAAGACGCAGAATAATCTTGTGTCTTTTAAATCATTAAGATGAGTCCTAATACTGGACTAGCGTGGTAGCGTGGCCGAGTGGTCTAAGACGCTGGATTAAGGCTCCAGTCTCTTCGGGGGCGTGGGTTTGAATCCCACCGCTGCCAGGTTTATTGCAAAATTAGTAGGGATATCTAAAGCTCATTGAGATTTGCAAGAAAAACATTTTCCACTGCGAGCACAAGGTAGGTATTTAATCCTGATAATGGTAGGTTGAAAACCAAATAGCAGCTGCAAAATCAGACTGCCATCAGTTATTTCTAAGACCTCCTCTCCAAGGGAGTATGTTCCTTTTTATGTTTTAAAAATGCTCATACAAAAAGTACAACTCACATGATTCAAAATTACAAAAATTCAAGAATACATACATAATGACAGTCTATTTGTGCCCCCACCCCATCCTGCCGGACACCCAATTCTGGACCCTCAGGCAACCAACCATATTAAAATCTGGAGTTCTATTAAAGGCATATTCTTTGCATATAGTTTTTTCACTATAAATACGCTTTCCAAACCCATTCTATTACACCTTGCCTTTTTCACTTTATGTATGTTGCAGCAATTTCCATGTCAACAAAGAAAGAGCCTCTTCCCTCTTTGTTTTGTCTGTATAGCATTTAGTTTTATAAATGTATCTGAATTTATTTCAGCAGCCATTTTTAACAATATAAATAATGTTGCAATAAATTAACTTGTATATCCGCATTTAATAAGTGCCTGGGATTAGAAAACGTTCTAAGAATGCAATCGCTAAATCAAATCATATGTATGTGATGATGATTTTGGTGGCTCTTGCCTTATTCTCCTTCCCTAAATATTACTAATTTATTCTCCTATAGGGCCCAGAAAGGACCTGTTTCCTCAACACCCTGACCAGCACAGAACATTGTAATAATGACAATTATCAGTCATTTAGCTCCAACTAAGCCCCAGATATTGTCATAAATTCTTTACATATATTGAGTCATAGAATAATCTCAATAATATATAAGGATGTTCATATAATCCACATTTTACAGAAAAGAAAATTGGAGTTGTGACCGATTAATCACATAATCACAGTCGTCTAAATCACATAGATTGTAGATGGAGGAATAAGAATGTCAGTGCCTGTGATTGAATGAAAAATGCCCCAAAAGATATCCATGCTCTAATTCTTGGAATCTCTGAATATTACCTTACTTTGCACAGACCCCCAAAAGGGGGGTCTTCGGAGAAAAAGTTAAAGATGAAGAAATTATCCTGGATTATCCAAGTGGAGCTCAAATACCATCACAAGTGCCTTTAATAGGGAGAGGCACAGGGAGATTATACAGTTACAGAAGAGAAGAAGACAATGTGACCACACGGACACAGATAGAAGCAATGCCACCACCAGCCAAGGAATGCGAGCAGCCACCAGAGGCTGGGAAAAGGTAAGGACATATTCTTCCCTAGAGCCTCCGGAGGGAGCATAGCCCTGCCAACACCTTGATTTCAAACCAGTGATACTGAGTTTGGACTTTTGGCCTCCAGAACTGTGAGAAAAGAAGTCACTTATTTTAGGCCATCAAGTTTGTGGTACTGTAATTTGTTACAGAAGCTACAGAAAACTAATTCAACATCTTTAAGTGCTATTCGGCACACTACCACAAACAACTGTTTTTGTTTTGCTGTTGTTTGCCAATCTGATATGTTAAAGACATTATCTCACTGTATTTCTATAGTTTCATTTTTTAAACTTCTTTTACTTCTTACTTCTATATTGCTTTTATTATTAAATTGGTTGCACCAACTGGGAACAACAGATTTTATTGTGTCTGCTATCAACCTTATCTCAGGCAACAGATAGAAATGAATAAAATTAACTCTTTAAAACATAAGTTACAAATATTTTCCCCCCCAGTTTTACTTGATGTTTTGTCACTGTGTTTATGCCTTTTTTGAGGGGATGAGGGTACATCCCAGTGGAATTTTTTAAATGTTGTTTAATGCAGTGAATTATGTTAAACTCTCATTGTCTCTGAATTTTGTGTAAAAAATTAGTTTTCTGTACCAAAGTTATATAAAATTTCTGTCTTGGAATTTCTAGTAATTATAACTGTGGGTTTGTTTCATTCTTTACTTTTACAATTTGCTTGTATTTGGAATTTATTTTAGTCTCATAGCTTTAAGCTTTTCTTTTCCTAAGTGGCTGTCCAATTAGCCCAACACATGTTTTGAATAATCTGCCTATTTCTATTGATTTAAGTTGCCAATGATTACAGTCTTAACCATTTTTTTCTCTCAACTTTTGAGTGTTTCCATTGGAGAAAAAAAACTATTTTGGTGGCCTAACAATGGTTTGTTCACTCTCTCATAATACCTGAGCATGTCATTTACTCAAGGCATACATTGACAGAAGATTCAAGTGTGGGAATTCAGTATGTCTGTTGTTTACTATTCTATTTATGAAGCAGCAGAGTCAGCCTCAAACATATTAGCAATCCCTGTTAATGTTTTTATAAATACAAATATTTGTTATTTTTAATTTTCTAAAAGTAATACAAAGTTGTAACTAATTTAAGCTTTTATTATTAAATTAGTTGCACTGACTGGTGACAACAGATTTTATTGTGTCTGCTGTCAACCTCATTTCAGGCATAGATAGAAATGAAGGTGATTTCCTTTATTTTTAAAATCTAATAAATGTAATCCTTTATTAAAATTGTGTCTGTGGAAGATTCAAAATCTACAAACTATTAGAATTAATAACTAAATTTAATAAGGTGTCTTTATGCAGGGTAAATATAAAAATGAATTGTACTTTTAAACACCAGCTGTAAACAAGGGCTGGGCGCGGTGGCTCACGCCTGTAATCCTAGCACTATGGGAGGCCAAGGCGGGCGGATCACTTGAGGTCAGGAGTTCGAGACCGGCCTGAGCAGCATGGTGAAACTCCGTCTCTACCAAAAAATACAAAAAAATTAGCTGGGCGTGGTGGCATGTGCCTGTAATCCCAGCTACTCGGGAGGCTGAGGCACAAGAATCTCTTGAACCTGGGAGGCAGAGGTTGCAGTGAGCCGAGATCGCGCTATTGCACTCCAGCCTGGGTGACAGAGTAAGATCTTGTCTCCAAAAAAAAAAAAAAAAGTAGAAATAAAAAATTTTAAAGTATAATTTATAATAACATAAACATCAAATTTATAGGAATAAATTTAATAAAAGAATAAATTGAATGTTATGCCATATGTATGGATTAAAAGTTTATCAGTTCTCCCTAAAATTTATCTAGCAATCCAAAGGAATTCCCATCTAAATCCCAGGATAATTTTCCTTATTGCTTTTGTGGCAAAGAAATGAAGGTGATTTCTGATTTTCGCCCTGAGCTCTGTAATTATAAATCTTGGTAGAAACTTCAGAATTAATTGCTCAAATAATTCATTTTGGAAACAAGACTGAGATTCCAGAGAACGTTCGGAAGTTTCCTTTAATCAGCTCTAAATGTATTAACCTTTCCTAACCCAGAGACACATTCAAACCGATTCCCCTGTCTTGCCAAGTGCAGCCCAGAGAAGTAAGATATTATAAAATAGAACCTGACTGGTCCTGAGAGCGAGCTGAGATCAAGTCTAAAGAAAAATAAGCCCAGAAGACAATCTCTAGAGCGATGCTCACATTGGGAAGGGGTTGACGCTCCGGTCCTCCAAATAGCTGCCTCCTGAGTGCAAATGACTGTCAGAACACCATACGCCCAACTCGGTAGCCTACGAGTCTCTTGTGGACTTCTTTTGTTAGAGGTTTTCCCTTAGGACATTGGAACGACGAATCATTAAAATGATAAAGAGTAGCACCTGCAAAATTTAATTTTAGGAAACTTTATCACATTTGGACAAACTAAGTAGCCTTGACTTTTACTTGTGGTTATCCTTGGACTAGCTGAAGCATTAATGGTCCTAACATTTAAGCTGCCCGAAAATTTTTTCGTTTGTATTAGTTCCGCAGTGCATCTAAGTAAGCAAAACGTATTTTTGGAGTTTGCCCCTTCTCTCACGGCAAACTGTTGCAGACTGTAGAGACGCTATGCCAAGAATCTTTTACTTAAAAGCAGGAATAGATTCAATAGGCAACTTCACTGCACATGTAGGCTCTATGGCTTAGTTGGTTAAAGCGCCTGTCTTGTAAACAGGAGATCCTGGGTTCGAATCCCAGTAGAGCCTTAAGGTTTTCATTTTCACTAGAAAGCCAGTTCTTCATTAACCTCGACTGTACCTAAATCTTCCACTGTATTCACTATACTGCAAGTTCTAATGCAATCAATTATAGGTTATGTGAAGGCAAAATTCCCAGGCTCAAAGAAGAAAATGAGAACTTTGTGAAGTTTTGAATTAAATTCTGGCAGCAGATCTTTTTTTCCAACAAATATTTATTGAGCTTCTCTGTGTATGCACAGATTCAAAACCTATGTAGATGTAGATTATGTCATCCCTAGAATCCAATAATGTCCAGCTCTTTGGCTGATTTCAGAAGAGTTCATATAAATTAATATACTACCATAAATTAATAAGTCTACCATAAAACAGATGGGAAATTAGCATATTTGCAGGGTCCTACTTGCCTTTTGAAGAGAACAGGAGGAAAATAATTTTTAAAACCCTGTTAACCCTCTTATAAAATGAACTAGGAACACTTTATAGTGACAGCCAGTTAGAAGCTATATTTGCCAGAGGCTGGTGCATCTCTGGGGCTGGAACAAAAGTGCTGAAGGAATAGAGCAAATCAAAGAAAATTTTCAAACATCCAAAGCTAATAAGGGCCAACCTTACTTGATTAGTTTCATTTGCATGTGTTTGCATATCTCATTATTTTGACCGTTAATTCAACACAGACGTATTGACTGCCTTCTATGTGCAAGGTACTGCTCCAAGTGCCAGGGGTAAGGCAGTTTAATAAATGCCAACCCCTCACCATCCCTCCACCCCAAAAAAATCTTACCCTCATGGACCTTATTATCTAGAAGAGTATGGAAGATAATGAATAGATAAAAACATAAAATAAATATTATGTCAGATTGTGGTGAATTCTATGGAGAAAAATTAAGCAAACAAAGAAGACGAGGAGTGTATGAGTAGAAACCAAGATTTCTATGCCCTTCTTATAAGGCACTAGCAGATCTATTTTTTGTTTTCCTTTATCTTTTATGAGAAGTGATCTTAGGATGACTCTGATCGCCATGTTATTCTAACAACCCTAGGTAACATCCTTAAACAGTGAATTGACTTTCAACTTTACCTTTGCTGCACCCTATTACATGCTGCCCCTCATTAGATCCCGACCCTGGACAGGGATCCATTCGAAGTCATATCAGAATGCCTGCGTACATCCCTCAGCTGTCCTCTTTAATAACTATGTAGTTTTGGCAAACTACATAACTTCACTGGGCTTCACTTCCCTTGTTTGTTTAATGATAATGGAATTGTTATAAGAATGTTTTCAAGAATAAATACAAATAAATTACTTTTTAACAAAAATGCTTTCAATAAGGGTCAGCATTATTATTATTATTTGAACAAACTTTTTTGGGGCCAAGTGTTTCGTTCTTTAAACCACACTTTAAGCTCTTATTTCATTTTATGATAAAAATCCCAAAGCTTAACAATTTACTAACTTCTACTAGCAAGTAAAAAAAAACTATCTTTTTTTCTATTCATATATGTACAGAAACAATACAGAATTTTAAAATAATTAGGGAAATAGATCAACAGTTAAATAAAATATTTAAGAGAGTGCATAAAAATGTTAGCCTCATATATTCTAATTGAGGTAGCAAACATATATAGAAATTTACACAATAATAAAAATCAGGATCATCATGATTAAATTACATGCCTAAAAGCTCTTCTCTGAATTAAATTATGCTATGCACAAAAAATTTGGTTCATAAATATGCATTTTGGTGCATTCAGTGTGCTTTTGATTATGGCCACCAAGTATTTGGATATGTAGAAACACCTCAAAGCATTTCTAAGTTTAGCAACATATCTGTTTAACAGATAGAATTATGCTTCTGTTTTATTTGCTTTTTGTGAAATTTCTGAATCTCAAACTGCTATCAAAAGACTACATCTGGATAATAAATTATTTGTAGAATAGAAAAACAATGAAGAAAACATCAAACAACTGTCATTGACAGTGGAACACTGTGTATTCAGAAAATAATTGTAGCACATCATAATGTAATAGATTCTGGCTGCATATGATCATAGTGGCCAATTTCATTATTTTTATTTATTCAAAAACGCAGTAGACAATCCACACGATTTTGCAACTGTTTTCTTTTTTTTGTACTTTTTTTTGTTTTTTTAGTAGAGATGGGGTCTCACCGTGTTAGCCAGGATGGTCTCAATCTCCTGACCTCGTGATCCACCCGCCTCGGCCTCCCAAAGTGCTGGGATTACAGGCATGAGACACTGCGCCCGGCCACAGCTGTTTTCTTATACAGTTGTAATGATTTTACATACTATGGAATAGTTGACCTAACATATTTTAAAAGTTGCATCCGATAGTCTCAATACTTCAAAACTTACTGATAATCACAAATTATTTGCCCCAAAACTAGACATATGCTGGAACTTGCTGAAAAAGTAACCAAAATAATAGGCCTTGGGAGCAAACGGTTTTCTTATACATCACCTATTAAAAAGATTCTCCTATCAGCATCCCAGGATGGAACTCATACTGTGACAAAAGAATATACCTGTGTTACAAATCTATAAAACAACTTCATTGAAGGAAGTAGAGTAGAAAGCTGCTGAACTAAGTAAATTTGGAAATATAGTAGAGTCTGCAAGACTAAAGTCAAAAAGAACTGTATATAACATTGTACTCTAGTTGATTAAGTCGTTTACCAGGGGAGTATGGATTAAAAATTCTGAAACCCCTCTACATGGGTACTGGAATTGAACAACTAAATAAATGAATGCTAGATGGTGAGAGCCAGGCTTCTCACTTTGGGAGGGAAATTTTATAGACAAGCAAGGGAAGAAGGCTAGAATGATACAGGTGGTAATGGATTAAAATTGGAGATATCAGTATGAACTCAAATTTAGCTTAATATAGATACAAATGGATATATATTTATAGATATTTGTGTGTATATAATATGTATACATATTATGTATGTACACATGAAACACACATGCATGTATTTTGTTGGTCTGTCAGCTGAGAGGGCCTAAAGGCAACAATATCCCATTACCAATAAGGACATCTATTGCCCAGATCTTGGTTTCTAAAACTGTTTTCCAATAAAAGGAACCAGGGCTCCTTGGAGAAGTGGTGAATTGTAGGACTGGGTAGGAAATATACAAGATGAGCCTGGAGAATCTTGTAGTGCCAGAAAGTATGAAAGTGCTCAGAAACAACACGATGATGAGGGTATGTCAAGGGACATAGAACTCAACTAAAAGTCTTTCTAATTGCCAAAGAACCTCTGCAGATCTTCAGAACTCTCCCTCTCTGTAGCCCTCTTCTCCTTGGTACTTTGCCCGTGAATTTTAGTTACTTTGGCTTCCTTGAATGCTAACTCCCCAACTCTAGAAGATAGTTGGGCTCTGTTTAGGTTCCTGTGACTAAATGAGTAGTACTTTTTATTTACTGATACTGGATTAAATTTATAAATTTAATATAATTTATATTAATTTATAAAGAAAAGTGATATATTTATGATGACCAATCCAAGAGCATAGAATGAATGTCCATTTATTTAGGTCTACTTTTACGTCTTTTTTCTTTGTTCTTAGTTGTTTAATGTGAATGTGGGATTGTTTTGTTTTTTGAGATGGAGTCTCTCTCTGTTGCCCAGGCTGGAGTGCAGTGGCGCTGTCTCGGCTCACTGCAGCCTCTGCCTCTCTGGTTCAAGTGCTTCTCCTGCCTCAGCCTCCCGAGTAGCTGGGATTACAGGTGCGCACCACCACTCCTGGCTAATTTTTGTATTTTAGTAGAGACGGGGTTTCACCATGTTGGCCAGGCTGGTCTAGAACTCCTACCTCAAGTGATCTGCCCACCTCAGCCTCCCAAAGTGCTGGGATTACAGGCCTGAGCCCCTGTGCCCTGCCATGGTGTGGGTTTTTACTACAGAAAATTCCTTCATTTCAAGGGTTCACAGGGCCCAGACAACCTGGGCTCCTTGCACTTACTTATGAATCAGAACCTGTAAAGACTCTCCCTTTTAGCCACTGTAATTAGATCAATTTGCTGAGCTTCTATTCTTAGGTGGAGCCCTCTCCTCCTTTTAGCAGGCGAATTTCTGGATTTTCCAGTTCTGAGGGCCATCAGACGTTCATTTCCTTTCTCCTCATTTCCTCTCTTACAGTTGTTGTACCTTGCATTTGTTGGTGAGTAGTTCCTACTCAGTCATATTTGACAGTTTGTGAGAATACTTAATTACCTCATTTTGTTGAGGATATTGCTGATGGGATTTTGTTTGGTTGGTTTTCTATCCTAATTGTTATGCTTTTTTAATGGAGTGATTCAGAAAGACTCAGCAGGTATATTACAGCAATCATCTTGCCACAAATCTTCTATTATTTTATACTTAACCAAAGTACTCTTTCTTCCTAATCAACATATTTAAGTGTATGTTTTTAAAAGGCAGGATTATTTTCTACTGTTTTAATGTGGACAATCATATCACTCATTCCAAGTATCACAGAAGAAATCTGCTTGTCTTCCAGAGTTAGTGTCTATAGTGTTTCCTCTTCAAATCACTTATTCTGAGCTCCTCTCCTGCTTGATCCAGTCAAGTCTCTGAAACGAGCTCACAAGCTCATAGCAGTCACTTCAACCAGATATAGTGAGAGGTGACAGCGTGCTGGCAGTCCTCAGAGCCCTCGCTCGCTCTCGGCGCCGCCTCTGCCTGGGCTCCCACTTTGGCGGCACTTGACGAGCCCTTCAGCCCACCGCTGCACTGTGGGAGCCCCTTTCGGGGCTGGCCAAGGCCGGAGCCCACTCCCTCAGCTTGCAGGGAGGTGTGGAGGGAGAGGCGTGAGCGGGAACCGGGGCTGCGTGCGGCGCTTGCGGGCCAGCTGGAGTTCCGGGGAGACGTGGGCTTGGCGGGCCCCGCACTCGGAGCAACCGGCCGGCCCTGCCGGCCCCGGACAATGAGGGACTTAGCACCCGGGCCAGCGGCTGCGGAGGGTGTACTGGGTTCCCCAGCAGTGCCAGCTCACCGGTGCTGCGCTCGATTTCTCGCCGGGCCTTAGCTGCCTTCCCGCGGGACAGGCCTCGGGACTGCAGCCCGCCATGCCTGAGCCTTCCCCCGCCTCCGTGGGCTCCTGTGCAGCCCGAGCCTCCCCGACGAGCGCCGCCCGCTGCTCCACGGCGCCCAGTCCCATCCATCACCCAAAGGCTGAGAAGTGCGAGCGCATGGCGCGGGACTGGCAGGCAACTCCACCTGCAGCCCCAGTGCGGGATCCACTGGGTGAAGCCAGTTGGACTCCTGAGTCTGGTGGGGACGTGGAGAACCTTTATGTCTAGCTCAGGGATTGTAAATACACCAATCGGCACTCTGTATCTAGCTCAAGGTTTGTAAACACACCAATCAGCACCCTGTGTCTAGCTCAGGGTTTGTGAATGCACCAATCGACACTCTGTATCTAGCTACTCTGGTGGGGCCTTGGAGAACCTTTGTGTGAATACTCTGTATCTAGCTAATCTAAGTGGGGACATGGAGAACCTTTGTGTCTAGCTCAGGGATTGTAAACGCACCAATCAGCGCCCTGTCAAAACAGACCACTCGGCTCTACCAATCAGCAGGATGTGGGTGGAGCCAGATAAGACAATAAAAGCAGGCTGCCCGAGCCAACAGTGGCAACCCGCTCAGGTCTCCTTCCGCTACGTGGGAGTCTTGTTGTTTTGTTTTTTGCGATAAATCTTGTTGTTCGTTTCTTGAGTCCACACTATCTTTATGAGCTGTAACACTCACGGGGAAGGTCTGCAAGTTCACTCCTGAAGCCAGTGAGACCACGAGCCCACCAGGAGGAACAAACAACGCCCAATGCGCAGCCTTAAGAGCTGTAACACTCACCGCGAAGGTCTGCAGCTTCACTCCTGAACCAGCAAGACCACAAACCCACCAGAAAGAAACTCTGGACACATTTGAGTATAAGAAGGAACAAACTCCAGATGTGCCACCTTAGGAGGTGTAACACTCACCATGAGGGTCTGTGGCTTCCTTCTTGAAGTCAGTGAGACCAAGAACTCTTAAAATTCCAGACCCAATAGCATTCCACCTCATACCTTCACATATGCTCTGCTGTTATGTACTTCGTTCATATTCTTTAGTATTAGATAAATGATATTTTTCCCAGGAAAACAACTCTCAGCAAAATACCTCTGAGGATAGGAACTTGTTTTTGTTTATTGTATTCCCAGAACATGGAAAGCCCTGGCATGTTATAGGTTTTTTTCTGAAATATGACTGCTTCCGTAGCGCTCTGTATTTCACCAGTCAGAATTTGTGACTTTTATGTTTAGTGTATTTTTTAATTGCGTTTAGAGATGGGGTTTTGCTATGTTGTCAACGTTGGTCTCAAACTCCCACCTCGACTTCCCAAAGTGCTGGGATTACAAGTGTGAGCCACCCGTATAAAGCCTGCTATTTTACTAGAGTCAAGAGTGAAGTTTCTGGCCACACAGCTAAACAAAATTAAGCTATTTAGACTGCTCTCAAACCTTAGCCCTGTGGGTTAGGAAACCTGAGTTAACTTTCCATTTTCTGTGAGGAGAAGTTAGCAGCCTAATAAACAGCTATTTAGCCATTTTAGTATTGGAGAAGTTAAATAGAAAATAAAATGTTAGATATCTATGTAGGAGGTTCTCCATGAAGAATGAACAGGCCATACGAACAAGCTGTATATGCATCTTGTCTATCTCTTGGGCTGTGTATATCTGCTTCTGTTTTGGATTCATACTCCGTTCATCTTGATTGTTTAGATTTACAAGTAGGAAGAAGGGGGAACTGTGTGACATAGCTCTGAACAACTTAGTGACAGCATCTAACAGCTTCTGAAGGGCAACTTAGAAAGGGAGCTTTGTGGATGAAAAATGTTGAGGTAAAAGTATTGTCAATTAAACAAGGATTTGGCCTTTAAAGCACTGTTTAAATTGCTTCTGTTCTACCTTGTCCAAAGGAGTGATTCACTTTGAGATATTCTTCATGTGATGGAATGAGTTAAAATTAAACCAGCCTGCTTAAGAAATAAAAGTAGGACCTTAATTTGATTGGCATTGTGCATAAGCCAGTTGAAAAAGATCATGAATCTTTTTTTTTTTTTTTTTGGAGACAGTCTTGTTCTGTCGCCCAGGCTGGAGTGACGTGATCTCAGCTCACTGCAACCTCCGCCTCCCGGGTTCAAGCTATTCTTCTGCCTCAGCCTCCCAAGTATCTGGGACTACAGGCAAATAACACCACGCCCAGTTAATTTTTTTGTATTTTTAGTAGAGATGGAGTTCACTATGTTGGCCAGGCTGGTCTCAAATTCCTGATCTCAAGTGATCCACCTGCTGTGGCTTCCCAAAGTTCTGGGATTACAGGCATGAGCCATTGCACCTGACCAAAAGAACATGAATCTTGTCCTCAAGAAGCTTTTAATATGATTGAAAAGACCAAATAAGCACATACCCCAAATACTATAGACATAAGAAAAACAATTGTTTACTCATAACGTGTGCAAAGCACTCAGTGTTTGAATTCTGGAAATGTGTGAGCCTTGCAAACCTTGGACAAATTACTTACCTTCTTTAAGTTTCAAATACCTCAATGAAAAAGACAATTAATAGTGTCCACCTCAAGGAGTTGTTAGAAAGCATTACATAATTCATGTAAAGTGTCTAGGATATATTAAGCTATTATTATCATTATTATTATTAACACAATATTTATTTGCTTTCTGAAAATTGATGGGGCAAATCTGCCTTCCCTTGCTATTAAGATGAGATTAATGAGTGGAAAAACTGATGCAATCTATAATCATAACCAAAATGGTAAATTCAAGACTGGGTTAAATGTTTCTCCAGGGAGATTCACTCACAGTGACAGTCTCTAAGGGATCACTTATATACTGGGTAAGAACTGGTTTTAACTGCCTTTAATCAGACTTGGAGTGAGAGAATGTTCTCTGCCTTCAGAATTACATTCACCCTACCTGCTGTATTAAGACCTTTTGTGGCTCTTATTTAAGCCTTGGCCTGATCGTACCTGCTCCCATCTCTCAGGACTTTCTCCTGAGACTTTTCTCCTATCTAGACTTCAATAGCCGACAATGCCTGCTTAATACAAGCTCAAATGGAAGAGGTATGCTCTAGTGATGTCTCTTTCTACTCACACCAGCCTAAATAGCCTTGGATTTAGTTTTATTTTATTTTATTTTATTTTGAGAGAGAAAATGAAGGTTCTGAATGCTGGATAAAATCAGCAAAGGTAAGATGCCTCAGTGAAGCATTATGCCAAATCAATGACTGTCACTTGTTCATCTCAATCCCAAGTTATGTCCAAAAGATCCAGTTGTCTAGGAAAAAGGAAGGCATGAGAGAGCAAGTCAAGTCACTAAACATCAATTCTCTAAAAGCCAACACTCTGAAGGTCAATCTGAGAATCAAACAATATAAACAATGAATAATAAGCAAAATATGGAGAATATTTTTGAGCGGGAAGGATCTTGTTTTGCTTTTCTCCTCTGCCATTCTATATGTTAATGCATTTACTTTCTGTCAAATGTAGCTTATTGTCTTCTCTGTTTGTGGAGGCATATTCCTTTGCCACTGCCTCTGCCTCTATATTTGTCCTGGTCCCTGCCCTTGGTCATTCACCAGCGGCAACAAACCATTCCTAGCCATGAATTCAGGTAGTTGTATGACATTTTGCAGATGAGTGGCTGGTCAAATTGACCTAGAGGTGACTGGAAGAGGCAGGAATCCAGCCTAGGATGAATAAATCCTCAAGCTAATCCTTACAAGCCAAGCTTAAAATTTACCATGTTTAGGAGGTCTTTCTTAATTAAATCATCTATTTCAATCAGTCCACACATAGGGGCCCCTTTCTGTTAATTGCATTTCTAATCTCCCAGCATCTCAGATGAAAGCTTCAGTTTCTTTTAACTCTTTCCTTTTATACCCATGCCTTGTTCTTGATTTCCACTGTCACTAAACAGCTGATCCTCTCAGCCTCTCTCCAGTAGCCTTCCAGACTTCCAGATGACCTCCTAACTTCGTGGCTTTTATTTATTTATTTATTTATTTTTCCACAAGAAAACATCTGCAAGTACCAGGCTCTTTTTTAATTCCCCATTTTGTCGCCATAAGAAATGTTCTAAAGTGCTGCTCCAATCATTGCACATCCCTCCTAAAAAATCTTTGTTTGATCAGACTTCTTAACCTAGTATTTAAGATTTCCATATCCTGAATCCAAGTTACTTTTACAGCCTGATTTGCCATTACACCACTTTATGCATGCTGTGCTGCAATAATCAATGATGTGTGTTTTTCACCTTTCAAACAATGCATATCCCTCTAATGTTCTTCATAATCATTTATAAATATTAAGATACCTTCTATTCTTTATTTTTTATTTTTATTAAATACATATATGTTCAAGGTTAAAAAGTAAAATAATACTATGAGTTTGCAATGTGAAATAGCAGTTGTCTTCCTCATCACTCCTCACCCTCAATTCCTGTTCTCCTGAAGCAACAGGCTCTTAATATTTCAATGTTTTCTTCTATTTGCCCATTTTTCATTGTTTTTTTTTCTTTTTCTTTTATTTTCTTTTCTTTTCTTTTTTTTTTTAAAGACAGAGTCTCACTCTGTCGCCCAGGCTGGAATACAGTGGCACCATCTCAACTCACTGCAAACTCCACCTCCCCAGTTAAAGCGATTCTCCCACCTCAGCCTCCCAAGTAGGTGAGATTACAGGCGCCCGCCACCACGCCCAGCTATTTTTCTTTCTTTTTTTTTTTTTTTTTTTGTATTTTTTGTAGAGATGGAGTTTTGCCATGTTGCCCAGGCTGGTCTTAAACTCCTGACCTCAAGTGATCCGGCACCTTGGCCTCCCAAAATGCTGGGATTACAGGCATGAGCCACCATGCCTGACCTATTTGCCCATTTTTCTAATAATGAGCTTTACTCTATTTGAATTTTTCAGTTTTAAATATTATTTCTTACTTATCATAAGAAAATAAGATCTTTTTAACCCTTAATAACAGAGAGCAAGCAAGTGAGCAAAAGAGAAAAACGTATGCCTCACCTTTCAGATACTCACATATCACACTTTGGGCTAGATCAGCATTCAAGGTTTACACTTTTTTTGTTGTTGTTGTTGAGATAGTGTCTCATTCTGTTGCCTAGGCTGGTATGCAGTGGTGTGATCACAGCTCACTGCAGCCTCGACCTCCCAGGTTCAGGTGATCCTCCCACTTCAGTCGCCAGAGTAGCTGGGACTATAGGCAGATGCCACCTCAGCCGGCTAATTTTTTGTATTTCTTGTAGAGATGACGTCTTGCTATGTTGCCCAGGCAGGTCTCAAACTCCTGGACTCAAGTGATCTTTCTGCCTTGGCCTCCCAAAATGCTCGGATTATAGGTGTGAGCCACTGTGCCCGGCCCTACACTTTCAAAATGCATAAACATTAGCCATGGTGGAATCATGTAATGACCTATAGTTACCTAAAAATCTCCTCTCAGTGAGTTGTGTCATACTAAGTGTGACAGATGTTACCAATTTCATTCTTACTCTTTTCTTGGAGACATGGCTCCTGGTGCCTGTTCAATCCTGGTTGTTTTCTAGCAGTATCCAGAGCCCTGCCTTCACCATTGCCTTGGAAGTTCCTGTCATCCTCTTGTGTGGGTTTTCTGTTTCTTGTATGTTTTCCTCTTTTTCTACTTAATCCCTTATTTTGGTGACACATAACCTCTGAATAGTGGAGTTCCAGCAAGAAAGAATAAAAAAAATAGGGCAGAAAATTAGCAAAGAGATTCATAATAAAAATATTATGGCAGGATAATGAGGGGTTAAAGATTAGAAGAGTTGGAAGTTGAGGGGTCATCTGGAAGGCTACTGGAGAGAGGATTGTGGCAGTGGAAATCAAGGACAAGTCATGGGTATAAGACAGATGAAGGAGTTAAAAGTAATCGAAGCTTTAATCTGAGATGCTGGGAGATTAGAAATGCAATAAACAGAAAGGAGCCTATATGTGAAGATTGATTGAAATAGACAATTTAATCAAGAAAGACCTCCTAAAAAGTGATAAATTCTAAGCTTGGCATATGAGGATTAGCTTGAGGATTTATTTATCATAGGCTGGATTCCCGCTTCTTCCAGACACCTCTATGTCAATTTGTCCAGCTACCCAGCTGGTGTCCCCAAGCTGGTGTCTCTAATAGCTTCCTAAGAAGCTGTTTCTGGAAAATAAAAACTACCCAAAAATGTCTTATTCTAATTTGATTGATTTTTTGCAGATAGAATTCTAGGTTGGAAATTATTTTTCTTCAGAATTTTTCAATCATTACCCCTTACCTTTTAACATCTAGTGTTGCTGCTAGTCCAATATAATTTTAATTTACACACACACACACACACACACACACACACCCCTTCTGGAAGTCTTTGGGATCTTATCCTGATTAGTCTGAAAATTCAAGAATAACACAACTAGACGTTAGTCTTTTGCCTTTCATTGTGCTGAATACCTGGCCACTCACCAGGTCCTTAGTTTGTCCTTAGTTTGGGAATATTTTTTTACTGTGAATTTCTTTGCTAATTTCCTGCCCTATCTTTAAAATTCTTTCTTGGTAGAACTCCACTATTCAGATTTGAACTTTGATGAGGGAGGAGGGAACACTGATTCTCTAATGTGCATTTTTCACAGAGTACAAGCATTTTTATTACATTCACCAGGGAGGAAATGTCTGGGAACAATGTTTCTAGTTTTTCTCAACTCTGTCATTCAGTTTTGAGAAAGGAAGAGGAATTTATCAGATTGGTAAATCTGACAGATGCAACTAAGCATGTTTGACTCAGCCACTTCCCTTCTGTCTGGTTGAATCCAGTCTGTCTTCAAGATTCATTCTGCTCTGCTTCTCCATACCCCGACCTACGCACAGATCCATTTTCTGTGTGTGTGTGTGTGTGTGGGTGTGTGTGTGTGTGCATGTGTTGAGTGGGTGGCTGTCCAATTGAGTCAATGACTGACAGGTACATCCTCTCAGGGATGCAGAAAAAGCAAGATGATTTGATTGCATAACTAAAACCATGATCTTCAAACAGCACTAACAACAAGGTGAACATTTTGACCTAAGTCTTTCTGGCATCAATGTCCATTTTTCATTTTGTTCTAAATTCAGGAAGAGAAGGCAGATGTGTTATTAATTAATTCCCCTAAACTCTGACAAGTCATGTACATAATCCTTTTTAATATATTTTTATTCATTTCTATATATTTTTGTTCTACTTTCTGAAAAATTTCCACAACCTTTCAGCCTTTTAAATTTTTTAATTTATACCATATTCTTAAGTTTCAACTGCTATTTCATGTACTTTGTACCCTCCCTTTTCCAGTAATCCTGTTCATGTTTCAAGGTGTCAATATCTTTTATATGTTATCTGAGAACCTCTCCTCCCTACACTGTTTTCATTCTGTTTATTTTTTTAATTATGTATTTATTTTTGTATCTCTAATCAGAAGCTTTCCTAGGACATTCAGTTATCCTGGTCCATTCCTACTTAAGAGTGAGACGCTACCATGCTAATTGACAGCTCTGTGTTAATATGTGGAGCTTGGCGATGTGTGGGTTTTGCTGTTGGGTGATCAAGTGCAGATGCAGATTTTCATTTTAAAATCTTCATTTGAAAATGTAGGTGTTTCCAGAACTGTTTCTCAAATGATAAATCCTCAAAATTCTTATTTAGACTGTATAGGCATGACTACCAATGTTCTGGTTATTGAAAGGGGTTAAGAGTTGGGGGTCTCATAAGTCAGCAGGCAGACTGTAATTTAGTTGCCCCATTTTAATTCGGCTCCGTTACTCCTGTTCTCAGGTTTGCTGGTGTCCCCAAGCCTAGGGTGCCTTTAGTTCACCCTTACAAAGGAGCAAACCTGCTGCCTTGTGCCAGGGTAGGGGAGAAACAGGTATTTGCTATCATTGAAGAAGTTGGGCATCCAGGGCTCTAGCTGTTTTTAATACAGTCTCTCAGACAATGCTTTTGCTTTCAAGTCCATGCCACACCCCTCACCTTCAGTGATCTGGTTCCTCCAATTCTTATGCCTTTATGGGTTTCTCCCATATGAATCTATTTGCTTGTTGACTCCCAGCATTGCTGAGTAAGTTTTCTGCTTTCTCAGGTCTTCTAAGACAATTACCACTAAACCACCTAATTATCAGCTTCTACAAAGTTGTTGACATTGTGTTTCTGCTGTGATCTCCTTTCTCATCCTCTTTTTAGGAGTTTACACTTTTTTATTCTTTTACCCCCATTTTAGTAGGTATAGACAAATGCATATGTTATATATGCCATGTTTAGCCTGGAATCTGTATCTTCAAGATCTAGTTAAATAGCACTCACAGGCCGGTCACGGTGGCTCACGCCTGTAATCCCAGCACTTTGGGAGGCCGAGACGGGCAGATCACGAGGTCAAGCGATCGAGACCATCCTGGCCAACATGGGGAAACCCCGTCTCTATTAAAAATACAAAAATTAGTCGAGCATGGTGGCGAGCACCTGTAGTCCCAGCTACTTGGGAGGCTGAGGCAGAAGAATCACTTGAACCCGGGAGGCAGATGTTGCAGTGAGCTGAGATCGCGCCACTGCACTCCAGCCTGGAGACAGAGCAAGACACTATCTGAAAAAAAAAAACAAATAGCATTCACATTCATGATCCCACCATCGGCTGGATTCCTACTTACAAGTAATTTATTTCATTTTCAAACTGTCCTTGTCATCGAGGATGACACTTAGCACATTCTTGGTTGTTGTTAGTTATTTATGCACATGTAGAAAGGTCCTGGTGTATAGATTTCTTGGAACAGAGGGTGGGTATGGTTGGTTTTTCCTATCCCACACTGCATAATATGGTGCCCCATGCTTGGTAGGCACATAAGTAATATTAATTTAATGAGTGAATGTATAAATAAATGACTGAATAATCAACTAATATATTCTCTGAACTTAAACATTAAGACTACATTCTATGTTTTGGGAATTGTAAGTATGATAATTTTCTTTTGAATGTATTTCATCTTATGAAATATTTGTCTCTAAAATTAGTTTATAAGGTCTTTAAATGGAGGAGCCATGTATTTCATATCATTTCTTGCAGTTACTACTTTGCCCTTTAGATACAAAATGCTCAGAATTAATTCCTTCTGAGTGGGCGGCAGAGGAGATGCAGGGCAAATTTAGCTCTCCCATTCAAAGGGTGATCTTGAGGGATACCTGCACCATCTGAAAACTGGATTTGGAGACATGAACTTACTCTTGGTGAGTAAGGCTTATGATTTAGAAGAAATATAAAATTACCTATGACCTTTTATCCATTCTTTCTATTCTCATTTTCCTCTCTAAACAGACAGCTAAAATTTTACTTTTTCTGACAAGCAGTCCACAATTACTGAGCTCTTATTGCAGTATATTTTTGCTTCTACTCAGTCACACCCAGTACACCTCTGTTTCAAGATTTATGCTGTACCTTCTACCTGAATGCTCTTTCCCCAAATTTCACATCTCCTTCCTTCTCTTTATTCAGGTCTTTACTCAAAATGTCACTTTATCAGTGAGGACTTCGTCAACTTCTTTATATAATAAAAATCCTTTTAGCATGCCTTATATCCCTTTGTGCTGAGTTATTATTCTCTCTAGTACTTATCACTACATGACCCATTAGTTATTTATCTATGTGTCTGGCGTCTGTTCCCTCCAACTGCACTGTAAGATCTGGAAGGGCAATATCTATTTTTTCCAATTGTGTACCCCTAGCACCTAGAATAGCGAATAATCCTTAATAGGTGCTCAAATAATTCTTATCGAATAAATAATTTCCTAAAGTATAAATATTTCTAAAGCATGGTCCAAAGACCACTTGCATCATCTGAAGTAATGGTTGAAAATACAAATTCCTGGGTCCACCAATGACTTACAGAATCAATATCTATGAAGATGCAAGGCATGAATATATATTTTGAACATTTACATTAAACAATTACAACACAAAGATAAAATGGCCTAATTAAATGCATAATCCAAAACCCAGTAAGAACAAACTAACATAATAAAGAGTAGATACATTGGTTCATAGGTGGATAAAACAAGAAAAAATAAAAGAATAAGCAGATTTGCATAGAATTAATCAGAAGAATTTCTTGGGTTTGGCATAGTTATCCAAAGTGGCATAAATAATGTAATTATTGGCTTGGAGCTGGATGAAAGGCAGACCAGCTGGGTAAGGAGTATGTGATTTCTATAAAGAAAACTGCTCCAGCTTCAAGTACAAGTGCAAGATAAGAAGAGACGCAAATCTAGATCAAGCAGAAACCTCTCTCAGTGTATTCATTTCAAGAATTCTTTCTAATTATACTTGCACATAAATGTAGTTAACTTCACTGGGTGCAGTGGCTTACACCTGTAATCCCAGCACTTTGGGAGGCCAAGGTGGGAGGAGGATTACTTGAGTCCAGGAATTTGAGACCAGCCTGGGCAACATAGTGAGAACTTGTCTCTGAAAAAAAAATTTAGTTAATCATGAATTAGATGCCTATCTCTTGTTTTACGTGACACAAGCATGTATCACTATTACTCACATTTCATACAAAACATTCTCCTTCATATACTATAAAGATAGAATTGATAAAAGTCAAGGTTTCTTGTACTTTGAGTTGCTTTTTAAGGAGAGGGGTTACTTTGTGCTGACCCATCATCACATGATGTCACTCATTTAAAATAGCTTAGAATAAGGGTGTAGTCTGATTGTAGATATGGTCCTTTCCCTTTGAAACCAACTGAGCCATGTGCAATAATGATCTTGTCTTCATAACCAGTCTGTTCTTATTTATTGACTTAACTCATGTGTTACATACACCCACAATCCCTTCAGGGTTCATAGACCACACACTAAGGGAATTCTCATAAATCAACATTGTTTAGGTGGATCACTTTAAAACCAGATTTTAGTCACCCAGCAGAGAAAGAAATTAAAATCACACTTACAGATCCAGCCAGCAGACTGAAACAAGTCTGTCTGGTAGAGGTAATCATTATGATAAATAAATATGTACTTTCTTTGGTAAAGCACTCTCAGAATTCATTCTCACATCTAATCTCCAAATCTCTGCTCCAAACTAGCAAACTCCTACAATGTTTCTTATGTATTATCCTTTTGCTCAGCATTGTCTTTTAATTAGCCTTGGAAGAGCCTGCTGGGATCTAACCCTGTTTACTTGATAGGTATGGAGAGGGCCATGAGGAGACTTGGCTTCCTTTTACCCTGTGTCCGTCTCAGTAAGGAGGTACAGCATTTTGTAAATATTTCATTTTTTAGAGCAATTTTAGGTTCATAACCCTCTGCCCCCACAAATGCATAGTCTTCCTCATTATCAACATCCCCACTAGGGTAGTTCATTGGCTACAACTGATGAACCCACATTGACACATCATTATTAACCAAAGTCCATAGTTCACATTGGGATTCACTCTTGGTGTTACACATTTTATGAGTTTGTACAAAGTTATAATGACATGTGTTCACCGTTATAGTATCTTACAGAGTAGTTTCGGTGCCTTCTAAAAATCCTCTGTGCTCCACCTGTTTATTCCTCCCTCCCCCTTAATCCCTGGTGACCACTGATCTTTTTATTGTCTGTGTAGTTTTGCCTTTTCCAGAATGTCATATAGTTGAAATCATATGGTACGTAACCTTTTCTTATTGTCTTCTTTCACTTAGCAATATGCATTTAAGTTTCCTGCATGTCTTTTTATGACTTCATAGTTCATTTATCTTTAGCATTGAATAATATCTCATTGTCTGGGTGTTCCATAGTTATCTATTTACCTACTGAAGGATATCTTGGTTGCTTCCAAGTTTTGGCAATTATGAATAAAGCAGCTATAAACATCTGTGTGCACATTTTTGTGTGGACGTAAGGTTTTAACTCCTTTGAATAAATACCAAAGACTGCAACTTCTAGGTCATATGGTAAGATTATGTTTAGTTTTGTGAGAAATCACCAAAGTGTCTTCCAAGTGACTGTATCATCTTGCATTCTCTACCAGCAATGAATGAGAATTCCTGGTGCTCCACACCTGAACTGGTATTTGGTGTCATCAGTGTTCTGAATTTCAAACATTTTAGGTGTGTAGTGGTATCTCATTCTTTCAATTTGCATGTCCCTGATGACATAC
Organism: Homo sapiens; assembly: GCF_000001405.40. Classification (NCBI taxonomy): domain Eukaryota; kingdom Metazoa; phylum Chordata; class Mammalia; order Primates; family Hominidae; genus Homo; species Homo sapiens. Next base: position 28,457,327 of record NC_000006.12, on the reverse strand, counting down.
GATGTGGAACATCTTTTTATATGCTTATTTGCCATCTGTATATTTTTTTTGGTGAGCTGTCTGTTAAAACCTTGGCCCATGTTTTAGTTGGGTTGTCTGTTTCACTTATCATTGATTTTTTTTGGCGTTTTTGATGTATTTTTAACAGTCTTTTATCAAATATGTCTTCCGCAAATACTTTTTCTTTCAGTCTATGGATTTTCTTTTCATTCTCTTGATGGTATGGGATTTTCAAGCAAGGCAACTTTATCAGACAAAAGAGGAAGACCATCTTGTCTAGAATAGGAAGGTGGGGGTGGGGTATCATGAACACTGTGTATGTACCATATACCCTCATTCTAATTCTTGGGTCCTACTCTTTATCATCAGTGCTCTGACTTAGAAGAGACCTGCAGAATATTTTCAATTTATTATCTGGTGCCATTTTCTGTATCAGTCAGTTGTAAACAAGAAAAGCAAGTCTGATAACAAAAAGATAAGCAAAAAGAAAATATTAGAAGAGTAGTAGTTCATAGAATCAATAAGAAGGGTAAAGAATAAAACTTGGCACACACACAAAAGGCAGAAATGAGGAGAAGCAAAACAACCAAGATGCCACCCCTGGAAGAAAGCATATAGGACACATCGTTTGAAGTTGTCATTATGGGACATCAATCCAGGAAGGCAGCTTCTCTGTACTTTTGACAATCCCTTTCTCCTTCTTCATTCTTTTGCATAATTTCTACCCAGACTCAAGTCAGGGGTAGAATCATGTGATTAACCAAACTGAGGTGACATACTCCCTTTGCTGCCAGGCATCTGGGAGAATATGCAGCCCACCTTCCACTGGTTTCCTTAGTCAGACATAAAAGCCATAACAACTAAAGTCTACTAACCTATCACACATGGTTTTGAGTTGGGGGAAAAATGTGAAACCACTTTCTTTACTGAAAGAGCTTTTCAAATATTACTTCATAATGTTAATTATAGTAATTATTATATTCATTCATTCATTCACTGATTCATTATTCATTATTATTGTTATGATTTCTATTTAGGGTGTGTCCCATCTCTCCCTACTAAAACTATTTTTTCCTAGAAAAAGTTCTGTCTTCAGAACTTCTACCAACTCAGAACATTTTAAAAATCACTCTTATCTTACCTGATTTTAGCAGGTTGGTGTCACTGAGATTCAGTGAAGTACTTGAATGAAAGTTTCCCAGAGGATTTCATTCTCATGGGCTTTGTCAAATATCCATGGCTGGATTTTCTTCTCTTCTGTGTCCTCTTGACCTTCTACATGTTCACATTGTTGGGAAATAGTGCTATTATTCTGGTCTCTCAACTAGATTCCCAACTTCATAGTCCTATGTATTTCCTTCTCACCAGTCTTTCCGTCTTATATCTCTGTTTCACCACCACAACAGTACCTCAAATGCTGTTCAATTTAGGGGGCCCAACAAGAACATCACTTAAATAGGCTGTATGGCCCAGGCCTATGTATTTCACTGGCTAGCCTGTATTGAATGTGTCCTTCTTGGCATCGTGGCCTTAGACTGCTATGTGGCTGTCTGTAAGCCTCCAAGGTACACTATAATCATAGACCATAAGGTCTGCCTGCACCTGTCCAGCACTGCTTGGCTAATTGGTCTGGCCAATTCACTGCTGCAGTCAACAATCACAATTCAGTTGCCCCTGTAGAGGTGTATAGCTCAGATCTTCCTTTAGTTAGAGTCTGTCACCTAACAGTCTCTAACTGTAACAACCTTTGAGATCTGCTACAGCATTCTATCTGAGGCCAACTTCATGCTGGGGAGCTCCAAACCAAAGATTGAAGATGGTGAAGATACCAGGGCCTGCCAATTTCTCGCATACCTGGGACTTCTCTAGTGAGAAACCTTTATTCTAGAGCTCCCCATTGGCTGGCAATGGGGACGTGAAGTAAGAAGGTAGAGCTTAAACACCAGCAACCAAGGGACTGCAATTATCATAACAACCAGCAGACACATAACTAGCACAATGAGCATGTGAATGGAGTGGCCAAGGTGGCAGAGATAAAGACTACACAAGAGTGCAATAGAATAAACTCCCATTTACTAAAGCAGAAATAACAGATGCTGCCTGTAAAGGTCCAAAGTTCCAGCAATAGATACCAATGCTAAGACTTTCAATGTCTTAGCTATTCTTGGTATGGGTTTAACATTCTTGTTCATATAGCCCCAGTCAAGACCACTATATAGGGATATTTGGGTTCATATGCATGGAATCTCACAAAAGCTAGTGTGTGACCATACAAACTGGTGAGGAGACCCGCTTCCAGTAAGCCCATAATGATGGGACTCACTGGTCCTATTCCAAACCACATTATCTAGAAGCACCTGATCTGACAGAGAGTTGAACTGGCTTGCTGAAGGCACAGCTGCAGCACCAGCTCAGAGGTAATACGGCATTCTCCAGGATGCAATGTATGTACTACTGAATTAGAGCTCCTAAATGGTGCTGTGTCTCCAAAAGGAAGAAAACGTGAGTCCAGGAACCAAAACATGGAAGCAGGAGTGGCCCCATTAATCATTACTTCCAGTAGACCACTTGGGGATTTGTATTTCCCATTCCCACAATTCTGAGCTTGGCAAAATTAGACTCCTAGTCTCAAAGACAGTCCACTCTTGCCAGGGGATATAGCAAGAAGCCCATTGAAGTAAAAGCTACAACTGCCACCTAGGCATTTTGAGATCTTTGTGTCCAGGGATCAGAAGAGAAGAGAAGAGAAGAGAAGAGAAGAGAAGAGAAGGTAGAGCTGTTTTTACATAGTGAGATCAGGGTGGAATACATATGAAGCTCAGATGGTTCACTTAGTTGCCTCTTGATATACCCTTGTTCAACTGTAGTCATAGATGGACAACTAGACAAACAGAACAGAACAAAAAACCAAGAGAAAAAAATACTTTTATTCATAAATAAATGGGCCTGAGGATTAGTGAAGAAAAATGAATTATTCAATAACAAGTGTGAGACAATTGAGTATTCATGCAGAAAAATACAAATAAAATGGAATCACTGACTCATATCATACCCCTCCAAAATGTATCCTAAATGTAAAATATTACTTTATAAAAACAAAATTTTATATCATTTGAAAAAAATATAAGATCATATTTTAATCTTATAGGGTTAGAAAAATTTTTCTTAAACAATATCCAAATAGTACAATCCATATAAAAATAAAAATAAATTTAACTAAATTAACCATAAAATCTTCTGTGCCTCAGAAGACACCAATAAGCAAAACAGAGAGATAGGCCTCCAATTGGGATGTCAGAGATGGATCCAGGTTTTGTAGAACCTGAATCCTGTATAATCTGGGGGACCCTTTTCAAAAGTAGAATACAAAATTATGAATGTATAATTACTACAAATGCTCTTGCAGCCTTCAAAGCAACCCAGGCAAGTGAAGAATCCTAAATATCAAAGACGTGTAAAGAGCTTTTTATAAATCAGTAATAAAAAGACCAGCAGTCAAAGAGGAAAGCATAAAATGATATGAAACCAGTAATTAACGAATAAGGAAATACAAATTAGAAGATTCTCACTAGTAATAGAAAAATGCAAATTTTAAAAATCATATATAAAATTATACCAATAAAACCGGAATAAGTTTTAAAGTCCAGGGATATCAAAAGTCGAAGAAGCCACTGTACTCCATAGGCGACAGAGCCAGACTCTGTCTCAAAAAAAAAAAAAAAAAGGTCAAAGAGGACGTTGACCAGCAAGAACTCTCACACACTATTAGAAGGAGTATAAACTGAGAATAAGTTAGCAATATCTAGTGCACAGATTTCCAGCTAGCCCACTGTGGCACATAGTTGGGCTATGAATGTGTGACAGGTGTGCTGTTGAGATACGGATCTCCTTACAGAGGCCAGGCAAGACCATAGGAAATTAATAACTATAGTTCTGGTTGCTTCTAGCCACAAGCAGCTTTATACATCACTTCCAGTTTGTTATACAATTGTCACTTACTTATGTACCATGAGAGAAGAAGGGTTGAGAATAACTGTTTCTGTTAGAATTCTTAGTTGCAAGCATCAGAATCCACTCTACAGATGAAATAGTATAAGAATTTATTAAGAATATCAGTTGACTTAGAGTCTCCTGAAAGGCCAGAGAAACACTAGAATTATGCAGTCAGGAAAAAAAATGCCCAAATTTCACTCCCAGACTGCTCATACAAGCAATCCCACAACAGTGGATAATTATCATCACTTTCAATATGAACACGAAACACAGGACACTACAGCATGGATCTTGGTCACTTTTGCTTCTAAAAGTTCTTAACATGACCACACTGCTACCTCATTTACAGAATTCGGCATAGCATCCCCTTCCTCACAGTGCTCTCTTCTAAATTGAAGTTTTTCATGAATGCATCTTATTGGCAAAACCTATGTTACATGCCTGCTCACTACCTGCAGAAGAAGTTAAAAAATGGGTTTTTCTAGCACCTACCTTAAAAAGGTAGAAGTTATAATGGGGGAAAGTCATAGCTATAGGAAGGGTGCTCCAAGTATTCTGGGTAGCCACAAATATGTCAAATATTCACAACATCCAATACAATAAAGAGAAACATATCCCCTTCAGCAATTTCACTATTGGGTAAATGTCATTTTAAAAAAGCTAAATGCACTAGTGATGTCCTCACACATGCACAAAAGAAGATGTACAAGAATGTTCATGACAACATTGTTTGTAAACAATTTAATTCACACCAATAGGAGAATGATGAGTAAATTGGGGTACATTTATAATCTGGAATAGTGTACAGTAGTGAAAACGACCAGGCGTGGTGGCTCACGCCTATAATCCCAGCACTTTGGGAGGCCAAGGTGGGCAGATCACAAAGCCAGGAAGGAGTTCGAGACCAGCCTGACCAAAATGGTGAAACCCCCGTCTCTACTGAAATACAAAAATTAGCTGGGCATGGTGGCACATGCCTGTAATCCCAGCTACTCAGGAGGCTGAGGCAGTAGAATCGCTTGAACCCAGGAGGCGGGGGTCACAGTGAGCCAAGATTGCGCCACTGCACTCCAGCCTGGGTGACACAGCGAGACTCCTTCTCAAACAAAACAAAACAAAACACAAAACATGTAAAGCGTTAAGCAAAACAGATTAGTAAAGAAATAGTTTTAAAATATATATATATATAGACACACACACACACACACCACTTACGGATATTTTTAAAGTTATAGATAGATGCACAATCTAAAATGCACAAAAATGAAAGCCATCAAATTCTGGGATGATGGTTGCCATTTCTTTTTTGTCTTTCTCTCTTTCTTTTCTTTACTTTTTCAGACAGGGTCTTATTCTGTTGCTCAGCTGGAGTGGAGTGCAGTGGCACAATCACAGCTCACTGAGGCCTCTACTTCCTGGCCTCAAGCGATCCTCCCATCTCAGCCTCCTGAGTAGCTGGGACTGCAGGCATGCACCACCTCAACATTACTAATCATCAGGGAAATGCAAATCAAACTACAATGAGGTATCATATGATTCCAGTTAGAATGGCTATTATCAAAAGATGAAAAAAAAACATGCTAATGAGGATGCAGAGAAAGGGGAACTTTCATACACTGTTGGTGGGAGTGTAAATTGTATAGCCATTATGGAAAACACTATGGAGTTTCTCACAAACTAAAAATAGAACTATCAATCCAACAATCCCACTCCTGGTATTTATCAAAAGGAAAGGAAATCAATATATCAAAGAGGTCCATGGACCCCCATGTTTATTGCAGTATTATTCACAATAGCAAAGATACCAGATCAATGTACATGTCCATCAGTGGATGAATGGATAAAGAAAATGTGGTACATTTAAGTAATGAAATATTATTCCACCATTAAAAAAGAAGAAAATCATATCATTTGCAGCAACGTGAATAGAACTGGAGATTATTATGCTACGTGAAATAAGCCAGACACAGAAAGACAAGTATCACATATACTCACATGCGGGAACTAAAAAAGTTGATCTAATGAAGGCAGACAGTAGAATGATAGTTATTAGAGGCTGGGAAGGATGTAGGTGTGGGGGTGAAGAGAGGTTGGTTAATGGATACAAACATACGGTTACATTAAAGGAATAAATTCTAATGTTAGTTGAGTAGGGTGACTATAGTTAACGATTTATCATACATTTTAAAATAGCTAGAAGTGAGGACTTGAAATGTTCTCAACAGATAGAAGTGATAAATGCTTGTAGTGATGGATATCCTAAATACCCTGACTTGAGCATTACACATTCTATGCATGCAACAAAATATCACCTGTACCCCATAAATACGTACAAATATTATGCATCAATAAAATAAATAAGTACATAAATATTTTGAAGATAAATTTGATAGGAGTTTGATGGATTTTATGTGAGGGTTAAAAAACAGAAATGCCCAAGTTTCTGATTTGGACAAGTGAACAAAAGGGATGTTGGAAGAAGATCAGATTTGGGTGCAGAGATTACAAGTTTGGCTTTGAACATGTTTTGTTTGAGATGCCTTTAAGGCACTTAAACATAGAAGGAAAAACAATCATGACATTCAATCATGGATTCAAATCAAATCTGGAGATGTGAATTTGAGACACATCCACAAATAAAATGAGATACCAGTAAACTGACCAAAAATTTAGAAAAGTTGTAACACTTGTTGCTCTTTGAAGTGTGAGGTGGTTACAGCCTTTTGGAAAGCAAACTAACAGCATCTATTGCTAAAAATACATATGTTTTTCCATCTATCAATACTATTTATGAGAACCTATGTCCTATAAATAAAATTGTCTGTGCAAAACAGGCGTGCATAAGAATGTATATTGCTGGATAACGAGGTTAGGAGATGGAGACCATCCTGGCTAACATGGTGAAACTATTTTGTATTTTAGTCTCTACTAAAAATACAAAAAATTAGCCGGGTGCGGTGGCAGGTGCCTGTAGTCCCAGCTACTTGGGAGGTTGAGGCAGGAGAATGGCGTGAACCCGGGAGGCGGAGCTTGCACCACTGCACTCCAGCCTGGGTGACAGAGCGAGACTCCATCTCAAAAAAAAAAAAGTGTATATTGCTAACTTGTTCATGATGATACAAACTGGAATAGTATGACTGTTAATAAATTAGCTATTAAAATAAACACGTTGGGGCCATTTTAAATAATGCTTAATAATCATTCCAGATGACTCACAACACTTTCTAGTAGGATTCTAGAGGTATAAAGAAAATATGGCCAGGTGCGGTGGCTCACACCTGTAATCCCAACACTTTGGGAGGCCAAGGTGGGTGGATCACCCGAGGTCAGGAGTTCGAAACCAGCCTGGCTAACATGGCGAAACCTCGTCTCTAATAAAAACACAAAAATTCGCCAGGCATGGTGGTGGGCGCCTGTAATCCTAGCTATCGGGAGGCTGAGGCAGGAGAATCGCTTGAACCTGGGAGGTGGAGGTTGCGGCGAGTTGAGATTATGCCATTGCGCTCCAGCCTGGGCAACAAGAGCAAGACTCCATCTCAGAAAAAAAAAAAAAAAAAAAAAAGATCCACATGTAAGGGTACCTAGTTAACTAACCCCTCAAAGCCAAGGGAGCTAGCGGATCAGGAAAACTGGATATGAGTCCTGGGTCTGTTGAGCTCAGCAACACACTTCATGTATCTGAGCTCTGGTTCTTTCAGCTTTAAAATGAGTAGTTTGCATATTTTTAAAAAAATTATTGAAATATGCATATACTTAGAAATACATAGCAATATGTGCACAGTGAAATGAAATACTGCAAAGTAAAACCATTCATATAACCACTACCAAGGTCAAGAAATAGAACCGTTACCTGTGCCCCACAAGGCCCAGTTGTGCTCCCTGCTAAACTTTGTTCCTTTCCTTCTCCCTGTTGTGACTTCTAACATCAGATATTGGTTTATTCTGTTCTGAACCTTATAGAAATGAAATCATGAAGGGTGTGTTTTTCATCTTTTTTTTTTTTTTTCATTTTCTTCTCTTTATTTTAGAAGAAAGTAGATGATCAGCTCACTAGCCACATCAAAGGTGCCAATTCTCTAAAGGGTAGACTCTGTGCAGCTTTGAAGCCTGGAAGACAATACCTACCAACATGTCAAAGCCACAGTGGAGCATTTCTGCTATGATGAAGATTAAATAGAAGAATAACAGTTCCAGGATAACATTGATTCCTGACAACAGCGTGAGATTTCAACAGAACTTGTTTGGAACAAATACTCACTTAAAACTTCAGCAGAAGAAAAATTACTTAGTCCTTAGGCCAACAAATTTAACTGCAGTGTCATATGTTTCACAGGCCTTCCTACATTTAGAAATCGTCACACAGCTGTGATAAGAGTAGATTATTTTACTACAAAATAATTGGAACAGATGAAAACATAAAATGTGAGAAACTGAATGTATTATTCAGGAAGAATATTGAGTGCCTTCATTTAACTAAAGTTGAATGTAAAAGTCAATTTGCACTTCTTTATAATCCTCTGGTTTGGAATTATAAATTGTTAAAACCTTGATGTTGTCATTTAATTATATTTCAGGTGTCCTGAACAGGTCACTAGACTCTACATTGGGCAGCCTTTAAATATGATTCTTTGTAATTCTAAATAGTCTTTTTTTCTCTTTTTACTGCAACTTAACATTTCTGTTTGGAACACAGAAAATGAAAATATTCAGAATAAGTTGTACATTTGATGACAAATAAATCACTATTAAAATAATTTACACTTTTTTTTTTACAAAGGTTTGTTTCCAGAAGAACTTTTGATGTCAGTAAATCTTCACAATCCCACTTGTACATTTTAGCATTCATGGACTTGTAATGATGATGCTTTGGCTAGCAGCCTAGTAGATGTATTTTATTTCAATTTCATGATACTACAATTTCAAAGTAATTATTCAGAACTCTGAATATAAAATAGCCCTAAATCTTAAAGGACAAATCAAATTTGAAATAAGAATTTAAATCTTTGGACAAGCTGTTAGGGCTTGGTGACTCCTCTTCTACTTTGAGCTTTTAAAATACTGACTGTTTATAATGAAGGAAAATAGCAACCAACTCTTTTAGACATAATAAACATGGTCAGAAGTTCTGGCCTATGACTTGAAACAAATAACCCTGAGCATTCATTTTTGAAAAACATTGTCAGATTCTTTGCTATAAGTATGAAGAGTTAATAATCTGGAAGGGAATTATAGAATTAAGCTGAACCCATGCCTGCATATTTAAAAAACAAAGCGGCTTATTTTAATGCTATCAAACTCTTCAGTATGGTATTGAATAGTCACTCATATATTCTAGCTAGGCATGTGGGTTTGTTATGATAAAAGCTGAACTTGTTCTCTCAATTTTAAGTGAAATAAATTAGTTGAGAAAAAATAATTATTTAAAATATAAGTCTTCATATTATTGTACAATATTTCTCCTTTGAGAAGATAGGATACATGATTTTCCCAAAAATCACAACTTTGAAGGAAGACTTAGTTGCTGACTTCAGTTATATCCTGGAACTGGCAAATTGTGCCCTTCCTTTGCTTCAAAAAAAGTGTAAGAAAGAGTGATAAGATCAACATTAATCATTCTTGGGTCTTTAGCAAATTCAGGATCAATGTAGAAAAACACTGGCATATCTACTTCCTCTTGGGGATTAAGCCTTTGTTCTTCAAAACAGAAGCACTGTATTTTATTGAAATACTGTCCAGCTTCAAATGGAACAACATTGTATGTAGAAATTCCAATTAGTGGTTTGTCAGCAGGATTCTTAGCTCTGTAAAACCCCAGTGCAGTGTCTCCTGGCACCACATATATTTCTGTTTGCTGAAGTCTAAAGTTCCACTGAAGACTTGCATGCACATCTGCATCAAAGTTAATTTTAATGATTCGATCCTTAACAGGCACCATGTTTTCAATCTGGTCTGAGGCATGACCTGAAACTGCTGATCCTCCAAGTCCAGTAGTCTGGCAATAGAGCCGATAAAGGGGAACGGCAGCGTAGGACGCCCCCAGCATGCCCACGGCGACAGCGGCCACGTTAAGTGAGGGTCGTCTTGTTCCGCCGCCCCCGCCGCTCCTCCTCCTGCGCGCGCCTGAAAGGGTTTGAGCTCTTAGACCGCCGCGGCGGCTGCAATGCTGGATACTGGGCTCAAAGGCTGCAGCGCTTCCATGTCTCAAGCCACCACAGTCGTCTCTGGGCACCTCCTGTCCCACTCCACTCTGGCCTAAGAAACCGCGCTACCCTCTCTGCAGCCGTGGCTGGAGACCCAGGGTGGATCCAGCGCCAGCCACAGAAAGCGACGCGCCTCCATCCCGGATGCCAGAGCCCTCCCATAACCCCCTGAACTAACAACCACCCGCCTCTCAGGGACGAGAGGTCAAATGTCGTGTTTTTTGTCTTCTTTTACTCACTATTCTGGCTCCTTTTACTATTATGTTTGTGAAATTTATCAACGTGGTTTGTAGCTGTAGTTCATTCATTTTCGTTGTTACATAGTATTCAGTTGTCTGAATAAACTTTTTTTTAAAACCCATCCTACTGTTAATGGACATTAGGGTTGTTTCCAGTTTAAAGCAATCACCAAAAAATGCTTCTAAGACATGTCTTTAGATGCAAGCACATATGCGTTTCTGGTGGCTGGGTCACAGAATACGCATACATTCAACTTTAGTAGATATGCCAGAGTTTCCCCAAAATGGTTTCACCAATGTACACTCTCATGAAAAATATGTGAAAATTCCCATTGTTCCATAATCCTTGCTGAAATTTGGCACTGTGAATCCATTTCTAGCAGGGATTTCAGCATTGCGTTTGTGATTCCTTAAGAAATATCAAAGGACCTATCATACTGGCAATATGTAAAAGCCTGAAAACATACAGATCATGAGGCTGTGTGAAGACAGGCACTCTCACACTTTGCTGTTGAGAGTACAAAATAACACAACCTCTACAAAAGTCTCTCTCTTATTGTTCATTGCAGCATTATTTGTTAAAGCAAAATATTGGAAGTAATCCAAATACCCACCCCCAAGAAACTGGTTAAAAAAATTATGGTACATCCACAGAATGAGTTATTATGCAGGTGTGAAAAAAGAGGACTACTTCAAAAACAGGACATTTCTAGGCTTTTCTGTTAGATGATAAAGCAAGGCATGAAAGAATGTATATAACATAACTTATGGGGTACAGAAGATAAATACTCATTTTTGCAAGAAAAAAGAGAAAAAGTAGGGAAGGGAGGAGGGAATGAAGAAGGAAGGAAGGAGAGGATAAATAAATAATGAAAATTGGGTATGAGTATATGTGGTAAAGGGACTGGGGATGGAAGCAGAACTCCTCTAAACATACCTTTTTATATAGTGTGGATTTTGAACTAAGTAAATGTTTTGAATTGTCAAAAAAATTAAAAAGGGATGAAAGCAAACCCTGAAATGGAATATAAACAGAAACAAATGCTCCTAACCATATATCGTTTAAAATATAACCACAGAGAAAATAATTAATTCAAATAAGGTATTTATACAGCTATACTCCCTTAATGGGATATAATTCAAAAACAAAACAAGCAAAGAAATTTTGAATTCTACATAGTAGATATGTTATTGCTAGTGATGTATTGGTATTATAATCTTGAAACTATTTTGTTTATAAGAAACTATTTTGTTTGAGTGAATTTATTTATGCTGTTGGGAGCCAGAGTTTTCACTGTGGGTGAAAAGAAAAAAAACAAATGTGCAACGGTGAAAAATGTAAAAGAATTCTGTGGAGTTGTTTTTGAACAGAAAGTATCTTATAAAATCCTCCATATATATATTATATATGTATATGGAGGATTTTATATCTGTATATAATATATATTATGTACATAATATATAGTATATAATATATTATATATGTTATATATAATACACATATATATAATATAAAATCCTCCGTATATAATATATAATATATAGGATAATATGTAATATGTATTATATATAATATATAATATATGATATATAGGATAATATATAATACGTATTATATATAATATATTATATATATAACATATTCATATATTCTAGCTCTTGTACACTGAAGGAGCCTAGAGGCAATAATATGTCCTAGTAGTGAGAGGTGAAGCTGGCTGGGCTTCCGGTTAGGGTGGGGACATGGAGAACTTTTCTGTCTAGCTAAAGGATTGTAAACACACCAATCAGCACTGTGTCTAGCTGAAGATTTGTAAATGCACCAATCAGCACTCTGTGTCTAGCTGAAGATTTGTAAATGCACCAATCAGCACTCTGTAAAAATGCACCAATCAGCACTCTGTGTCTAGCTAAAGGTTTGTAAACACACCAAGCGGCACTCTGTAAAGATGGACCAATCAGCACTCTGTAAAATGGGCCAATCAGCAGGATGTGGGCGGGGCTGAATAAGGGAATAAAAGCTGGCTACCACCCCCGCCCCAGTCAGCAGTGACAACCTGCTAGCATTGATTTTTGTGCTGTGGGATCTTTGTTCTTTCCCTTTTCACAATAAAACCTTACCACTTTTCAGTTTTTGGGTCTGCACTACTTTTAAGCATTGTAATGCTCACTACGATGGTCTGCAGCTTCAGTCCTTAAGTCAGCGAGACCACGAACCCACCAGAAGGAAGAAGCAACTGCAGGCACGCCACCCTTAGGAGTTGTAACACTCACTGCAAAGGTTTACGACCTCACTCCTGAAGTCAAGTGAGACCACGAACCCACCGGAAGGAAGAAACTCTGGACGCATCTGAACAGCAGAAGGAACAAAGTCCAGACACACCATCTTTAAGAACTGTAATGCTCACCGTGAGTATCCGCGGCTTCATTCTTGAAGTCAGAGCAGGAACCCACTGGAAGGAGCCAATTCTGGACACAGTAGACTGGCAGGAACCAATGCCAGACACAGTAGCAATGAGGTTATTCATTGCCCGAAATCCAGATCTTGGTTTCTATATACCATTTTTCACTGATGTACTGTAGCTTCATGAAGCAATGGTGATTCTAGGTTTAGGGTAGGAATAGTATAAAATGGGACTGAAATATCTTTTGTGAGAAAGTGAAGTGCACAAAAACTGTTGGGAACTTATCAAAGGACATAGAAACCTGTTTGTGGCCGGGTGCGGTGGCTCACTTCTGTAATCCCAGCCCTTTCGGAGGCCGAGGGAGCGGATCACTTGAGGGACAGGAGTTCAAGACCAGCCTCACTAAGGCATAGTGGTGTGTTCTTGTAATCCCAGATACTCAGGAGGCCGAGACAGGAGGATCACTTGAACCCGGAATGCGGAGGTTGCAGTGAGCTGAGATCGCATCCACTGCACTCCAGCCTGGAGACTTTGTCAAAAAAAGAAAAGAGAGGGAGCAGTGTGAAAGGGCTCCAACTGACCAAATTTTAAATAATTTGAGCATCAACATAATAATAACAGTAATTATTTGTAAAGGAATCCATGAGTTCATCGTGATAAAATGAGACGGCAGGGAAAAGAAAGGGTATTCTTTGCAGGAAATGGCAACTAATAAATGTAGAAATGTGCTTCAGTTTCCTCACCTGTTAAATGGAGATAATTGTACCTAACTCACAGGGTTGTTATGCGGGGTAATGAATTAATACGTGTTAAAACACTATGTTGGCCGTTATTATATTGCCGCGTGGAAGACAATGTGTCACCTAGTATCTCACTTAAGACTACAGACGGGATTCAGAGTGACGACCACAGAGGTGTGGAAACCTCCGGCCTTCCTAGAAGGAACACAGCCGGAACCGCTGTTTCGCGGAGAGCGGGCCGCGGTGACGCATTTCCGGCCTTTGTAGTTTATCATTCTTTGGGCTGCGGTTGTCAAGGATTCAGAGCAGATGTGATCTGCGCTAGGTGGCATCTCCTCTCACGGATGCCTCGGTGAGCTTCGGAGTCGGGCTACCGCTGAGGGGCTTCGGAAGGGCCAGTCTGTGCACTGCGACCTGGACTGGGTGTGGGGATTTGGCGGCAGGGTCTTCTTGGCCAGAGATGGGCCGGGCAGGTGAAGGGCAGAGGAGGTTGCTCCGCAGCCTGGAAGGGCTTTGTTAACCAAAAGTCAGCGTCGTTGCCCCTACCCCTTTCCCCCACCCTATGTCTGTTCCTGAGCTCTTCAACCTCTCTGCCCTGTACTGATGGCACTCTGAACTCTCCGTATCTGCATCTTAGGATTCAAATAGATTCGGATATGAAGAAATGTTTGTATTTTCCGATGTCTTATTCTCTACTGTGGACTTATTTTAAAGAATGAGCAGGGATAGTTTTAAACTATGCCACAGCCTTTCTTAGTCTAACTCACATAGTATAAAGGCTCTTGCTGCTATCGAATTTTTTAAAAGAATAAATAGCATCTACTATGTGCCAGCCCAGCACTGTTCTAAGCACTTTACAAATATTATCTGCTTCTCATAACTCTATGAGATAGACACTATTATTATGTAGACTACACCCCACCTCTCTGTCCCGCCCCTTTTTAAAATTAACATACAAGAAGAAAATGAAGTTAGTAACTTGCCCAAGGTCGTAGAGCGAGTAAGGGGTGTAGGCAGGATTCAAATACAGGCAATTTGGCTCCAGACTCCATTTTCTTAAAACCTTTGCTATGCTAACTCCACTCTGTTCCTATATTAGCTTTACAGCTATAACCCGGGAAGTTACTTCGCTCATTTGAATCCCGTCCTTCTTTTGTACCTCAGTAGTCCTGGGCTTCTAGTTAGGATTTGATTGGAGAGAATATATCTGAAGACGTATATCTTTCAGTGTTTCTGCAAACCTGATGAAACAGCCGTTTTATTGGTTTGTGTGCATGTTTTCACCCACTCATCTTGTTCTTTGAGCAATAGAAAAAGATTACAGTCTTGGCCCTAAGGGAAAGTAGCAACTATTAATTAAACTACCATTGTACCAAAATTGTACATTATCTTATTAAAAGATTAATTTGCATGTTTATATGCCAGGTTTTGTGCAAAAACACTTTGTATGCATTATCTCATTTAATATTCTCAACAAGTTGGCAAGGCAGTTGTTGACCTCATTTCATATATGAGCTTGAGGCTTAGAAAAATCAACTAACTTGCCCAAGATCACTGCGTTAAAATTCACAGATGGCCTGGCACTATGGTTCATGCCTGTAATCCCAGCACTTTGGGAGGCCGAGGTGGGCAGATCACGTGAGGTCGGGAGTTCGAGACCAGCCTGACCCATATGGTGAAACTCCATCCTACTAAAAATGCAAAAATGAGCCAGGAGTGGTGGTGGGTCCCTGTAATCCCAGCTACTCCGGAAGCTGAGGCAGGAGGATTGCTTGAACCTGGGAGGCAGAGGTTGCAAGTGAGCCGAGATCGCACCACTGCACTCCCGCCTGGGCAACAAAAGCAAGACTCTGTCTCAAAAAAAAAAAAAAAAAAATTAACAACCAGATCTGCCTGTGTTCTCTGCTATCTCATACTACCTTCTGCTTGTCTAAGGTAAATAAAATATATGGGCTTATATCAACTCTATGTGTGCACATGTGTATACATGTGTATATACGATTGCAAATGCATAGAAAAGGACACATTCCAGTATTTAAGACTGTTTATTTCAGGGTAATAGAACTTGGTGAAAGAATTCTATATTCCTCTCTACTTTTTGGATTTAAAAAAGGTTCTGAAGAGAAGTAATGGTACAAGATAAATTGTGACTGAGGGTGAAAGGTGGGACTCATACAGTACATGACATATGAGTGGGCAGTTGGAAGAGGGTGAGCTGAAATGGGTAAAGAAGACTTCAGAGAGGATGTGAGATTTGAATCAAGCTGCAGAGATTGGGTAAGGTTCGAATAAGGGAAGAAGGCAAGACCAAGCTCATGGCGCAGGGATGAGAAACGCCTGATTAGAATAATGAGAAGAAAAACCTGACTGGAGCTGAGAGTTTTTGCTTGTGGAATAGAGGAAACCAAGAGTGGAGCCAGACAACAGAAGCTAAAGGTCTGACTGGTTTTAAACTGTGCTTGAGAGTTTGGGAATTCATCCAATTAGTGAGGAGCCATAGATGGTGTCAGCGGAGGTGAGGGTCGTGGGATATATGATGATAAAGGCACATTTGTATTACATGCTGCTTAGTCTTCACCTACGTGCATGTCCTTGGTTAACAGCATCCTTCCATGAGGATGATGGTAGATTTGGGGGTGTTCAGCTTGCTGAGGCTCTAGGAGGAACCAACTTTAAAATGCAGATGTATTTTTTAAGGTAAGACTTATTATGCTAATTATATACCTGGCATATACATTGAGGTTGTGATCCTGAATGGAAGATTAGGAACTCTATGTTTGTGACGAGGAGGGCAGTATTACAAAAAACTGGGGAAGCCTTTTGGAGACACCAGGTTCAAAGAAGAACTCAGGTATGCTGGTGCAAGGATCTGGGTATTAAGGCCACCAGATAAAAGCAAAATCAGGTGAAGGAAAGCAAAAATGAACCCAGAGTATACAGAGAAAATAGGGAAATTTGTATTTGGGAAACTGTATAAAGATTTGAAACACCACATCCCAGAAATGAATTTTTCTGGGCAGAGCTCTAAGCTTCAGCTGCATTGCCTTTGAATAGAAAAACTTTGACTTGAAACCAAGCGGCACAGGTGGTAAATAAGAAAAAGACATTTTCGGACCCTAAAAGATTGAAAAAACAAGAAAGCATAAGTGGCTGTTTCATCCTTTGAATCCATGGTACGTTTATTGAGTAATGTGAGAGTACATATTCTGGATTTAGCTATTTGATATTTCTACCACAAAACTTTCTTACCCTAGAACCAATTCAGCAGATCATGTTTCAAGCCATGATGATCTCTTCCCTGGATGATTATCATAGCATCCCTCTCTGCCTCCACTTAACCCCAAGGTCATTGACACAGCGGCTAGAGTTATGCTTTTGTGTTAAATGGAAGTAAAATTTTGTTACCCCTTGGCTCAAAAATCCCCAGTGGTTTCCATATCTCATAGAATACAAGTTAGAGCCCTTACCACTGCCTTTCATGATCAGTTCCCAAGCTCCCTGCTTTATCTCCTGTTACTTTCCCTTTTGTTTTCTTTGTTCCAGCCATTGTTCAACTAGCTATTACCTGAAGAATCCAGGTGTGTTCCCACCTGCAAAAATTTGCACTTGGCAGTTACCTTTGCATGGAACAGTCTTTCTCCAGATAGCCATGTGACTTGCTCCTCACTTCCTTCAGGTCTGTTCAACCATTACCTTATCAAGGCCTTCCCTGACTCTATAAAATAGCAACCTTTCTTTCCCCTTACTCTCTCTCTCCTTACCTTTATTTTCTCTATAGCATTTATCACTACTTCACAAATACTTAATTATTATCTGTTTCCTCTGACCCGTTTTCCTCATCCTGGCCCCTCTTTTCCCCAACAGAAGTTAGTGTTGTAGCAGTGGAGACTGTAAATTCTGATGTCAGATTTGTTGGGTTTGAATTGCAGCTTCACTGCTTACTATCTGTAACTGACTTGAACTTTGGACTAGTAACTTAAACTTTTCATATCTCAGTTTTCTCATCTGTGATATGGGGGTAATAATAGCACCTTATTCATGGTTGTTTTGAGGATTAAATGGGTTAATATATATAAAGCATCTGTAACAATACCTGGCACGTTAAAAGCACTATAAATGTCCGCTATTATTAATACTGTTATTAGGATGTAAATTCCATGAGACTAGGGACTTCGTTATAATTGCAGCTGTATCCCCAGTGCCTAGAACAGTACATGGAATATGGTAGGCTCTGAATATATATTTGCTGGTAGGCTCTGAATAAATATCTGCCAAGTGAATGAATGGTGTATGAAAAGTTATGACAGAAAAAGATAGTATGGTAGTCACAGTGGTGGTGAGTCGCACCAAGAAAAGTGGAGGAAGGCTGGGCGTGGTGGCTCACACCTGTAATCCCAGCAGTTTGGGAGGCTGAGGCAGGCAGATCACGAGGTCAGGAGTTCGAAACCAGCCTGGCCAACATGGTGAAACCCTGTCTCTACCAAAAAAATACAAAAATTAGCTAGGCATGGTAGCGGGTGCCTGTAATCCCAGCTACTCAGGAGGCTGAGGGGAGAATCATTTGAACCTGGGAAGCAGTGAGCTGAGATCGTGCTGTTGCACTCCAGCCTGGGCGACAGGGTGAGATTCCGTCTCAAAAAAAAAAAAAGTGGGGGAAAACATGAATTTGCAGATTCTGTCTTTAGAGGAAAAAAATCCTCTGTACATTTCCTGGGGTAGTGATTACAGAAGGTAACCAAACCAAAGATGTCAGAACTTTATGGAGAGGATTATGTGTGCAGGTTATCCGGAAGGATGCTGTCCCATGCCAGTAGTTTGTTTCCCCTTTGATAAATATAACCAATAATCACAATATGAATCTAATTTTTCTTCGGGTTGTAATGTGATCAGTGTTCACTTGTAATTTAAATACCTGATATGGTTTGGCTGTGTCCCCATCCAAATCTCATCTTGAATTATAGTTCCCAATTTCTCATAATCCCCATGTGTCGTGGGAGGGACCCGGTAGGAGACAATTTAATTATGGGGGCAGGTACCTTCATGCTATTCTGGTGACAGTGCGTTCTCATGAGATCTGACGGTTTTATAAGGGGCTTTTCCCCCTTTTGCTCGGCACTTCTCCTGCTGCTGCATGTGAAGAAGGACATGTTTGCTTCCCCTTCCACCATGATTGTAAGTTTCCTGAGGCCTCCCCAGCCATGCTGAACTGTGGGTCAATTAAACCTCTTTCCTTTATAAATTACCCAGTCTTGGGTATGTCTTTAGTAGCAGCTTGAGAACAGACTAATAAAATACCCTATTCTTAGTTATTTAATTTCACAATGCATGTCAACACCTTAAGAATAGTGTAGGGTTGCTGGGCGCGGTGGCTAATGCCTGTAATCCCAGCACATTGGGAGGCCAAGGCGGGTGGATCATCTGCGGTCAGGAGTTCGAGACCAGCCTGGCCAACATGGTACAACCCTGTCTCTACTAAAAATACAAAAATTAGCCTGGCATGGTAGTGGGTGCCTGTAATACCAGCTACTCAGGAGGCTGAGGCAGGAGAATTGCTTGAACCCAGGAGGCGGAGGTTGCAGTGAGCTGAGATTGTGCCACTGTACTCCAGCCTGGGCAACAGAGCAAGACTCCTTCTCAAAAAAACAAAAACAAAAACAAAAAACAACAAACAGAATAGAGTAGGGTTATTTTTGCAATGGATTACAACAATTTTACTTAAAACAAAAATATTTTATTCTACAGGTTATTATTCATTTGTGGGTCATAAAATCTATGTGGTGTGTCACAACCCACCACATAGATTTTATAACCCACAAAATCTGTTCCCAGGCTTTTTTGTTTTGTCTTTTAATGAAATAGGTTTAAAAATAATTGTATGTCACTATATAGAGCAAGGATACATAGTGTTTTGTGAAATTATTATTTTAGGTATTTGTGTATCTCATAAATGCACAAACATATATACATATGCATGTGTGTTCTGGGTTATAATATAAAATATTTCTTAATAAGAGTCCTGGTCAAAAAAGTTTGAAAGTCTCTACTCGAAGATGGTGCTTAGAAATCACTGGGTCATATAATTGTTTTTCTTTCAGAAAATTTTCTTCATTAATTACTATCCTGGTAAAGATTGCTCATAAGTTTGTTTGTTTTTGTTTTTGTTTTTTTGAGACAGAGTCTTGCTCTGTCGCCCAGGCTAGAGTGCAGTAGTGTGATCTCAGTCCACTGCAACCTCTGCCTCCCGGGTTCAAGCGATTCTCCAGCCTCAGCCTCCTGAGTAGCTGGGATAACAGGCGTGTGCCACCAAGCCCAGCTAATTTTTGTATTTTTTAGCAGAGACGGGGTTTCATCATGTTGGCCAGGCTATTCTCGAACTCCTGACCTCAGGAGTCATAGACATTTGTCTTTTTATTAGCAGTAATTTTATTTTACATAAAATTGCCTACTCTCCACCTTCAAGTAGCTTCAAAGAGAAAAAGTTTCAAAGAAATTAAAGGGCAAGAGAAAGGTCAAATTCTACTCCTGTTTTAAAGTACTGGAACCAATATTTCCGTCATTTTAGTATCTCTGAGCCTAGACCACTGCAGTCAACTACTTTCTGATTCTTTTGCCTTAGCCTTAAACCACTAGGATATTCATTTAATCATACAATAACATAAGAAAAATAAGTGTTACCACTTTGGAGTTTACTAAGTAGCCAACTTCTTTGTGCTCATTATCCTCGTTTTATCTTTGTATCAACCTAGAAAGATAGGCAGTGTTGGTTTTAGGATTCCTGTTTTATAGATTGAAGAGACCAAGGCTCAAAACATGAAGCCCAAGACTCTGGAGGGAATACCTGCAGGTTGATGTCTCAGTCCAAGACCTTACACACTTTAAACCTAGATCTCCCTCCTCCATACCTCCTATGGCTGGAGGGACTCTACCTTCTATGGCTGGAGGGACTCTGCCTCCTCTCTCCAAGTGCATTTCTTACGGTTCTTATTCTTTTTATATTCTTTACTTTCCCTCCATCCTCCATTTGTTTCCCTTTTCTTCTTGATTCTTGGTGTCATCTGTGACCACTTGGGCCCAAAGTGTTTTTTTACCTTCATACAGCTAAAATTTACCCTGAATTTAGTATCTTGCTATTCAAATGGAAACCCAATATACTCAAGCTGATTTGAGCTGTTTCGGTCAGGATGATTGAAACAGTACCTTCCTTCAGAAAACTGTAGGCGTTTTTGTTCCATTTCTTTTTTCTTCCTATATTATCTGGATTTGTATTTCTAAAGTATCTATCATTAATCAGGTTTTGGTGTTCCTTCATGAGACAGAGTGACTGATTTTAGTGTAAATACTCCAGTCCCTCCTTGTCCTGAGGTTTTCTGCATTTTTATATTTTTTTCTTCGTAAATTATTGTCTAGATCTCGGGGTTTCCAGAAGAAAAGATCAAGGGAGAATTATCAAGAATAGATTATTTTTCTGAATAGTTAAACCTTTGATGGCCATAACCTTGACCCTTCAGACTGCAGAGATGCAGGAAGGACTTCTGGCAGTGAAGGTAAAGGAGGAAGAGGAGGAACATTCCTGTGGGCCAGAATCAGGCCTGTCAAGAAATAACCCTCATACCAGAGAGATCTTTCGTAGACGCTTCAGGCAGTTCTGCTATCAGGAGTCCCCTGGGCCCCGGGAGGCTCTTCAAAGACTCCAGGAGCTCTGCCATCAGTGGCTGAGACCAGAGATGCACACCAAGGAGCAGATCCTAGAGCTGCTGGTGCTGGAGCAGTTCCTGACTATCCTGCCTGAGGAGCTCCAGGCCTGGGTCAGACAGCACCGTCCTGTGAGTGGAGAGGAGGCAGTGACTGTGCTGGAGGATTTGGAGAGAGAGCTGGATGACCCAGGAGAGCAGGTGAGAAGATGGGAGAACAGGGATTTGTACCTATAAGAACAAGTATGGGGTTTCAGTGCAACAAGAAAAGGTAGAGGAGGAGGATTTTTTTTTTATGCCAGACTTGATCTTCTGTAGGCTTTTAGTCTCTCTGCCTCTGTTTTTTCTTTGCCAGCTTCTTGGTCCTTCTTTTCTATCCAGCGGCCCTGAGGAGGCCTCCTTGCCATGTTCTCTCTGATATTGGGTTCCCAACTGTCCTTGATTTCCACCAGGTCCTGAGCCATGCTCATGAACAGGAAGAGTTTGTAAAGGAGAAGGCAACTCCAGGAGCAGCTCAGGAGTCATCAAATGACCAATTCCAAACCTTGGAAGAGCAACTTGGGTATAATTTGCGAGAGGTGTGCCCAGTTCAAGAGATTGGTGAGGATCAGGATTTCCTCAGACAGCCTACCTCATTCCCTGAATATTTATCAATTCAACCCATTTATTTAGTGTCTGCTGTATGCCAGGCACTGTGCCAGGTACCAGGGATACAGTGATAAACAAGGCAGATGTGGTCCCCACTCTCACGAAGTTTACAGTCTAGTGGGAGAGGCAGACAATTAAGTAAGCAGTTATAATACCATGCATCTTTTCCCTGAGGTCTGGGTATAATAGCTTTAGAGTGGAAAAATAAACAGAAAAAGTGGCTACTTGTCCCCTTCCACCCATTCTCCTGGCCACTTTTTTTCTTTTGTCTTTGGAAAGATAATCTGTTATTTTTCATACTTCATGTTATCTTTCATGTTATCGTTATTTTAGATGGCAAGGCTGGGACTTGGAATGTGGAGTTAGCCCCAAAGAGGGAGATTTCTCAGGAAGTGAAATCTCTTATACAAGTTCTTGGAAAACAGAATGGTAATATTACTCAGATTCCTGAGTATGGAGATACCTGTGACCGTGAGGGCAGATTGGAAAAGCAAAGGGTGAGCTCTTCAGTGGAGAGACCCTATATCTGTAGTGAATGTGGAAAAAGCTTCACCCAGAATTCCATCCTTATCGAGCACCAGAGAACACACACAGGTGAGAAGCCTTATGAATGTGATGAGTGTGGGCGGGCCTTCAGCCAGAGGTCAGGCCTATTCCAGCACCAGAGACTCCACACTGGGGAGAAGCGCTACCAGTGCAGTGTTTGTGGCAAAGCCTTCAGCCAGAATGCCGGGCTTTTCCATCACCTCAGAATTCACACTGGGGAGAAGCCTTACCAGTGCAATCAGTGCAATAAGAGTTTTAGTCGACGTTCAGTCCTCATTAAGCATCAGAGAATTCACACTGGAGAGAGACCTTATGAATGTGAAGAATGTGGCAAGAACTTCATTTACCATTGCAACCTAATCCAGCATCGGAAAGTCCACCCAGTGGCTGAATCAAGCTAGCTCCTTGGAACAGGTAGGGGATAATATTTCTTACTTTGTCCCTGCTGTGTCCTCTAGCATAGAAAAGTTCAAGGGAAAGCCAGTAAAAATTCCCTTACTTTTATGCAGAGAGAAGCATAATATCTTAAATACATCTGCCGAGTTCTCTGATCAGTGACATCCACAGCTTTGCAATACTGAATGTTGCCTCTTGTGTTGATTTCATCATGTATGCTGTAGACCTAGTTTCACACACATCTGTGCAAGAAGTTTTCTATTTCAGGAAAACTTCTTCATCCTAGTTTTTAAAAACTTTTTTTAAAAGTTTAAAATAGTTATATGTAGGCTGAGTACAAAATAATCTCAAATGCAGTTCACCGAGTATTTAAAAATTAACTTAAAAATAATTGTAATAAAATTCATAATATAGGTTTCCTGACTTCTTTCCATTCACATAAAATATGATAATTTGTTTTGTAACCTACAAAAAGGGGCAGATGAATCCTCCTATATAAATGTAGATTTATAGTAAGTTAGATTTCTATAGATTTTTTAGTTAGCCTTTAGGAACCAAGGAACTGAAGCAGCCATATGTTATTAGCAGCTCAGTGGCTCCTCATAACAAATATTGCTCATGATTTTAAATTTACGCAGAGGCTAAGAAACTTAGCTAAAAATCTGATATCTCACCTCAGATTTCTTATTGGAAAATACAGGCCTCTTTGTATTTTTCCCGTAACATATAATGAGCATTTTTTTGTTTTTGCCTTTTTCTCCTTTATTCAATATTTTGTATGGAAAATTTGAAACATATTCAAGATTGAAGAGAAGAGTATGATCACTCTTTCATGTTGATTGTTTTTATAACCTCCACATTTTCTCAGCATTTACTATTGATTACCACCAAGATCATAAATAAAAAAATTTATTTCCCTTAACATTGACTTAGTAACTCTTTACAAAGCTTTACACAAGGTCCAGGAGACAAAGAAATGGAAAACCTATGGTGAAAACAATCTGGTTTGGAATACACCCAAATACCCAATACATAGCAAGTAACTTTAGAATAACAGAATCACTCTAAGGGACCTTAGAGATCACTTCTGCTTGCTCTTATTTGACAGATAAGAGAAAAGGAAGTTCTGGGAAGTAACTAAGATCATACAGCCAGTTAAAAGCAGAGCTGGAACTAGAACCCTGTCTCCTACTTCCTAGTGTAACATTCTATTAAGCCACTGGAGGCATTATATCACCAAATAAAAATTACAAGTATATGGAATTTATAGGATTTATAAGTCACTGAAGTTGCTCAACAAACCCACCCATTTATATGTTTCAATAAAGCACAACTCCTCTATTTAATTTACAGTGGAGTCCAGGAAAGACTCTTCTCATTTATTCCTCATTGAAAGCATTTTATTTTTGTAATTATTATTTTTAGCTTTTAAAATTTAATTTACTCAGTAGGACTTTTTTAAAAAGATAATTCATTCTTCACCTGGTTCAAAAATCAAAATAATACAAAAAGGTCTACTTTCCCTTTATAAGTAGCCATTGTACTAGTTTCTTATGTATCTTTCAGTGTTTCTTTATGTAAATATAGGCAAATATGAATGTATAATCTTATTTCTTCCATTACTCAGGAAGATGGCATATTATTTATACTCTTCTAATACCTTGCTGTTTTCATGAAAGAATATAATCTTTAGAGATGTCCACATCATAACAGAACTTCTTCATTCTTTTTATAAGTGAATAGAATTTTATTTGTTCATACTCCATAGTTTAACAAACTCCTATAGATGAAAAATCTCACTATTTTAAAATGTTACATATTCTGTTTCATTCTTTTCCCCAGTTTAGTCCAAGTTAAATTCCTTCTGTTCAAAAGCTAACAGCTTTCATATGAGCTAGGAAACAAGGCGTGGGCAACCAGAATTGCACATAATTCTTCTACAGAGAAATGGAGAAGTGATGGGTGGTATTTTTCAGTTTAGTGTATTTAGTTCTATCACATATTCTTACACCTTACATATCAAACTGTTTGTGTCACTACTTAAGGCTTATTGCGGGTATTATAAAAAACTTATATTTCCTGAAAAGTATTTTTTATTGTGTCTTGAGGTTAAATTATTTCCAAGATAAATAGCTACAGATTTTTGAGTGAAGTTAAGAAAAATATAGTAGACTCGATTTTGAAGTAAAATCAACTTCTTAAGTAAATATGTATTCCATAAAGTGATGTAATACATATTCTATAGTATTCTGAGTTTATAAATATCTTAAATGCTTCTCCATTTAAGATAATGAGAAAAGTGAAGTCCAAAGTGCTTAAGCACTTGTAGTAATCTTTCTGTCTTTTATTGCCTTAAAAATTTTGTAAAGGAAACCAATTATGAACAAAGATAATTGTGAATTATATATGGTTTCATAGACACTTACACTTGGAGCCCTGAGACCCACTGTAGGCATCTGCAAACAACAGCAACAACAAAGTGGGATGGAAAGAAAAAAGAACAAAATATAAGAACATAAAAAAGAATCAGACAGAAGGTAAAATTAGATGCTAAAACTCTAGATTGGGCAAAAAATGTTGACCAAAGGAAAAATAAAAAGATAGATGCAGAGACAGAGTGTTGCCAAGAAACATGCTTCATCTTCATAATAATTATTAGAAATCTCTCTTATTTATCAACTGGTCCAAGTTTTTAGATACTATTGTCTTAAGCAGTGAAAATCTCACTGCCTTTTACTCCTCACACTTTTTATTACTTTCCATAAAATGGAGGACAGGGAGAAAAGCAGTCTATAAACCACTGTGATTTTTAGATCTCCTTGAACCTATCCCCATTTTTCTATGCCAACTGCCAATGGGCAGTGTTGAAAGCACTATTTCTTGATGATAGCTGCACTAGAATCACCTGGGTTGTTGGTTTGAAGTGCAGTTTTCTCAGCCCCACCCCAGACCTACTGAATCAGTTTCTGAGGCAGAGCCTGAAAATCTGTATCTAATTAGCATATTAGTGGTCCACACACATAAGGTAACTATATAATTTATTGTCCAATCTGGGACACTTGAAAATGAAAAGGAGTGCTGTTAATAATTACACCAAGACAACAGGTATAAACCAGGAGGTACGGTCCCCATACTAATAATTTTTGCAATAGGCAGTATTTTTTCAACCAAGCATATAGAAAAGACAGAGAATCAGAAAGATTACAATGTTCTGTCATGAAAGCTAAGGCAGAATATATATGAAAAAGGCTGTTGGAGACTTAGGTGTAGCCACCTAGCCTGGTAACCCCCAGTAATAGATCTATTGGATTAGGAAAGAAAGGATGGGATAATATGTCTGCACAAACAAAACAGAGGGCCCCCCCATCCCGCCCCTAATTAAGACAAACCCATTGTTAACATAACTAGTTACCTAAGATTAACCTATTGAGTGAATGGTTTACCAGACAAGATGGACAACATCCTGGAAGCACAGGAGTGTTTCAGTGGTATAGGGACCGATGGAGTACAGTGTTCAACCTTATACTGTAGAAGAAAGTGAGAAGATAGAGTACTGGATCAGAGCTTGCAGTGTTAAGGCAAACAGTGAGCCATTTTAAGCAGGTAGTCGGATGAAGGGGAAGGGGGCAGATATTGTACCAAGTAGTTTCATAATTTATCACATTCACTCCACATCATTTGTTGGCTGTGGAGGAGTCCTCTTGCCACTTGATGGTACCAAAGACAGCTGACCCTGCCTTAAGTGTGTCAATAGATCTTCATAGCTATTCAGCAATTGACTCAAGATCATTGACTGCAGGGGTGGGGGTGGTGGTGGCCTCCCCTCATCACCCCTGACTTCTGCTAATTCATTGTAGAGGGGTATGTAGTCAGGGATCTATAAGCCCCAAACTTGCTAGTGGTTAAGTTACTCGGGGGGACCTGATTTATTTAAACAGGTTTAAAACAATGGAGAACAAGCCAACATCTTCCCCGTTTTCCTCAGGTGGGTGTTGATTATTGCATTTGACCCTTGGGGGCAGAGTGAAGGTAATTGGACAATTTGTGTGGTACAGATAATACCAGACCTGGGGTTGGTTGGTTGGTTGGTTGTTTTGTTTGGAAAGCCCTTTATCTTCTGAGAGACATGACTAGGGCTGTGGGAGGAGCTCTGAGTGTGCCTGTGCCTAGACTCCTACACCCCCATCAGCCATCCCAGGATCTTGGTTGGGCTCTAAGGTGCTCGTTGGGGCCGAATTGAGGAATCTCCCTGAGGATAGAGGGAAAGACCCTGATGCCTGAGACCCTGGAGGACCCGGGACCTAGGGAACGGAGGACACGGAGGATCCAGTGCGAGCAGTCAAGTGTCTTCAGCAGGGGAGAGAGAGAAGTCAGCCCAGACTGAGTGGCTGCTGGACACAAGAGGTTACGACCCCTGTCGGCCTCAGCCTTTTTGAGGCGGCTTCTGCGCTCACAAAGGTGAGCCAGGTGGTGTGCACAAATGAACCACTGAGATTGATGGATCCTCCAAGAATCCTAGAGAGGCGGCAGAGGAGCCGGCCGAAGTGCGTCCTTTCTCCTAGAGAGGTGTTCAGGTTTTAGTGTCCTGGGACTGTGTGTGTAGGCGGTGTCCTGGTCTCTTCTACCCATGCAAGATGCTTTATACTTTCTCAGCGATCCAGAGATAACGGTACTCGGAGGGGGTGCTGTTGCCCCCTTTTCCAGGGCTTGCTCGAGTTCCCCTCTTTTACGTAGATCTCTCAGGATCAGGATTTTGTGTTTTGTGTCTGCTCCATCAGACATTTCAGAGATACAGAGAACTGAACAAAGCGCTGTACAGAGCTAGGTCTGTATGGATCACCCCCTTCTGAGATGAGGGCACAGACTTACCAGCAAGGAGGCCTCACCGGAATCCATCAGCTGACAGGTCCTTATGGCCAAAAGCTGGCTTCCGTATACGTTTTCTGAATCCTACGGCCGTTTTAACCTGAACAGTTTTTTCAGAGTTTTCATAAAAATCCCCTATGCTAATGGTCACGATATTGTGTATCTGTAAAGGCTTAGTACTTAAAGAAAAATACTTTACATGGTCCCCACAATTCTGCAAAACAGAGGGAAGTGGTACGTGAATTTCTCTGGGTAAGAAAACATTCAGAAGTTAGAACATTCAAGCAAGCATTTATTGAGTGCCACATAATGGGCCAGGCTTTATGTTGCAAAAATGGGAATAAGCCAGATAAAAGGCATTTCTTACTGTATAGTGTAATGGGAAAGACATGTTGCCTTGAGGAAAATAAACTTCGTACATAGGGACTTTGGAGGTGGAACGTTAAAGATAACTTCCCTGAGTAGGCAATAGCAGAGCTGTCTCTGTGGACTCTCAGAAGTTGGATAGCAAAGAGGAAATGGACCTTGAGGGATAGTTATAGTATGTGAAGGAGGGATCAGAAAACCATTTCAGAAAACCACAAGTAAATGAAGGTGGGTGCATTCCAGCCTGGGCAACAAGAGTGGCAGAGGTGGGGCAAAGAGAGTAGAGAGTAACTGAAATATGCTGAGGAATTTAAAGTTTATAGGGTGGTGTGCTTTTCCATTTTCTTAATGTCACAGCACATAAAGAAAATTTGTATGCACACTTCCTGGCCACCCCGGTAGCTGAAGAGATCAGTATGCTGGTGGTACTCCTATAAGCCATTTGAAGCACCCAGTAAACTGTGGCAATGCACAGTAGTTGGGCAGTTATATGCTCTGTCTGGATTTAAGCAGAGGAGTAATGTAATCTTACTAGCTTTCTAGAAATATTCTAGAAGTGGTGTGGTGAATGAATTGGAAAGGGGCAAAACTGAAAGCAAGGGAGATAAGAGACTTGTAGTTGTTAAAGAAAGAACCAAAACCATAAGTTGGTGAAAGTAAGTCACTGGCTATAGAAATAAAGAGGGCACCAAGTGGAACTGTGTTAAAGATTACAGATTTAACTAGACCTGATAACTAATTAGATTGATGAAAGTGAGAAAGAAAAGGTACTGAGAGAACTGCCTGTCACACACTAAGTGTATTCTTTAAATAAAATAAATGTAGCCAGGGATAAATAGGCAGGTTTTTGGATTAAATTATTAGGTAAGTGTGGCACAATTTTATAAGAGATGGCTAATATTGGAGAATAAATTGGTCACAAGGGGAAAATGATGAATTTTTGGTGGTGAGTTGAAGATGCTTGTAAGACATACAAGTGAAAAGGTCTAATGCACCACTGGACTGTAAGGGCCTGGAGCTCCAAAGAAAGATTGGTATGAGAGAATCAGGCTTAGGAGTTTTCAGGTGAAAGCTGATGTCATCAAATGGTTGAGATTGCCCAGAATAAATATGGGATGAGAATAAGGCTGGATTTCAATTTAGGATACTAAACATTTTTTTTTGATGGAGTTTTGCTCTTGTTGCCCATGCTGGAGTGCAATGGCTCAACCTCAGCTCACCACAACCTCCGCCTCCTGGGTTCAAGTAATTCTGCCTCAGCCTCCCAAATAGCTAGGATTACAGGCACGCGCCATCACACCCGGCTAATTTTGTATTTTTAGTAGAGATGGGGTTTCTCCATGTTGGTCAAGCTGGTGTCGAACTCCTGACCTCAGGTGATCCACCCGCCTCAGCCTCCCAAAGTGTTGGGATTACAGGTTGGAGCCACCGTGCCCAGCTGGATACTAGACATTTTTGACAGGCAGAATAAGAGCTACGAAGTAGACTAAATAATAGTCATTAGAAACGTATTTAACAGGTACTTGTATAATACAGTCATGTGCCATATAGCGATGTTTCAGTAAACAGCAGACCACGTGTACAATAATAGTTCCATAAGATTATAATAACATATTTTTACTATACCTTTTCTGTGTTTAGATATGTTTAGATATACAAATACTTGGCTTTGTGTTATAGCTGCCTACAATATTCAATACAGAAACGTGCTGTACAGGTTTGTAGCCTAGGAGCATTAGGTTATACACTATAGCCTAGGTGTATAGTAGGCTCTACCATCTAGGTTTGTGGAAGTACAGTCTATGATATTCTCACAATGATGAAATTGCCTAAAGACACATTTCTCAGAACATAACCATGTGATTAAGCAATGCATAACTGTTCTTCCTGAGTGCCAAGCATTAGGCTAAACGCTACAAAAACCAACTTATGGAAGAACAACCAGAAGAGTATAGTGTTTCTTAGAAGATTGGGAGTAGTTAGCAGTGTTAGGTGCTGCAGGGGCATCTGGTAGGAAAAGGATTGAAAAATACCCACTGGGTTTGTGTACCAAGGGGGCCCTGTTTGTTTAACTTGGGACTGATAAGTCAGATGTGAGGTCCCCTGACTGACATGCACACTATTCTAAAATTAAAAATACTTTTGGGCCAGGCGCGGTGGCTCATGCCTGTAATCCCAGCACTTTGGGAGGCCGAGGCGGGTGGATCACCTGAGGTCAGGAGTTTGAGACCAGCCTGACCAACATGGTGAAACCCCGTCTCTACTAAAAATACAAAATTAGCTGAGTGTGGTGGCACATGCCTGTAATCTCAGCTACTTGGGAGGCTTGAACCCGGGAGGCAGAGGCTGCAGTGAGCCGAGATCGCGCCATTGCATTCCAGCCTGGGCAATGAGAGAAAAAACTCTGTCTCAAACAAACAGACAAACTTTTGAAATCATCTAGCACAATTCTTGGCACAGAGAAGTTGACTTATACAGGCATATGTCATTTTACTTGCACTTTGCTTTATTGCACTTCACAGATACTGTGTTTTCTGCAAATTGAAAGTTTGTGGCAACCCTGCATCAAGCAAGTCTGTCAACACCATTTTTCCAACATCATGTGCACACTTCGTGTTTCTGTGTCACATTTTGGTAAATGAGTATTTCAAAATTTAAAATTATTATTATATCTATTATGGTGATCTGTGATCAGTGATCTTTGATGTAATTTGCAATTGTTTTGGGGCACCGCTAACCACACCCATATAAGATGCCTAACTTAACTGATAAATGTGGTGTGTGTTCTGACTCTTCCACCAACCAACCATTCCCCCATTTCTCTCTCCTCAGGCCTCCCTATTCCCTGAGACACACAGTGTTGAAATGAAACCAGTTAATAACACTACAGTGGCCTCTCAGTGTTCACGTGAAAGGAAGAGTCTCACATCTCTCTCTTTAAATTAAAAGCTAGAAATGATTAAGCTTAGTGAGGAAGACATGTTGAAAGCTGAGATAGGTTGAAAGCTAGGCCTCTTGTACCAAACAGCCAGTTGTGAATGCAAAGGAAAAGTTCTTGAAGGAAGTAAAACCACTCCACTGAACACATGAGTGATAAGAAACCAAAACAGCTTTATTGCTGATACGGAGAAAGTTTGAGTGATCTGGAAAGAAGATCAAACCAGCCACAACATGCCTTTAAGCCACAGCCTAATCCACAGCAGGGTCCTAACTTTCTTCAATTCTGTGACGGCTGAGAGAGATGAGGAAGCTGCAGAAGAAAAGTTAGAAGCTAGCAGAGGTTGCTTCATGAGGTTTAAGGAAAGAAGCTGTCTCCACAACATAACAGTGCAAAGTGAAGCAGCAAATGTTAGTGTAGACACTGCAGCAAGTTATTCAGAAAACCTAGCTAAGATAGTGGATGAAGGTGGCTATACTAAACAACATATTTTTAATGTAGATGAAACACTTTATATTGGAAGAAGATACCATCTTGGACTTCCATAACTAGAGAGAAGTCAGTGCCTGGCTTCAAAGGACAGTCTGCCTTTCTTGATAGGAGCTAATGGAGCTGGTGACTTGAAGTTGAAGCCAATGCTCATTTACTAAGCTGAAAATCCTAGAGTCCTTAAGGATCATGCTGGCTGGGCATGCTGTAATCCTAGCACATTGAGAGGCCAAGTCAGGAGGATTGCTGAGCCCAGGAGTTTGAGACTAGCCTGGGCAACATGGAAAAACCCTGTCTCTACAAAAAAATACAAAAATTAGCTGGGTGTGGTGGTACACACCTGTGGTCCCAGCTACTAGGGAGGCTAAGGTGGGTAGATTGCTTGAGCCTGGGAAGCAGAGGTTGCAGTGAGCCAAGATTGTGCCACTGCACTCCAGCCTGGGTAACAGAGAAAGACCCTGTCTCAAACAAACACACAAACAAACAAAAAGAATCATGCTAAATCTACTCTGCCTGTGCTCTAGAAATGGAACAACAAAGCCTGGACGATAGCACATTTATTTACAGCATGGTTTACTGAATATTTTAAGCCCACTGTTGAGACCTACTGCTCAGAAGAAAAAAAGATTCCTTTCGAAATATTACTGCTCATTGACAATGCACCGAGTCACTGAAGAGCTCTGAGGGAGATGTGCAAAAAGGTTAATATTGTTTTCATGCCTGCTAACACAGCTAACCATTCCACAGCCCACAGATCAAGGAGTAATTTCAACTTTCAAGTCTTATTATTTAAGAAATACATTTTGTAAGGGTATAGCTGCCATAGATAGTGATTCCTCTGATGGATCTGAGCAAAGTACATTGAAAACCTTCTGGAGAGGATTCACATTCTAGATGCAATTAAGAACATTTGTGATTCATGGGAGGAGATCAAAATATCAACATGAACAGGAGTTTGGAAGAAGTTGATTCCCATCCTCATGGATGACTTTCACAGGTTCAAGACTTCAGTGGAGGAAATAACTGTAGATATAGTGGAAATAGCAAGAGAACTAGAATTAGAAGTGTAGCCTGAAGATGTGACAGAATTGCTGCATTCTTATGATAAAATTTGAATGGATGAGAAGTTGCTTCTTATGGATGAGTAAAGAAAGTGGTTTCTTAGGATGAAATCTACTCCTGGGGAAGATGCTGTGAAATTGTTGAAATAACAGCAAAGAATTTAGAATGTCACATAAACTTGACTGATAAAGCAGTGGCAGAGTTTGAGAGGATTGACTCCAACTTTGAGAGTTCTGTGGGTAAAATGCTATTAAACAGCATCACATACCACAGAGAAATAGTTCATGAAAGGAAGAATCAACTGATGCAGCAAACTTCAGTGTTGTCATGTTTTAAGAAATTGCCACAGCCACCTGAGCCTTCAGCAGTTATCACCCTAATCAGCCATGAGTCAGCAGACATTAAGGTAAGACTCTGCAGCCTCAAAGATTATGACTCAGTGAAGAGTCCTGCATTTTTTAGCAATAAAGTATCTTTTAATTAAGGTATATGCATTTTTTAGACATGCTACTGCACACTTAATAGACTGTCATGTAGTATAAACATAACTTTTATATGCACTGGAAAGGCAAAAAAATTGTGTAACTCACTTTATTGCAATATTTGCTTTTTTGCAGTGGTCTAGAACCAAATCTGCAATATGTCCAATGTATGCCTGTAAATGTTAATTGACCCATCTGACATGCAATATAAGCATACCAAGTTGTGTGCATTACTTTTTGCACCTATTGTTTTTGATAATCATCTGAATATTTCACTGAATTTTCTAGATCTAAAAGCTAATAGTGTCTTATTCTTCACTCTTGAAGTAACTGAAATGTCTTTTAGTTAATTTTATGTCATTTTTTGCTTATTTATCTTTCACAGAAATTTTTTTTTTTACCTTCACACTTTTTGCCTTGATACAGCCATTCACTCAGTAAATATGTTCCAGTTTGGAGCTGATCTCAACAATGATGTGTTATGCCTTAGCATCAGCCTGAAGCATACGCACTGCTGCAGTGAGCCAGTCTTCTGAGCTGTTTCACCCAGGAATGCATTCAGACCAACTGCAGAAGAATGAAAGAAGTGTCAAATAGTTAAAGAATCTAGCCCACACAGAAAGGGAGCTTCTGGTCAGGAGTTCTTCAGAGAGGATATGGTGGGTATTTACTTGGGCCTCAAGGGTCCAGCTTCAGGTTCTTTGCCATCAGTGGTGGAGACCAGTGATACACAGCAAGGAACACGTCTTGGAACTACTGATCCTGACCATCCTGCCCAAGAACTCCAGGCCTGGGTATAGGAGCATCCCAGAGTATAGGAAAGAGGCTGTCTGTACTGAAGAACTTGGAGAGGAAGCTGAATGATCTGAGAGGAAAGGTAAAATGAAGAAATGTCTTATCAGATAGCAGATATTATCTCCAGAGAGAGATAAGAGAGTTGAGATAACTTCTCTAGCGTAGTTAGAGAAAATGGCTAACATGTTATTGGCCAGAGTTATTTATTTTTGTTCTAGTTTGGTGAGTTTTTTTTAACTTGTAGGCCCTGTGTATTTTCCCCTCTTTGTCTGTGTATCCCTGCCCTTGCAGATGACAGAAAACTGCTTTCTGCCCTCCCATCGTGTGTTCCACAGTAATAATGGGATTTTAAGCTCTAACTTTCAGCAAATGTCACCCTCATTAAACTCCATCTAATTGTGCCCAGTTCCCCACCCTCCTACAGGGGACAAGAAGTGTCCCAACGCAAATAGTGTATCTGGCAGCCTCATAGGACTCAACTGGAGTCCGGCTCCAGCCAGTAAAGGGTCAACTCAGCTCTGAATGTTGGGAGTTTCACACTGTTAAGGAGAACGCTGAGGAGGAGATAGCAAAGAAGAAGTTAGGAAATGTTGGTGTCTTTTTGCATTTTTCCAAATGAACCTTGTCACTAAAATCTCTGCATACCTTTCATTTAATCTCTATTGCCTATTCCACTTTTAACCTGTTCCTCTAAGCATACCACTTTAGCCTGGATTATGATTCTTTTCTTTCTTCACTTCTTTGCCTTAAAATTGTTTTTTTTAAAAAATCCTGCTACTCATGTTACCTTGCATGGTTCAGTTTCTCCCTTCTAATACTGCCAACTTCCTTAACCCAGACCTCTTATCGCAAAGACAGGAGAATGTTTTTCTATATTGAAGCCAATAGAAAACTACTAAAAGGCTACATGCAATTAGTAAATTTTTAAATGTACATTTTTTAAATGAGTGTAGGAAACATAAAACTTTAGTAGGTGCATGCTTACTGGGAAAGCACGCATGCATGCTAAAATGTCATTGTACAGTACATATTGTTTACCACTTGTTTTTTAGTTTAATATTACATTATGGATATCTTTTCAAGTTACATATAATACCTATATGTAGCTGACATACATTTCACTGCAAGGGTATTGAATTATTTTGTAACTGGCCTTAGAGGGTTTTTACATTGCTGCTTTTTTCTTTTTTTAAATACTACCAACTAAAAGCCATAAACTCTTTTCTTTTTCTTTTTTTCTTCACTCTGTACTATGAAAAAAGTTTAAGCATATATAAAAGTACAATTGTACTACTTCTAATAAATCCCCACAAACCTGTCACCCAGCTTCAACATTATCAGATTATGGCCAAACTTGTTTCACTTACAACTCTACTCATATCCCATGCTTTTATATATATATAATTTTAAAGCATATCTGAGCTAGCATAGTCTTTCAAATGTAAATATTTCAATATTTGCTGTAAAAGATATGAATTTTAAAAATGTAAACATAATACTATTTTCATACCTAAACAATTAACAGTAATTCCTTAATATCAATTTTCCAGTTTTCTCAAAGATGTCATAAACTTTTTTTTGTTCATTTTGTTTTTTAACTTATTTGAATCAAGATCCAAGGAAGAAAACACATTGTGATGGGTTGATATGTCTCCTAAGTTTCTTTTAATATATGGGTACCCTCTCCTGTTTTCTCTTCCAACTCACTTGTTAAAGAAAATGAAGTTGTTTGTCCTGTAGAGTTGCACACAGCATGGGTTTTGCTGTCTGCATCATGTGCTATAGTCTAAGATGTTCTGTTGTCCTCTGTATTTTCTGTAAATTGTAGTAATGTACAGGCTTGATCAAAATCAAGTTTTAAGTTTTTTTGACCAGATAAATTTAATGATTTTGGCAAGATGGTGTGTTCTATTTGAAGCCTATTATTTTCTGTTTGTCTCTTTTTCTGTGGTGTTAGCAGCTATTGATCCTCAATACCTATAGCCAGTAATCCATTACGGGTCCCAAAATGGTGACATTCTAATTGCATCCTTCTTTCTTCATTTAATAAAGCTGGAATAGTTATATAAAGAGACATTTCCCCTGATTTTTTGTTTAGTTATTCAATGGTTTGTTTAGGAAAGGCAAGATAATTGCTTAAGTCACTCCCCACTACTTTGCTTTTTAAATCAGTTTTCAAAACAATGAATTAGTTTGTAGTCATCCTTTAAAACAGTGACCAGTTGTTAGTAATAGTATCATTAGGAACTTTTGGATTGAAGCGTTATTTGATGTTTTTCAGTCCATAATACTATCCTTACTAAAGCTCATTTGTCTCCTCTTTGAGCAGTAGAAACCTTTTCAGTTTGGCATGTGAATCCTTATGACATGAACCTAGTCATCTTTGATAGTTTTCTTGCTGACCTGTATGATAAGATGTACGAGGCCCATCTTATAGTTTTCCTTACATAGTCCTAGAATTAATACTTTTTCCAAGGACCCCCCATTCTGCCTAATGGGAAATGGTATTTCAAAACCAAAAATAGGGCATTAGGAGTGCTTATGGCTTAGTCATTGGTCCTAGGCCTTTCCAGTACTCAGAGTTAGGAAAAAATTTAAAAGAAAGTGTGTATCATGAGTTCACATTGATAGTTCTAATTCACATTTACTACTTCGGGGTCTTAATCTCTTATCTTCATCTGTATCTCCTTTTAGAGGATTCTCAAAGACACCAGGAATGATAGAACATCAAATAATTACTCATTTGCTGTCCCACAATATATACACAATAGCCTCATAATAAAAAACATCGCATTACCCACAAATATGATTACTGTAAATAGCTTAATGGTGGCGTGTGTGTGTATACACATGTTTTCTGTTCTTTTTGTTCTTAAGATATATCTCACTTGGGCTATACAAAAAAAAAATTTACTGCTTTAAGGACATATGAAATAATTATTCTTTTATATGGTTATGCCACCAGTGGATATACACATAAGTTCCTTCTGTTATCTCTTCTGGCATGTAGTTCTAAAAAGTGCTTATTTCGTGAGCAAGTGATTGAGTAAAGTATATGTGAATGAGTGAATTATGCTGACATTTTCAGTCTCTTCTTTCAGATGATTTGATCAAAATGAAGAATGAGAATGTTCTTCCCAAACAAAAGAAATGAAATAACATGCCAACAGGAAAACACTGTCAGATTTGATGGCAGTATTCCTGAGAACTTTGTGTAGATGTCCAAATGTATGAGGAAAGACTAGGAAAATATCCAGAAAATACCACAGTGATGAATGTGGAATAATTTTTGCTCAGAACTCTGTCCTAATTCAGCATCAGAAATTCACACTGGTGAGGATTCCTATGAATGTAACAAGTATGGGAAAGCCTTTACTCAGGAGTGTAGGCTTCATGCAAATAAGATAATTCACACTGGAGTTAGATATATAAATGAGAAGAATATGGGAAAGCTTTCAGTGCAAACACTGGACTCATTCATCGTTAAGAGAATCCATACTGGAGAGAGACCCTATAATAAATGTGACAAGTGCAACAAAGCCTTTGGCCAGTGGTCAGTCCTCAACCAGCACCAGAGGCTTCACACCAGGGAGATATGTTACTACCAGTGTAACAAGTGTGGTAAAGTTCACAGTCAGAATTCAGCTTTTTCATCATATCAGAATCCATGTTGGAAAGAAACCCTTTCAGTGTAATCAGTATAGTAAAATTTCTCTTTAACGTTCATTCCTTATTCAACACCAGAGAATCCACTCAAAAGAGAACTTAGGAAGTTGATAAATATGGATGGAAAAGGCTTTGCATAATAGCTTCTCACCTGACATTGAAATTTTGTGAGTGTCCAGCATCTGAAATTGGCAAGGCAGAATTTCTTCCCACCAGACCTTGAACTTGGTTTGGATGAGAACTGGCCCTTCAAAATGGTCCCCACCAAAATCCTGTCATTTAACAGAACAAGCCACTTACTTTTCCCCTAACCGCTAATCAAATAAAACACTTTTGTGATTCAGAGTGGCCTGTGGACCACCAGTTCAGTTTCCAGATGTTTTACTAGTTGTTCCAAATTACAGTTCTCACAAAAGCTTAGACTGTTGTTTAATAATACTTTTTAGTGAAAACTTAAGTTGTACATAAAATGCAAATAAGAATATTAGATGATTAATGTATTTTAAATGTAGCTGCAGTGGTGATAATTTGTCAAGTCAAACATGTTTAGCATCCTTTTACGGACAGCACAGTGAATTCTTGGGCCTTCCATTCCTACCTAAGTTCTGATGTATAACATGTACCTCCCAGCCAAGACTCCAAACAAGAAAGATGCTTTTTTTTTTCCTCTCTCTCTCTCTTAGAGACAGGATCTTGTTATGTCACCCAGGCTACAGTGCAGTGGTACAATCATATAGCTCAGTGTAACCTCGAACTCCTGAGCTCAAGCAGTTCTCCTTCCTCAGCCTCTTGACTAGGTAGGACTACAAGTGTATGCCAACATGCCCAGCTAATTTAAAAAAATTTTTTTAGATGGAAACTCACTGTGTTGCCCAGGCTGGTCTTGAACTCCTGGCCTCAAGCAATCCTCTCACCTCAGCCTCCCAAAGCTCTGGTATTATAGGCATGAGTCACTGCACCTAGCTGCATCTTTTTTTTTTTTTTAATAGAGGTGTGTTAATTTTAATTTGCATTAGGAAAACACTGGAGATACCCAAGCTGGTCTTCAAAGGAAGGGAATAAGCAGACTCAGATTTTGTTTATGGGCCAGGCAGGTAAATGAGTAAAGTAGTCCTAGAGTCAAAAAAAAAAAAAAAGTGAAAACAAAACAAGTTTTATTGATTTATTATTATTATTAATACATTTTATTAGGGGTTCAGGAAAATTGCCAAAATCCTCCTTATTGATTTTGAGTTCTACTGCAGGAGAAAGATGATCAAGTTAATTGTTCATTTTGACCACCATAAACATAATGATCTTTTTATACTTTTGAGTATAGTGTAGAAAAGCTTACTACGTTTTACTGCTGAATCATTTAAATAATCAACTAATAGTCTTTGAACCATCATTAATTTTAATACCAGTCTGTAAATTATGTCATATGTATCCAGATGTGGTGGCTCATGCCTGTAATCCCAGCTACTTCGAAGGCTGATGTGGGAGGGTCGCTTAAGGTCAGGAGTTAGAGGCTGCAGTGAGCTACATTTGTGCTGCTGCACTCCAGCCTGGGTGACAGAGTGAGATCCTGTATCTAAAAATAAATAAATAAATTGGCCGGGCATGGTGGCTCATGCCTGTAATCCCAGCACTTTGGGAGGCCAAGGCAGGCAGATCACAAGGTCAGGAGATTGAGACCATCCTGGCTAACACGGTGAAACCCCGTCTCTACTAAAAATACAAAAAATTAGCTGGGTGTGGTGGCGGGCACCTGTAGTCCCAGCTACTCGGCAGGCTGAGGCAGGAGAATGGCGTGAACCCGGGAGGCAGAGCTTGCAGTGAGCCGAGATGGCTCCACTGCACTCTAGCCTGGGAGACAGAGTGAAACTCTATCTCAAAAAAATAAATAAATAAATAAATTATGGATATCCCATTCTCCATTATGTGCTTATTTCACATTGCATGCCTGTATCAAAAGATCTCATGTACCTTATAAATATATATACCTACAGTGTACTCACAAAAATTAAAAAATTAAAAATAAATAACATAATCATACAGTGTTTCACAACTTGAAGTCAACTTCACAGGGGTCTTACTGTGTTGCCTAGGCTGATCTCAAACTCCTGCCTCAAACTATCCACCCATTTTGGCTTCCCAAAATGCTGGGATTACAGGCATGAGCCACTGCACCTGGCCTTAATATTCTTTATCATGAATATAATCTGTATTCTTATGTGAATGCAAAATAATAAATGGGAAGCTCTGGAGAAATAATTTGTCTTTTATCTTTGATACTCAAAATCACTTAGTAAGAAATTTTCCTGAATGGTCATCAGTATAAATTCCTCCAGAGGCATTTGTTTATTCCTCAGTCTAGTTTTGAAATGAAACCAGAAGAAGGTAAATAATACACAGCTATAAAGAAGTGAAGCTGGTCTGACTCCAGAGTCTGCATTCTTTACCATTATACCACCTCACACTTCTAACAGCCTTGAAGAAATATTTTTACATATATTACCTTTTGATTCACATAGTCACCCTATGAAGTTGTCAGGACCAGTTATTCCCGTTTTGCTGATAGGAAGTTGAGACAGTTAAAAACAAAATATGTACGTACATACCCAATGCTAGGAAGCAAATTAATAAATACTAGGGCTCTGTATCCCAGTCCATTGTTCTTTCCACTAGATGTCCATGGACTTCAATATCAGAAGCCCCCAGATTAAGATGATCTGGCTCCTATGTAAACTTTATCTTAGCCGGGCGCGGTGGCTCAAGCCTGTAATCCCAGCACTTTGGAAGGCCAAGGCGGGTGGATCACGAGGTCAGGAGACCGAGACCATCCCTAACACGGTGAAACCCCGTCTCTACTAAAAATACAAAAAAATTAGCCGGGCGCGGTGGCAGGCGCCTGTAGTCCCAGCTATTCGGGAGGCTGGGGCAGGAGAATGGCGTGAACCCGGGAGGCGGAGCTTGCAGTGAGCCGAGATCGCGCCACTGCACTCTAGCCTGGGCGACAGAGCGAGACTCCGTCTCAAAAAAAAAAAAAAAAAAAACAACTTTATCTTAAAGCAATTGTTTTCCCTTTCAGGAGTTGCACAGGGAAGAAAATTATCTCTTACAAGCCCTCAGAAGTGCTTCCTTCTTAAGCTTTTAGCCTCCAACTCTTAGAAAAATTGTTACATTTTCAGCAATTGTTCCAAGTGTCATGAATTCACAACTGAACGTAGAGTTTTTAAAAATTACCTAGCCTACCTACTAGTTATCTGCGTAGGAAAACAGCTTACTTGGATGCTATCTTTAATCATAAGCATGAACAAGATGATTGTTTACTATCTTTCTTCAATAGGTTTAGACTCTTTACTCAAAGTGGTCAGAAGATCAGCAGCCTTGGCATCACCCCAGACCAACTGAATCAGAATCTGCATTTTAACAAGATCCCCAGTTGATTGTTATATACCTTAAACCTTGGAAAACACTGCTCAGCCCTATTTTCCAGATTTCCCCATGAAAAACCTCACAAATATACTGTTTTTAATTGCCAAAAGTATGTGAACTATTGAACAAAACCTCTTAGGTTGGTTAAAGAACAAATAAATTGTTCTATTTCATGAAACTTTTTTTGAGGCACAGGGAGAAAAAGTTTATCAAGTTAGTTCCCAATAACAAACGTGCCTAGCACTAAAACCTATTGTGAACAATTTGGAATTTACATCTTTATCGTTTTTTCTAAAGCTTATAAAATGTTTTCAGATGTTCTCCATTAATCATTACAACTCTGTGAACTAGTTATTGTCTGTTTTCTACAGATAAAGAGGCTAAGAAAGGTAAAGATTTATTTAATGTTAGAAAGTAATAAGCCAGAGAACTGGTTTAAGTTCAGTGGATTCCAGGTCAGTGTTCTGCAGTCCAGATCAAACAATTCAGCAGCGTCTATAAATTCCTAGAACATAGGCTGTGAGCAACTGAAGACATGTAAAAAAAGTTGAGTGCCTATTGTATGCACAATACTACGCAAAATGCAATAATATCTTGCTAAATTTTGAAAGCAATGTGAATTGGGTATTTCAAAGCCATGAAGGAGGGGCACCAAATAATTTGGTTTCTCTTGCCATTTAAAGTGGATTTTTCCTCCCAGAATCATGAGAGTGTATACATTTTACCTACTGAGTGAACACTGATAAGTAGCACAGGAAGTTGAACTTTTGTTTTATTTAATCAGTTACTGACTAGAATAAAGTGATTGATTTATGATTAAATTGACTAATTTCTATTCATATTTGAGTATTTCTGTATCTCCCAAGTTGTTTTATTAGTTGTGCATTTCAAAGTTCTTGTTAATTGATGAAAACGTTTTGCCTTCTAGAGTAATTCTCCAAACTACCACTTTTCCTGTTACTTCCACACCTAATTAGGTACTACTCATTTGAGTTAAATGAAAATGATTTGAACACCTATGTGTAGTACAATGTAAGCTGCTACAGGATTGCAAAGATAAACATGGTGTCATGCCTGCATTTCAGGAAATCTAAGTTATAGTATATGAGAGTCAATATTAATAATTACATTTGCTTTGAAAGTCCTTTCAATTATATTAACTAATCCGATCTGTCATGACAGTGCATTGGTAGTTATATCTCCTAGCCTAGGAGTAGGTCTCAGTCTATGCCACGTGGGATGACTGAAAAAGGACTGGAAAATCCGCAGTCTTACTGGTTTGAAGAACCAAAGGACAGAGTTTAGGGGATCCCAGCAACTGTAAAGGGAGTGGGGTGGGAATCCTAGGAAGGCAAAAAACAGATAAGGGCAGCCCCAAGTTCTATATATAAAATCCACCCAAATTTCCCCATGGTTCCTGAACCATGCATCACAGAGTAGATTTCAAGTAGTTCAGCTATGGCTAAAATGTCAACTTAGGTTTCAGTTGCCATCCAGTACGGGAGTGACAATTTAAAGTTATCTACCTGCGGCCAGTCGCGGTGGCTCACGCCTATAATCCCAGCACTTTGGGAGGCCGAGGCGGGCGGATCACCTGGGTCAGGAGTTCGAGACCAGCCTGGCCAACATGGTGAAACCCTGTTTCTACTAAAACTACAAAAATTAGCCAGGTGCCTGTAATCCCAGCTACTCAGGAGGCTGAGGCAGGAGAACAGCTTGAACCCGGGAGGCAGAGGTTGTGGTGAGCTGAGATTACACCACTGCACTCCAGCCTGGGAAACAAGAGCAAGACTCCGTCTCAAAAAATAAATAAATAAATAAATAATAAAGTTATCTACTGCTTAAAAATACAAAACTCAATACTTTGGAAGAACATAACAGAATCCAGAGAGCCTACAACATAGTCCCTTTTCCAGGGCTGCATCCAAAATTAGTTTATTAAAATTAGTAAATTGTGGTTAATTTTCAAGAGAAAGTAGAAACCACCCATAAGATGACCAAGTTTTAACATGTGAAGTGTAAAAATCCACATGGAAACTTATGTTTCTGAAATCCTTAGGTGACAAATATATTGAGCACATATTGGATGCCATCATCTCATTATTAATCCCTTTTAGATTAGGGAATCCCTTTCCTCAAGGAATACACATTCTAGGGACAGAGAACCGACAAACACAGAAGTATTGATAATTTTAGGTACTGATAAATGCTATAAAGAAAATAAAATAGGATGTTGTCATGGTGACTGGAGTGTGGTTAAAGGCTACTCTACCGTAATCAGGAAAGGCCTCTATTAAGAGCTTAATAATTGACTGTATACTGTTTTTAAACCTCACAAATTTATTTTTTTAATGTTCCCAGACAATGATAAGCAAGTTTATTTTTTAACCTACAGACACTTTAAGCATATTAAAGGCCTATAAAAGGCCTTTAAAAATCAGCACAATCATTGGCTTTCAAACTGTTCTCCAGAACCTTAGGTGACTCCTCAGATGTTACTTGGCAGTCAGCCATGGGCAGGATCAGGTCAGTCAAGCAGGGTTCTGGCATCCAGCCCCCTTTGCTTCACCTGAGAAAAGGCTCTGCTTTATTTTTAGGAATTTATTCAAATTCCTAAAACTGGTTTTTGCCAAATGCAGTAGCTCACACCTGTGATCCTGGCATTTTGGGAGGCCAAGACAGAAGGATCACTTGAGTCTAGAAGTTCTAGACCAGTGTTGCAACATAGTAAGACCTCGTCTCTAAAGAAAATTTAAAAATTAGCTGGTCATGGTGGCGCATGTCTATAGTCCCAGCTACTCTGCAGGTTTAGGTGGGATCACTGGAGCCCAGAAGGTGAGGCTGCAGTAAGCTGTGATCGTACCACTGCACTCCAGCCTGGGTGACAGAGCAAATTCCTATTTAAAAAAAAAAGAAAAAAGAAAAAAGAAAAAAAAAATTCCTTTTACTGGTCTGTAAAAAGGAAGGGGGAATGGGATTAAAATCTAATGGCCTAATTTCTTGTTTCATAGGTTACAAAATAGACGCAGAGTTTATGTTACTTGCTCGAGGTCAATTTTTTAGTTGGAGACAAAATGAGGCCAAAATAATTGAGACCCCAGTCTGGTGCATATTCCTTGGCAACCCTGTCTCCATATTTATCAACCATGGCTAGTGAGTCTTCTCATTTTTGAGCCTGATTGGGTTTCTATTGTCTTTTTTTTTTTTTTTTTTTTTTTTTTTTTTAAAGACGGAGTCTTACTCTCTCACCCAGGCTGGAGTGCAGTCGAGCAATCTCTGCTCACTGCAACCTCCATCTCCCAGGTTCAAGTGATCCTCCTGCCTCAGCCTCCCAAGTAGCTGGGATTACAGGCAAGTACCAGCATGCCCAGCTAATTTTTGTATTTTTAGTAGAGACACGGTTTCACCCATGTTGGCTAGGCTGGTCTCAAACTCCGAGGCCACCCAAAGTGCTGGGATACAGGCATGAGCCACAGCACCCAGCCAGGTTTCCATTGCCTTTCATATATTATTTCACTTCCTTTTCCTTAAAAATTCCTTATTTCGGTGAAATTACTACTTTTTTAAAAAAAATTTGCTTTATCAGAATGTATACTGCTGCTATGGTCTGAATGTTTGTGTGTCCCCAGAAT
This sequence comes from Homo sapiens, assembly GCF_000001405.40. Classification (NCBI taxonomy): domain Eukaryota; kingdom Metazoa; phylum Chordata; class Mammalia; order Primates; family Hominidae; genus Homo; species Homo sapiens. Next base: position 28,412,756 of record NC_000006.12, on the reverse strand, counting down.
TCATATATTGAAACCTAATCAGTCATCACTGTGATGGTATTAGGAAGTGAGGCCCTTTGGAGATACCCTCTTATATAAGATTAGTGCCCTTATAAAAAAATGGCCACAGAGAGCTGCCATACCCTTCCACTGTGTGACGACATAGCAAGAAGTCACCATCATTGACCCTCACCAGACACCAGATCTGCTGGTGCCTTCATCTTGTACTTCTCAACTTCCAGAACTGTGAGAAATAAATGTTTGTTGTTTATACATCACCGAGTTTATGGTGTTTTTGTTATAATATACTGAACAGATTAAGACACATGTACACTTTTTTCTCTCTTCCTTTTTTTAAGAGACAGGGTCTCACTCTGTTGCCCAGGCTGGAGTGCAGCAGTGCAACCATAGCTCATTGCAGCTTCAGACTCCTGAGTTCAAGGCTCAAGGGATCCTCCCACCTCAGCCTCCTGAGTAGCTAAAACTACAGACATGTGTCAACATGCCCAGCTAACTTTTAAATTTTTTGTAGAGACAGGATCTGACTATATTGCCCAGGCTGGTTTTGAACTCCTGGCCTCAAACGATCCTCCCTCCTTGGCCTCCCAAAGTACTCAGACTATAGGCATGAGCCACCACACCCAGCCACATGTATACTTTGCTTTCATTCCTCCTTTCCTTCCTCCTTTCTTTCTTCCTTTTTCAACTGAACCATCTAAAAGCAAGTTGTATGCAATCCCATTTACAATAGATACAAAAAAATAAAATACCTAGGAATATATCTAACCAAGCTTCAAAGACCTCTACAAAAAGAACTACAAAACACTGCTGAAAGAAATCATAGATGACACAAACAAAGGGAAAAGCATTTCCTGCTCATGGATTGGAAGAGTCAATATCACTAAAATGACCATACTGGACAAAGCAATCTATAGATTCAACACTATTCCTATCAAATTACCAATGTCATTTTCACACAATTAGAAAAAACTATTCTAAAATTCATATGGAACCAAAAATAACCCAAATAGCCAAAGCAACCTTAAGCAAAAAGAGCAAACCTGAGGGCATCACATTAGTTGACTTCAAACTATGCTGTAAGACTACAGTAACCAAACGGTACTGATACAAAAACAGACGCAGAGACCAATGGATCAAAATAGCCCAGAAATAAGGCTGCATACCTACAGTCAATTGATCTTTGACAAAGAACAAAAACAAGCAACAGGGAAAGGGGCTCCCTATTCAATAAATGGTGCTGAGATAGCTGGCCAGCCATATGCAGAAGAATGAAACTGGATTCCTACCTTTCACCATATAGAAAAATTAACTCAAGATGGATTAAAGATTTAAAAGTAAGACCACAAACTATAAGAATCCTAGAAAAGCATGAACCCGGGAGGCAGAGCTTGCAGTGAGCCAAGATTGCACCACTGCACTCCAGCCTGGGTGACACAGCGAGACTCCATCTCAAAAAAAAAAAAAAAAAAAAAAATCCTAGAAGAAAACCTAGGAAATGGCATTCTGGACATCAGCCTTGGGAAAGAATTTATGATAAAGTCCTTAAAAGCAATCTCAACAAAAATGAAAATTGATAAGTGGGACCTAATTAAACTAAAAAGCTTCTTCACAGTAAAAGAAATTATTAACAGGTAAATAGACTACAAAATGAAAAAAAAATACTTGCAATCTGCATCCAGCAAAGATCTGATATCCAGAATTTATAAGGAAAACAAACAATTCAACATGCAAAAAACAACCCCATTAAAAAATGGGCAAATCACATGAACAGACGCATCTCAAAAGAAGACATACAAGCATCCAACAAACATATGAAAAAATGTGCAACATCACTAATCATCAGAGAAGTGCAAATAAAAACCACAATGAGAACCATCTTACACCAGTCAGAATGGTTGTTATTAAAAAGTCAAACAATAAGAGATGCTGGTGAGGCTGAGGAGAAAAAGGAATGCTTATACACAGTTCGGCCACTGTGGAAAGCAGTTTGGCGACTTCTCAAAGAACTACCATTCAACCCAGCAATCCCACTACTGGGTTATGTACCCAGAGGAAAATAAAGCATTCTACCAAAAATATATATGCACTTACATGTTCATCACAGCACTATACACAATAGCAAAAATGGAAGTAAAGGCTCCCCCATGTACCCCATGCTCCATGGAATCAACCTAGATGGCCATCAGTGGTGGAATAAAGAAAATGTGGCAAATATACACTGTGGAATACAGGTAGGCGCCACCACGCCTGGCTAATTTTTTTGTATTTTTTGTAGAGACGAGGTCTCGCTATATTGCCCAGGTTGGTCTCGAACTCCTGGGTTCAAGCGATCTGCCCACCATGGCCTCCCAAAGGGCTAGGATTACAGGAATGAACCACTGCCCCTGGCCAAATTACATATTCTTTATGTTTTTTATACATTTAAATAAATGTGTAAATGTTTTTATACATTTACACTTGATCTTAGCCAAAAGGCCGAGAAGCAATGTTTTTATACATTTAAATAAATGTGTACATGTTTTTATACATTTAAATAAATGTGTACATGTTTTTATACATTTAAATAAATGCCAAAACCACAGTATACTTTTATTGGACATATTTAACTTCCTTTCTTATACTAAGTAGCAGAGAAGGATCTATTTAAGAAGTCTTAGATAAAAAGAGACTCCAGGGCACCATCAGTTGTTGACTTAGGATAATAAGTATCCCAAATGGAGCAAGACTTCCACTAAACCTTGACTTGCTTATTTCTAGAGTGTCTCTGTCACATACTCTCATATTTACTGTGATCCCCTTTTTATGGTTGTCCATTATTAGTGAGTATAAATCAACCTCAGAATCATCATCTTTAACGGTCCTTTCCTGCTCCTTACCACTGGCTACTTTTCCAAAGATTTTATACACTTAGTCCATATTTCTACACTTACCCATATGCATCACTTTACCACTGCAAAAGTTTCAGACAATGTCTCCTTACTCTCAAATATTGTCCCTTCTACACATCTTGATTGGCTTCCTATTGTGCTTTGCATTTTTTCAGTGACCTTCATCAGTCTTCTTGCTAACTACTTCCCTCTCCTACATGCAGAAGCCCTGTTACCCTCATCCTAAAATACTTGCCTCATAAATCTGAATTGTACTCATTGAATTTATGTTCTTCCTTGGATAGTTCGTCTATTTGTAGCTTCAGATGGTGATTCTAGAAACAAATACAGAAATATGTGTCCAAAGCAAGAAACATGAAGAAAGGGAACCACATAGGGAACTATCTGGCAGACCCAAAGGAAAATTTTGCAGAATCTCAAGGAGCAGTTAGGTACACTCCACGATTAAGAAACAAGTCAAACTCAATGACTCCAAAACGAACGTTATCCAGAATTTAGTACATAATCAGCATCAGAGGCTCATCTGAACACAGAAAGTCTTGCAGCATGGGGTACATGGGGGAGCCTTTACTCCAAATACAGACCTCGCTGAGCAGCAAAGAAAGCAAACTCTGAGCCCACCCACTGTTATGTGAAGAGTGTGGGAAGACCCTTAGATCAAAAAATGGCCTTATTCGTCAAGTGGGAATCCAGGTGGAAAGAAAAACCCTGTAATGTGATGGGTGTGGAAAAACTGTTAAAGATCAGTTTTTAGTCGACATTGGAGACTTAATACAAGTGAAAAACACTTGTTGAAAAGGCTTTACTCAGAATGCAAGAGTTTTTGATGATCTTGAAAAACATTCGGAAGAGAAATGCTTTGGCTGGAATCAGTGTAGTAAAACCTTGATTCATCGGTCTGCCTTGATTCAGCATCAGGTAGTTTATATAGCAGAGAAAACTTGTAAGTGCCATGACGGCAGAAAAGCTTCTGTACACAACTTATCCCTCTTCAGGAGATCCACTAGATGAAAACATTCTTTAAATGTATTCAGTGTTAGCCTTCAGTTAGAGAGCAGGCCACACTCAGCAGCAGAGATCCACTACGAAGATCCATTATGAGGTCCTATTTGCAGGATTTCTCCTGCGAATAGGACCGGCATGGGCAACCCAACATCTGTACTAAGAATGCTCACTCAGAGGAGAAAGAAGATACCCAGTAGGAAAGTGAGAGTCACAATGGAGGCCTTCCTGGAAATGATTTTCTGAAAAACAAGCTCTGTGAGCATAATGAGATTGAGACTAGTGACTCAGTAAAAGTCTTGTGAAACATCAGAACATACACTCTTCAAGGGAGAAATACCTCGAAGGTACTGACTGTGGGAAGCACTTAAGCCCAGGGTTTACTGAACTTTAGAAAACTTATGCAGGAGACCAATCCTACAATCTTCATTTTACATGAAGAATGTAAAAAGACTTTAAGTGCAAATGGTAGCTGTATTAGACATTTTTTTAAAAAAACACACTGGAGAGAGGCCCTACAAATGTAATGAATGTCAGAAAGCATCCTGCCAGTTGTTAGCCCTTAACCAGCACCAGTTTTTCCATGCTGGAGAGGAGCACTGTTATTGCAATGAGTGTGGCGAACATTTCAGAACACAGGCCTGTTTTACCATCTCTGAGTACAAACTGGAGGAAAACCCTTTTCAGTGTAAACTATGTAGTAAGTTTAGTAAACTATCTTTTAATTTGAGACTATCATAAAACAGCATAGTAAACAATATTGATTAAACATCAGGACAGATTTTATGATTGCTTTTAAAGTGGGAAATCTGCCTTTACTGTAAATACCTTATTTATCTCCCAGATTATTGACAAAGAAATGGAATAAACTGGTGTCAGACATCAAAGCAAGTTGTCTATATTATTGTAAATTCCATTTATTGTGAATGTATTATAACTAGGTACTAGTAGTAGAAGATACTTCACACATGGAAATTTTTTAGAGGTGAGGCAACTGAAGCTCAATGGAGTGGTCGTGTGCTCAAGGTCACTGTGACATATTTCACAAATGCTGTCTTGACCCAGTTTGTAAGTTATGGCTAACAAATCTTCAATTCCCCTTTGCAGATAGTTTGCTAACCCCTATCCCAGTCTCTTTACTTATTGGTCCTCCACTCTCTGAAGCCACTGTGCACACACCACAGCTGCCTCCCTTATTAGGGCCTCATTCTCTGAGGACAGGTACTAGACAACTAGGGACAGCCCCTATGACCCAGAGGCTATGAAATTAACCAGTCCACATGGAGCCCCTGAAACCGAGCTAACTCCACCTCCTTGCCATATATACACTGCCTTCTGCAACTCCAGCTTGCCGTTACTCTGTCCCTGGGTCCAACTCTGTGTAGCCCTGCATGGCAGCTTCTCTCTTTTGGAGTTGTAAGTAACAAAGTTCTAATTTTCATCATCAGTATGTTGTGTCCCTTCATCAACCAATCTTTAAATTTTATAAAACAGTCACTCGGTTATTAAGTGCCAGAAGTGAGGTTCAGACCTATATCAAAATCTCTTAGATTCAGACTCTTTCTCTTAAATTGATGCTCTGCTTCTGTGTCACACTGACTCTCTCCTCGTGCTATCAAAATTACCTACTGTTGCAGCTCCCAACAGTGTTTCTTTTAGTGTTTGTGGAAGATATAGATTGCAGCCTTCCTCTTTTCCTTTATTCATACTCATATTCTTAATGCTTTGATTCAATCCTAGATGGAACTCAACAGTCTTCAATGTGGGAGTAATTTCCTACAGGGTCTCTAAGAGGTCATACAAAAATATCAGTTTTATCAAAAGATCAAAGTCTATGTTACACATACACACACACGCAGCAGATATTGTAGATGGGCCATGATATCTTAGTGATCTGTGAATTTCAAAACCTAAGGACCTGTAACTCAGAGGACAATCTAGCCCTCCCAAAGAAACCATTTGTATTAAACAACAGAACTGCCTAGATGATGCTTCTAGGATAGGTACATTTTACTATTTTGTTAATATGTTCATATTGTTCACCTTGGGTATTGTTCGCCTTGGGCAGTAGCATCCGCATTTTGACAAATACTCAAAATGTTAATTTTCCTTTTTCGGGGATGGAGTCTCATTCTGTCACCCAGGCTGCAGTGCAGTGGTGCAGTCATGGCTTACTGCAAGCCTCAACTTCCTGGCCTCAAGTGATCTTATCACCTCGGCCTCCCAAAGTGCTGGGATTACAGGCATGCACCACTGCCCTTTAATTTTTCTTTTGCTGTTGTCTTTTTCTTCTCTCTTTTTTTTTAAAACATGAAAACTGCCAACATGCTGTTGTCTTTTTCTTTAATCAAAGTTAGATAGGCTTATAATTTTTATCGACCACTTTGCACTGAAAGGTTTATAATATTTAAAAAATCAAACAGCAAACCAGGTTTTATGATGAAAAGCAGCAGACCTACTTTATCATTTGACACACTCCCTGGTAGTCCTGAGGGGTACCTTTTCTATCTCTGGTTCTCCTAATGGTCACCTCCATATCACTAAGCAATTTAGTTCTATTACTTGTTGTTGTTAATTTTGTTTATTTACTCTTAACACTGCCTATTGAATATTTGCTATGTTCAATTAGAACTTAAGTCACAATCTTCAATATATGATTATGTTACTATTCTCAGTTTCTACTTTTGTCTCCTTGGGATGAAGGGCAGCTTAAATTTTTACTCACTTTTTACTTTTTTACTCACTCACTTTTTAAAACAAGGTTTTATTCAATTTATGCCCAGTTATATGGCTCAGTATCTGCTTACCAGCATGGACCTATTGAAATAGTTTTCAGACTTCTTCTCAATCTGTCGCACATTTCTTAAAGGTAGATGAGAGATGACCAGCAAAAAACAAATGGTATCAATGGTTCATCAATTAGATACAATTTGATTTTTTTTAAACAGCTAGTTATGGACTCTCCCATTAGAGCTGTAGATAGGAAACAAAACATTCTATTATATCCATGTGAACCCTGAAAGTTCTTCCTTTATTGACATATTTACCTGTGTTCTTAACTATATGCTTTCTCTGAAGTACCTGTTTTCTCAACTATATACTTTCTGAAGCTCACAGAATTCACATCACAAAACTTTGTTTTGCTTTTGGCTTCTGTTTTCAAATCTGTAAATGAAATACTTCCTTTATTATCACTAATGATGATTTAGAGTTAAGAAATTAGTTTTTTGTTTTGTTTTGTTTTGTTTTGTTTTTGAGATGGAGTCTCACTCTGTCGCCCAGGCTGGAGTGCAGTGGCGTGATCTTGGCTCACTGCAACCTCCGCCTCCCAGGTTCAAGCAGTTCTCCTGCCTCAGCCTCCCAAGTAGCTGGAATTACAGGTGCCCACCACCATGCCCAGCTAATTTTTGTATTTTTAGTAGAGACAGGGTTTTACCATATTGGCCAGGCTGGTCTTGAACTCCTGACCTCAGGTGATCCTCCCCTGTCAGCCTCCTAAAGTGCTGGGATTACACGCATGAGCCACCACGCCTGGCCAGAAATTAGTATTTTTTAATAAATATGAGAATTTAAAATTTGGCAATATGTTAAATGTTTATATATTGAGTTTAAATACTAACATTTTTCCAGGTGAGAAATATGGATTTAAAATACAAAAATGTGATTTGACAACAACTGTTTTAGTATAGTTACCACAGGATCCCACAGTTTGATTTTTTAAAAAGGTTTCAGGTCTAACCCTGATTTGGTTTAGTGTCTAATGTGATTAAGAAATTGGTTAGTAACAAGAAATGGGGAAAGGATTCCCTATTTAATAAATGGTGCTGGGAAAACTGGCTAGCCATATGTAGAAAGCTGAAACTGGATCCCTTCCTTACACCTTATACAAAAATTAATTCAAGATGGATTAAACACTTAAATGTTAGACCTAAAACTATAAAAACCCTAGAAGAAAACCTAGGCAATACCATTCAGGACATAGGTATGGGCAAGGACTTCATGACTAAAACACCAAAAGCAATGGCAACAAAAGCCAAAACAGATGAAGGGGATCTAATTAAACTAAAGAGCTTCTGCACAGCAAAAGAAACTACCATCAGAGTGAACAGGCAACCTACAGAATGGGAGAAAAATTTTGCAATCTACCCATCAGACAAAGGGCTAATATCCAGAATCTACAAAGAACTTAAACAAATTTACAAGAAAAAATCAAACGACCCCATCAAAAAGTGGGCAAAGGATAGGAACAGACATTTTTCAAAAGAAGACATTTATGCAGACAACAGACAAATGAAAAAATGCTCATCATCACTGGTCATCAGAGAAATGCAAATCAAAACCACCATGAGATGCCATCTCACACCAATTAGAATGGCAATCATTAAAATGTCAGGAAACAACAGGTGCTGGAGAGGATGTGGAGAAATAGGAACACTTTTACACTGTTGGTGGGAGTGTAAACTAGTTCAACCATTGTGGAAGACAGTGTGGCGATTCCTCAAGGATCTAGAACTACAAATACCATTTGACCCAGTGATCCCATTACTGGGTATATACCCAAAGGATTATAAATCATGCTACTATAAAGACACATGCACACGTATGTTTATTGTAGCACTATTCACAATAGCAAAGACTTGGAACCAACCCAAATGTCCATCAGTGATAGACTAGATAAAGAAAATGTGGCACATATATACCATGGAATACTATGCAGCCATAAAAAAGGATGAGTTCATGTCCTTTGTAGTGACATGGATGAAGCAGGAAACCATCATTCTGAGCAAACTATGGCAAGGACAGAAAATCAAACACCACATGTTCTCACTCATAGGTGGGAACTGAACAACGAGAACACTTGGACACAGGGCGGGGTACATCACACACCGGGGCCTGTCGTGGGGTGGGGGGATAGGGGAAAGCATTAGGAGAAATACCTAATGTAAATGATGAATTAGTGGGTGCAGCAAACCAACATGGCACATGTATACATATGTAACAAACCTGCACGTTGTGCACATGTACCCTAGAACTTAAAGTATAATAAAAAATAAATAAATAATAAAAAAAGATAAAAAAGAAATTGTTAACTATAGCCTATAAAAAATTACCTTATACTGTATACATAATAATTTCCATAAAAATTGGAGCTATACCTGGCCTAAAATTTAGTGCAAGTCCTCAACATCAAGCTTTTTCCTAACTGGAAATTTAAATATCAACTACAAATTGAAAATTGCATGTTGACTATGTCATTGAAACGAAGGAAAGTTAATATTCTTAGGAAATAGTCTAATCAAACTGTTACAATCTGGTAAACATCTGATCTTGTTATCTATTGCTGCATAAATAGTTACTCCAAAACAGTGGACAAAAACACACCATCATGTTTTGGGCCAGGAATTTGGGGAGGACTTAGCTGAGAAATTCTTCTGTTTCATGTGGTGTCAACTAAGATCACATGCTGGTATTCATCTGGCAGTATAATTTGTCTGGAAAATCCAAGACAGCTTCACTGCCATGCCAAGTGCCTTGGCAGGGACAGCCAGAAAAGTGGGCTTAGCCGGGCTGATCTTCTCCATGTGGTCTCAGAGCTTCTTTATGTGGTCTCGGAGACACACAAAGCTCACTTTGGGGTCATCTTTTTGGCATCTTGAAGGATTCTTGCAACTCAGTCACTGGAAAGCAGGGTTGGCAGACTTCTTCCATGGTGGCTCAGGACTTCAAGAGCAATTGTTCTAAAAGACAAAAAGTGAAAGCTGCTGCTCTCCAAAGGCTCAGGCCAGAAACCACAGCATCACTTTTGCAGTATTTTATTGGTCAAATTAATGATTAACCCCACTCAGATTCAAGGGAAAGTGACATAGACCCCACATCTTGATGAGAAATGCCAAATAATTTGTAGTCATCTTTAATTTTCCACAATACCTTTATCCACCTCAGATTTAAAGTCTGAAGGAAAAATAAGCCTTTTTTTGAAATCTTTTCCCAAATAACTTTTTTCTCAATTGTCTCCATCCCCTTTCAACCTCACTAAATAAACCTGGCACAATTATGAGCTAATCAAGTTTATACATGCTTTCATTTTCACAAAGTAACAAAGTGAGCTTCCAATATTACAGTTTTACCTTTTCTCTTAGTCTTTGAGTCCTAGATCTCAACATCTGCTTTTTTTCCCTTTTAAGTGCAGTTAGAAGGCTTATCAATATATCACAGGAAGCTTTCTCCTTTTTAAATGTTAGAGTTATTTTGTTAGTAAAATGGCCAAAAAGTGTTAGTAATAATGTTAGACAAAAATTGTTTAAAATAAAGGTATTCTGGAGATCCATTTTGTCTGCTCTTTGTCTCTATATCCTTGTGTTTCTCTAGTGTCAAAAGACGGAGATTGGTTTTACTCGGAGTTCTGTCTTAAGCTCTCTTTGTGCTTAGATGCTCTTTTCTTCTGGCTACATTGCATCTGTGACAAAAAGTTGACTGTTTCACCTAGGTCCCTGGGAACTATGCCAAGTCAATCATCCTTGGTGCAAGCTGACTTTTTAAGTGAGACTTTCATATCAGCTTCTTACAGTAAGTCATGCCAAGTGGAACTTGGAAAACAACTGCATTGCAAAAATCCTTCAAGATGCCTGGAAAAGGACCCCAAAGTGAGCTTGAGGGACACTTCCAGGTTGAATTCAAGTTGTTGTCCAATAATTTCTCTGTCTGTTGTTTTCTGAGATGTTCTACGGCTTCAGGTGAGATTTGAGCCCTGGCACGGTGTGAGGAGGGATCTCTCTCTCCCTTCTCCGCAGACGCCCTGAAAGAAGAATCTATAGGGCTGGCAGTAGGGGGCAAAGGGCACTCCAGAAATCTGTCCTAGGCTGTTTTTTAGCACCACACACTTCATGAGATATCTTAATCATTTTAACCATTACTGAAAGGTGGAAGGCTCCAAAATATGGATCTCAAGCTAACTCTCTTCTCATGACTCCTAGACCCACAAATCCCTAAACCAATCCATTAACAAATAGCAACATCTACAGTGTAATGCTTCCTAGGATTTCGAACTTAACATGGCCAAGCTGTGCTCATAAATTTCTTCTCAAAATGCTACTTGTCATTTAGTGTCCCCTGTCTTGGTGGAGGGACCACCATCCTCTGACGATACCAGGCTTTTTTTTTTTTTTTTTTTGGTTCTCTTATCCCCCACATAATCAATGATGAAGCCCTGATCCATTTTTCCTCCTGAGAATTTCTCAATTTCATCCCCTCATATTTGGCATTTTAAAAATCAGGCCTCTCCTGATCTCATTTAATCTTGTGTGTGTGTCACTTCATATTTTTGTCAAAGTATCTTTGAGATGGATTTCTAGAAGTGGTATTGCAGGAACAAAGGGTAAACTTACATATATAATTTTGCTGTATAGTATTATCTTTCATACCTATGGGTTGTACCATTTTGCATTCCCACTAGAATGTTAAGAGTTTCTCCTTCCTCATGAGTAGAGCATGCTGTCAAACTTTTGTACCATTGCCAATCTGATGACTAACGGTGCCTCAGTCAGCATAGTTTTTAATTTGTATGTTCATATTTTGAGTGAAGTTGAACATATTTACAGATGTTTGAGGGCTGCTAGCATTTCTTATTCTGTCAACTATTTATTTCTTTTGGCCATTTTCTCTATTGGGTTATTGGTTATTCTCAACTTTTAGGAGCTCTTTAGGTATTTGGAAAACTAGCCCTTGCCTGTGATATGTTGCAAGCCTTTTTCTTTCCTTATTTTTTTTTGACAAGCAATACATTTTATTTTCATGTAGCCAGATTTATTATTTTTATGGGTTTTAGATTTTGAGTCATATGGTTAGATAATGTTTCCCTATTCCCACGTGTTAGAATTATTATTCATGTTTTCTTCTAATACATGTATAGGTGGATTTTTTATATTTAGATCTCAGATCCATTTAGAATTTATCTCTATTGTGATGTGTGGTGGGAAATACAAATCCAGTTTTACCTTTGCCAAACGGTTATCATCCCAGCACAACTTCTAAGTTCTTCATTTCCCTGTTGATATGTGGTGTCACCTTCATCATTTACTCAATATCCTTACATACCTGGATCCATTTCTGGTCTATTCTTTCTCTCTGTTAATACACTAAAATTATATGGGTATGTTCCAGTATCTGATAAGGTTGACCCTCACCATTTTTCTTTTTCATGGGTTTCCTGGCTATTCTTATTTCCCCACATGAATTTTATAATCAGTTTATCTAATTCCAGAACAATATTTGTTGATATTTTTGTTGGAATACTACAGTTGCATACGTATTTAGGGAGGACTGACCTCTTTGAGTCTTTCCAAGAACCTCATATCGCTTTCTGTTTGTTTAAATGTATACTTGGCCTTTTAGGAATGTTTTAAAGCTTTCCCCATAGAAGTTTTGTTCATTTCTTGTTAAGTTTATTCCTAGTTTCACTTTTTTGCTGCTCTTGTAAATATGGTCTTCTCTTCCATTATATCTCGTAACTCGTTATCATTGATTATTCACATATATGAAGGTCGTTGATTTTAGTGTGTTAACTTTATATCTTGCTATTTTACTAAATTATCCTTTTTTTATAGTTTTTCCATTGAACCGGGTTTTCTGACATATAATCATACATCAGCACATAAAAGAGAACATCAAAAGAATCGTGGATGGCGAAAGAGCCGGCAGAAACCAGCCGGCTGGCCCTTGAGAAGTCTGTGTGGAAGAAGTCCCTTCGCCACCGCTAAGCGCGGATTTGGGAAGGTCCCCCGGAGAACATCCCTTTGAGGCATCTCTAACCTCAGAGACACAGAATCCCAAAGTGAATGGAGACGCAAGGGATTTCCCTGTCTTAAGATCAGTTCTACAAGCCTCGACCACCCATCGGGTCGGGGGAAGTGTGGACAATGGCTGGGTAAAGAAGAGGAGAAGATAAACCCGTTCCATTTACCAGCGGGCCTGAAAGCCATCAACCTTCCTCTCACGTAGACGCGCGGAAACACTACCGAGTTGAAAGCCCCTTTCGCTCCCTTCCTAGAGCGGCCGCGGAAGTGCGCCCCGCGCGGGCTGGTTCTTAGACCCCCCGTGGCCGCTTCCGGCCTTTGTGGGTCACTTTTGATGGGTTCCGGGTCCCAAAAGGGTTCGAGGCCTCTTGCCTTCGCTCCGTAGGAGGGAGTTCTCTTCTGGCCCTGGGGGCCGCAGGTGAGCGATGTTGTGCTCTGTACGCTGCGAGCAGGTGGGCGGGAGATTGCTGTATTCCAGCTGCTGGGCCCCTCAGGCCCTGGCCGGTGCAGAGTGGACCCCGGTCCTCCCAAACCCAGGCGGATCCGCGGGAAGCTCTCCCTCCCCAAAGTGCGTTGGGACATTAGGATGAGGGTTTGGCTCCCAGTCTCTGCAGCAATTCCAGGCTGTAAGGCCCATACCTTCCGCGTTTGCTTCGGGCTGTGTATCCTTGGGTTCAGCGCTTACCGACATTTCTGGACAGTGGTGGGTCACAGACGCTCGCCGGCGTCCTAGGGACCCTTTCCTGGGCCTTCCTCACTTCAGATTATAATCACAGACCACGAGGTTAGAGGGAAGCCTTAAAGAGTAACCTCTTCAGCCTTCTCACTTTATAAATGAAGAATGAGGAGCAGAAAGATTAAGTCCCTGAAGAAATAAATTTACATGACTGTAGCTTTTGTGATTTCATGGTTTCCACCAGACATCTGGACATTCAAAAGATAAAAGTAACTAATCAAGGATGTCCTAACCTTTTGTTATTATTATTTACTTGATCTAAATGTTAGTTTTATTCCATTTGTCTTTCATTTAGGACCAAATGAGAATAAGTTTACCAACAAGTCTTACTCTTAAGTCCTGAAACAACTTGGCACCTTTCCTCAGTCTTTCTCTTTAAATTAGTCTAATCTTTTTTTTTTTTTTTGAGACGGAGTCTCGCTCTGTCGCCCAGGCTGGAGTGCAGTGGCGCGATCTCGGCTCACTGCAAGCTCCGCCTCCCGGGTTCACGCCATTCCCCTGCCTCAGCCTCCTGAGTAGCTGGGACTACAGGCGCCCGCCGTCACGCCCGGCTAATTTTTTTTTTTTTTTTTTTTTTGTATTTTTAGTAGAGACGGGGTTTCACCATGTTAGCCAGGATGGTCTCGATCTCCTGACCTCGTGATCCGCCCGACTCGGCCTCCCAAAGTGCTGGGATTACAGGCGTGAGCCACTGTGCCCGGCCTAAATCGGTCTAATCTTAAGTCTTTTCTATCAGAGTATTTTTCTGAGTAAGTATTGTACATTAATCCGGAGGTCAGATTTCAAAGGTCATAGTTAAGTTCTCAGAATTTGCAGTTTTACTTTATGGTGGAGTTTGTATTAATAATGATGGCTTATTCTTCAGGACTGTCCAGGAATACAGTTTCCAGGTGAGATCTTACTTGAAACACCGGTAGTTCTAGCACAGCTAAAATGGCATCTACTTGGGCTATCCAGGCCCACATGGACCAGGATGAACCTTTGGAAGTAAAGATAGAGGAAGAGAAATATACCACCAGACAGGATTGGGACCTGCGTAAAAACAACACCCATAGCAGAGAGGTCTTCCGTCAGTACTTCAGACAGTTCTGCTACCAGGAGACATCTGGTCCCCGTGAGGCTTTGAGCCGACTCCGAGAACTTTGCCATCAGTGGCTGAGGCCAGAGACCCACACCAAAGAACAGATTCTGGAGCTGCTGGTGCTGGAGCAGTTCCTGACCATCCTACCTGAGGAGCTCCAGGCCTGGGTGCAGGAGCAGCATCCAGAGAGTGGGGAGGAGGTGGTGACTGTGCTGGAGGATTTAGAGAGAGAACTGGATGAACCAGGAGAGCAGGTGAGAAAAAAGATGTGACTTCTGCTTGAGAAAACATAAATTGTGGATTTCTAGGCCAGAGTGAAGAACAGCCATTTTTTCACAAAGCATGTTTTTGACAGTTTGGTGCATCAGAAAGGGGCATGAGTTTCACGGAAAGTTGGCTAATGTGGTCCCAACTTATTTATAACTTTTCTGTGGAAGGATTTTATATTTCTCTATTAAGCTACAAAATTCTGTTTGATAAACATGCTGCTCATCTTAGAAAACTTCTAAGACAAGAGAAAGTATCAAAGAGATGACAGTAGCAGGATGGGAAGCAGTCTCTTGGAGGGGCATCACTCTGTTGCACAATACAAATAATTAAGAATTAAGGTTTTGCAGATATATCCATTGCTCTGACTCCATTACAGGGTTTTAAAATGAAGACATTAACTATTTCAGGGGAATGAGATGTGGGAGTACAATGGAAAGTTAGTGAGGAGAGCAGGGTGGGGAATCTGTGTTTCTTTGAGTAGCAGAAAGCCCAGTTAGGTTGGAAAGGTGAATTCCAAATAGCAGAGTTGAGATAGTGTCCAGGACCTTGAATCTCAACCTCTGGAATTGAGATTTTATTCTGTAGGACAGATGCCCCTAACCTTTTCTCCTTGAGTCTAAATGAGCTTTACTAATTGTAAGATGTAAAAGAGAACCAAATTATGTAGAACGTTTTTGTTTTGTTTTTAATACTAAAATGAGACAGTGGTTCTCAACCAGTGCCAATTTTGTGCACCAGAGGGCATTTGGCAATGTCTTGGGACATTTTTGGTTGTTATAACTTGGGGAGGTGCTGCTAGTATCTAGTGGATCACTCGGGGAGGTGCTGCTAGTATCTAGTGGGTAGAGAGGGCAAGGCTAATGCTAAACCTCTTAAAACACACAGGACAGCCCCAGACAACAAAGTCAGTAGAGCCAATGCTAGGAACATGTCAGTAGAGCCAATGCTGGGAAACCCCGGTATAAAGAGTTTGAAACTTAGGGAAATAATGAAACAGAAGTATAATCTAGCACTGTGATACAAAATGCAATAGAGAGGGTAGGAACATGTGGCAAAAATATCTAAGTTTGAAATAGGATCATGAGGCCAGGCACGGTGACTCATGCCTGTAATCCTAGCGCTTGGGAGGCCAAGGGAGGTGGATCACCTGAGGTCAGGAGTTCAACGCCAGCCTGGGCAACATGGTGAAACCCCGTCTCTACTAAAAATACAAAAGTCAGCCGGGTGTGGCAGGACATGCCTGTAATCCCAGGTACTTGGTAGGCTGAAGCAGGAGAATCACTTGAACCTAGGAGGCAGAGGTTGCAGTGAGCCGAGATTGTGCCACTGTACCCCAGCCTGGGCAACAGAGTGAGACTCCGTTTAAAAAACAAAACAAACAAACAAACAGAAAAAAGAAATAGGATCGTGAAAGTGTGATTACCAAGGATGAGGCATGTCTTAGGTAAGAACTGTTTGGAAGTGATGACAGATTAGCTCTATTAAATAAAGAAGGAAGAACCAATGGAGAACTCTTTACAGAGCAATGTATTCTAAGCTAAACACTAGGGATTTTAAGCTTGAAAGACTAGTATAATGGAGACACTCCTAACAAAGTTAAAGACTGCAGGAAACAATTAAGCACATATTTACCGAATGTCTGTTTGGACTAGGTACTGTTTTAGGCACTGTGAATGCAACAGCGAACAAAACACAGGGGTTGCTGCTCTCATGTAGGTTCTGGTCCACTGAGACAGATAGTAAATTAAAAATCAACAAACCAGCCTGGGCAACATAGTGAGACCCCCATCTCTATAAAAAATACAAAAATTAGCCAGGCAGGTGTGTGTAGTCCTAGCTACTTGAGAGGCTAAAGTGGGAGGATTGCTTGAGCCCAGGAGATCGAGGCTGCAGTGAACCACGATCATACCACTGCACTCCAGCCTGGGCGACACAGTGAGACCCTATCTCCAAAAAAAAAAAAAAAAATCAACAAACACCTACAAGATGTAGGTGGTAATAAATTCTGTTCAAACAACAACAACAATAAAAGCAGAGAAAAGGAATAGTGAAATAAGTGGGGATTGTGCTGTTTTCTGTAGACTTGTCAGAGAAGGTTTTTCAGATAGGTGACATTTACAGGAGAAATCTGAATGAAAAGAGCAAGCCATAAGCTATCAGGGATAACAGCATTCAGGCAGAGGGTCTTAAAGTGAGAATGTACTTATCATGGTGGAGATGTGGTTGTCAAGGAGGAGATGAAATAAAATGCTTATAAGATTATATTATGTCAGAACTTGTAGGCCATTATAAGAATTTCGAATTGTATTCTGAGATGGAAAGTCATTGGAGAATTTTGAACAGAAGCGAGATATAATCTGACTTGAATTTTAAAATAGTCACTCTGGCTACTGTGAGAAAGTTCCACAATGGGGCTGGGGTAGCCATAGGAGTAAAAGGTAGAGGCAACGAAACCATTTTAGGAGCAATAATAATAAGCAATAATCCAGGCAAGAGATATTGGTGACTTGGACTAGAATAGTAGCAGTGGGAGTGGTAAAATGTGATTGGATTCTGGATATATTTTGGAGCTAGAGCTTGACAGGGTTTGTTTTTATATAGAATGTGGAATATGAGAGAAAGTAAGTTAAGGATTATGCCGAAGTATTTGGTCTGAACATCAGATAGAGTGGATTTGTCATTCATAGAGATGGTAAAGACTGGGAGAGAAGTGGGTTTGGGGTGGAAAGACAGGAATCAAAACTTAGGGTTTGGGCCAGGCACGGTGGCTCAAGCCTGCAATCCTAGCACTTTGGGAGGCCAATGTGGGCAGATCACCTGAGGTCAGGAGTTCAAGACCAGCCTGGCCAACATGATGAAAGCCTGTCTCTACTAAAAATACAAAAATTAGCTGGGTGTGGTGGCAGGCACCTATAATCCCAGCTACTCAGGAGGCTGAGGCAGGAGAATCGCTTGAACCCAGGAGTCGGAAGTTGCAGTGAACCAAGATCTTGCCACTGCACTCCAGCCTGGACGACAGAGTGAGACTCTGCCTCAAAAAAACAAAAAAAACAGGGTTTGGACATGTTAATTTTGAGATTCCTATTAGAATCCAAGCAGAAAAGTTGAGCAAACAACTAGATATAATAAACTGGAATTCAGTGGAAGGGTCTGTGCTAGAACTACAGAATTGGGGCTTTTCAGAATACGCATAGTATTTAAAGCCACGAGATAGGATGAGATCATGAAGGGAGTAATGAGCAGTAGAAACAGAGTAGCTAGGGAGGTACAAAGAATGGGATTCTTAGATGCAGACAAAAGTAATTTGGTTTTAAATGTGCTGAATTTGTATTGCCAACCAGTTCTTTCTCTGAAAGCACTGCAGGGGCATATAATGGAGTTTACAGCTTGATTTCTGAGGCCTGACCAGAGATCCCAGAATAGAAGGCACAGCTCGCAGTACTGGCCTTTTCCCCCGGCTTTCTTTTTTCAAAATATGAGATATCAAAACACCGTTTTCTATACATCTGAGATAGCATTTTGCTGACTCTCGCTTTTATTCTGAAGACTGAGGCTACAAAATGAAAATGTATCAGGGAAATAGAGGCAGTATATGGTGATTTCTTAGTTATAAAATTTAACCTTTGAAGAGAATGGGGGAGTAATTTGAGAACCTGTTGTATGCCAATCCCTGTGCAAGGTGGTTTATACAAATGTTATTTATAATCTCAGAGAGAGTAAGTAACTAGCCCAAGGTCACAGAGCTACTAGACTAAGAGAGAGAGTAAGTAATCCATGTGATTCCAAATCCCTGCTTTTTACAATACCTTGCTGAAGAAACCTGTTATTTTTAAATGCAAGAGGAAATAAGCCCATGGAAGAATGGGAGCCACCCAGTGGCTGAAATTGAATAAATGAGTTAACTGAGGGAGCAAGGGTCAGAGAGAAGCCAAAAGTGATGGGATTGAAGGCAAAAGTAGAGACGTAAGCCTTGAAAAAGAGAAGACATCATCCTAAGATAGAAGAAATGGAGAGGAGTATGAGGGTGGAGATAGATAAAATGAAGAGTAGATGATTTTTGAGATGATTGTGATCTTGGATAAATAGAAAATAAGATAATCTTCCCAGAGAGAAGTGGGACGGGCACCTCAGAAGAGCAGAGACTATTGGGAACAGCTTAGGGAATGAATATGGAAGAGATTTCTCTCCTTCCCTTCTTTTCCCTTTCTTTCTCCTCATTTGTTCCCTTCAACCTTTTTTTTTTTTTTTTTTGGAGCTACAGTGTCTCTGTCACCCAGGCTGGAGTTCAGTAGTGTAATCATAGTTCACTATAACCTTGAACTGGGCTCAAGCAGTCCTCCTGCCTTAGTCCCCTGAGTAGTTAGGACTACAGATGTGCACCACCATGCCCAGATCATTTTTAATTTTTTTGGAGAGATGGGGTCTTGCTATATTGCCTAGGCTGGTCTCAAACTCCTGGCCTCAAGCAATCCTCCCACCATGGCATCCCAAGGGTGCCTTTTTTTTTTTTTTTTTATCATTTCTCTACATTATTTACCTTTACATATCCCCTTTCCTTTTCCTCTTTCTCTCTTAATGTTTTATTTTACCCTAAGTTCTATCTTATTTCCTCCTTTCTGCCTCTTTTCACCTTTTTCTTCTCTCCTTTGTTTTGTCTTTCTCCCTTTCCTTTCTCCACTTCTTTAAGCATAAGATAAAGAGGTAACAGTGGCACAACCAACATACTTTAGCGGTAACAACAGGAGAAATTACATCTGGGTGGAGAAGGGAAGATTCCCCAGAGGAGGCGACATTTATATTGGCCTTGAAGAATGGGTAGGGTTATGGCAGGCTTATATCTGGGAAAAAGGTCATTTCAGGGTTCAGCCACTGCCACAAATAGTATACTTTTTGTTTTCTGTTATCAGAGTGAGTCTGTCAGCTACATCTCATTTTCCTCAGGTCTCAGTCCACACTGGGGAACAGGAAATGTTCTTGCAGGAGACGGTACGTCTACGAAAAGAAGGAGAACCCAGTATGTCCCTCCAGTCCATGAAAGCCCAGCCAAAGTATGAATCTCCAGAACTTGAATCCCAACAGGAGCAAGGTAAAGAAGAAAGACCCATCTTGGGAGGAAGGGGAAGATGGGTAACATAGGACATTGGGGCTTTTTTGTACTTGCTACTGTTTCTGATCATTAAAGTCAAAAAGGCCGTCTCAGAATCTGATGGCTCATATATAGACTCTCAGACAGCCTAGTTTGTCACTCTTCAACCCTTACTTTTTTGTATATTCATATTCTTCTAAATTCTGGCTTTACCACTTAATTTAGTCCTTCTGATATTTATCTCTCTTTATACTGACCTCCTTGCTATTTTTAGCCTTTATCCTATCAGACAATACCTCTATCTTCCACTTGCACTATATCCTTTCTGCTTCACTAAATAAGCCTTTGCTCCATTATGTCTGCAACTAACTTTCAGATGGTTCAAGAAAAAAAAAATTTGTATACTTACAAAGAAAAGGAGTAACAGGCTGGGTGCGGTGGCTCACGCCTATAATCCCAACACTTTGGGAGGCCAAGGTGGGTGGATCACGAGGTCAGGAGTTCGAGACCAGCCTGACCAACATGGTGAAACCCCGTGTCTACTAAAAATACAAAAATTAGCTGGGCATGGTGGCGCGTGCCTGTAATCCCAGCTACTCAGGAGGCTGAGGCAGGAGAATCGCTTGAACCTAGGAGGCGGAGGTTGCAGTGAGCTGACATCACCCCACTGCACTCCAGCCTGAGCAACAGAGCAAGACTGTCTCAAAAAAAAAAAAAAGAAAAAGAAAAAATAATAAAACAAATGTTGCAAAATATTAAAAGTTGGTGAATGTGTGAAAGATCCGCTACCTTATTTCTACTTTCTCTGCATCCTTTTCATTTTCATTTAATTTTTTAAGTAGGTAAAAATGTACATGGCTCAAAAACAAAAATTTTTTAAGTTATTTAATGAAAAGTTTCTATTCTACTCGATTTTCCCAGCCACCTAGTCTCTTCCTCCTACTCTGAAATAGGTTGTAACTGTTACTAATTTTTCGTGTGTCCTTCCAGATATTTTTTTGATGCATATGTTTTCCATATTGAAACAAATATATTTTGCTCTCTTTATCACTAAGATGGTAGACTCTTGCATTTTTTATTTCTAAACAGCTGCTTAATATTAAAATGTATGGATACATTTTAAAGGTAGAAAGAGGTAACATTTATGATCCCTTCTTAGTTTTAGATGTTGAGACTGGAAATGAGTATGGGAATTTAAAGCAAGAAGTTTCTGAAGAAATGGAACCACATGGGAAGACATCCAGTAAATTTGAAAATGATATGTCCAAGTCTGCTAGGTGTGGAGAAACTCGTGAACCTGAAGAAATAACAGAAGAGCCCTCTGCTTGCTCCAGAGAAGATAAACAACCTACCTGTGATGAAAATGGAGTAAGCCTGACTGAGAACTCTGACCATACTGAACATCAGAGAATCTGTCCAGGAGAAGAATCTTACGGATGTGATGACTGTGGAAAAGCTTTTAGTCAGCACTCACACCTCATAGAACATCAGAGGATCCATACTGGAGATAGACCCTACAAATGCGAAGAATGTGGAAAAGCTTTCCGTGGGAGAACTGTGCTTATTCGACACAAAATAATACACACTGGAGAGAAACCGTATAAGTGTAATGAATGTGGCAAAGCCTTTGGCCGGTGGTCAGCTCTTAACCAACATCAGAGACTTCACACAGGAGAAAAACACTATCACTGTAATGACTGTGGCAAAGCCTTTAGTCAGAAAGCAGGCCTCTTTCACCATATCAAGATCCACACAAGAGACAAACCTTATCAGTGCACTCAGTGTAATAAAAGTTTTAGTCGGCGTTCCATACTTACTCAGCATCAAGGAGTTCATACCGGCGCCAAGCCGTATGAGTGCAACGAGTGTGGAAAAGCCTTTGTTTATAACTCATCCCTTGTTTCCCATCAGGAAATCCACCACAAAGAAAAATGCTATCAGTGTAAGGAATGTGGGAAATCCTTCAGTCAGAGTGGCCTTATTCAGCATCAGAGAATTCACACTGGGGAAAAACCCTACAAATGTGACGTATGTGAAAAAGCCTTTATTCAAAGGACAAGTCTTACAGAACATCAGCGAATTCACACTGGAGAAAGACCCTATAAATGTGATAAGTGTGGGAAGGCGTTTACTCAAAGATCAGTCCTCACGGAACATCAGAGAATCCACACTGGAGAGAGGCCCTACAAGTGTGATGAGTGTGGGAATGCCTTCCGAGGAATCACCAGCCTCATTCAGCATCAGAGAATCCACACTGGGGAGAAGCCCTACCAATGTGATGAGTGTGGAAAAGCCTTCAGACAGAGGTCAGATCTTAGTAAACACCAGAGAATCCATAATAGACGTGGTACCTATGTATGTAAAGAGTGTGGGAAATCATTCAGGCAGAACTCAGCTCTTACTCAACATCAGACTATCCACAAAGGAGAAAAATCTGTTTCTGTGTGATGACTACAGGGAAGTTATCTCACAGAGTTCAGGCCGGTGAGAAATACTATTTAGCTTTACAATTATTGGGGCAAAACTTCAGTCACCATTGTTATAAGGAAACCTCAGATATTTAATAAGAATTCACTGTGTGCTGCCCATTGTACTACGTGCTGTGGAGAACAAGAAGATAACCCCAAACTCTTTTCTCAGAGAGTTTGTAGCCTAGTTTGGGATAGATAAGATCCACATATTTAGTCATATAAGACTACAGGAGAGTAGAATTGATGCACCAGATGGTGTCGAATGAAAGTGGTACTTTGTAACAGACTATAAGTGCTGTAAATTCTAAAGGACAGGTTACTTTTGCCTGGAGTGGTCAAGAAAGATTTTATTTAAAATAAGGATTTGACGGGCAGACTTAGCAGTCAAAAGGGAGAAAGCGGGTAAAACAAATGTAAGCCATCATAAGAGTGCATGTGGTTTGGAAGCATCAGGGAAAAGACTAGCCAACCTGAAGTAAAAGGTTCGTGCAAATTGGGCAATCAATAGCATTAAGTTGGAAACAGCTTGGGGACAGACACATAAGAGGGCCAGAGTGTGAATAATTTCATCTAATACTTTATAGCACTTGGACATTTACAGAGCACTTTTCTCAATTCCTAAAATACCTTGGTAAATCAAAAGCATTCTCCATTTTAAAAATGAGAATACTCTTGCCTATGGAGATGGCAACATAGCTATAATCCCACACAAAGAAAAAGACCAGTAACCTAAGTGCAGGTCTTTTGACTTCTAGTCCTGGCCATTACTCTAGTGATCCTCCAACTTTGATGAACATCAAAATCATGTTTGGAGCTTGTTTAACATCCCTGAATCCCACTCACATTCTGCTTCATTAGGCCTAGGATGGGAGTTGAGAATCTTCATTTTTATAGCTCCACAGTTACTTAATATACTTTAAAATTTGAGAAGCGTTGAGTTGAATGACAGCTGACTTCATGGCTGTCTGCGAAGTGGGGAAGCCTGAACACAGTCCTATAAACTAAAGGCCACTGCAGACTTTTAGCACAAGGAGATCCTTACAGGGAACATGTGCCATCAGCTCTTTGGAGTGAACAAGGAATTAGACCCCCATCATGCCAAAAAACTAGGATTTTTAGGTGGTCTTTCCATCCCTTCAGATTTAAGTATTCAAAGAAAGAGAGACAGACCTACATTCCAAGGGTCTTCTGAGTGCAAGGCCTTGTGTTGTTTGTTTATTTAGGGGAGGGCCTGGTGCTCTTCTCTGTTTTATGCTTTACCTTCTTTTATTTCTCAGATCTCATGTTAGCACTATGTTCTGAATTCCCTAATAATGGCTCTTGAGAACTGATTTACATTTTGTTGGTTTGTTTACTTCTTGAGCACATAAAAGGACCCCAAATTAGAGATACTATCCCTTGGGCTTCTGAAAAATGAATCAACCAAAACTGGTTGACTCTAACCTTGCCTTGCTGAGTAAAAATTCTGCTTTGGATGAGAACCTGTCTTGATTATTTTAGTGGACAACAGATAAGCCACATGGAAGTACACATGGCTCCTGATCTGTCTTTTTATTTACAGAAATCATTCTTAATCTCTACTGAGATGGCCTGTTATTTCCTTCCTTTTCTACCCTGCCACAGCAAACTCCACAGTTTCTGGGACTAACTTCCTACTACACCCCAACACAACTCCAGTCCTCTCTTCTCTTCACACTTCTAGCTGGTTAGTGGGTTTGAAGTGGTGAGACAGTGACAAAAGGGGAAGGGGAAAAATAAAAGAAGGGTAATCTGCATTCTTCCTTAGTAAGTCCCACTCCTAATTACCTTTCTACACAGCCCTGTGTCTTTGTCCCATCTTCTCTTCACTCCTGTAATATACTCCCCAGCCCCATTTTCTTAGTGCCCCTGTCTCTTGCCTCTCTAGCCATAAACCCTGTATAGAATTTCATCCCTGGGTTGGAACTAGAAGCGTCTCTGGTCCTATAGGAATATTATGTTTCTAGCTAAGTTGTAAATATGAACACATATTCCCATAGAAGTCATAATGGTATAAGTATTATAATTCAGGTATATTAGGTGTCAAATTGGCTTCTGGGATTGGAACTTACATGACTTTCTGTGTGGAAAAACCTTCTTGAGTTCACAAGAGAGAAAGGCAAATGAACAGTTGAAAAACAACTTACTCATAAGTTGAGGACTGCTTAGTTAGGCTTTTTTCATAACCCCAGCATTGGAGTTGCACACATGAGGCACTGAGGCAACTGGGATTGGAAACCTAGTTTTTTTCCTCCAGGAAACAAGGAACCCAGAGTGAGTCTGGGAGCTCTGTAGCTCTAAGTATGTGAGGCCTGTGCTCTACCTAAGTTTACCCTGCCTCCCATTTCTCACATAATGAGAATGCAAACTTGTAACCAAACCAAGGTTCAGCTGCTTGCGGCTCCAAAGCCAAAACTCGGGAGAGAAGAAAATTGGTGCGAGGAAAAGCAGATTTATTCGGAGAGCCAGCAAACTGAGACGATGGTAGACTACTGTCCTAAAGTACCATCTTAAGTCAGTACAAATGTTGGGCTCGGCTCTTTTTATGTTAAGGGCAAAGGGAAGAGGACAGAGTTGGGATGAAGAGGTGACCTATGACCACAGACATCTGGGCGCCAGCAAGAGTCCAAGGAGGTTGGGAACTTCTTTGTCATTGGTTGGGTCACAATGCTCCTGCAAATCTTCAACAAAACATAATTGTTATACATACTTCTTTAATCCCAGAGTTAGTTTTTAAAACTACATGATTGCTGTTTTTGCATATTATCTCTGCTCTAAAATTAGCCTACATGGAGGAATAGGTAAAGGGTCCTTAAACAAAAATGGAGTTAGTTATGGTAGTTCTTTTGCTGTTTCACTGTTAGAAACTCTTCTCAGTGGAGGGGACTTTACTTAGTGATGAGAACCTGTGTGAGAATGTTCTCCTTACCAAACATGCTATGCATACTCCTTATCTAATCTGATTTTATAGACTTGTTATCCAAACTGAAATTACTGTTCATAGTAACTTCAGAGCCTCTCTTTTAATCTGACTGCTCGCTGGAATGCAATCGTTGTTTTAAACTTGCCTTCTACTCCTCTGAGTGCCTTTACTTGGGGTCTTTCCAGTTCATTTTCTGCTTAATATGTTCTGTCATTGCGCACATTCCTCCATTTGCCTTTCTGCACACTACTTAATCTTTCTTATATACCTAATATTATAAAGGGACCATAAACAAAGACTCAGAACAATGGAATATGCCTATTATAGGAGGGTACAGTTCATACTTGTTTAAAAATAAATGTGGAGGCTGGGTGCAGTGGCTCACACTTATAATCCCAGCACTTTGGGAGGCCGAGGTGGGCGGATCACGAGGTCAGGAGGTTGAGACCATCTTGACAATGTGGTGAAACCCCATCTCCACTAAAAATACAAAAATTAACCAGGCGTGGTGGCACATGCCTGTAATCCCAGCTACTCGAGAGGCTGAGGCAGGAGAATCGCTTGAATCCGGGAGGTGGAGGTTGCAGTGAGCTGAGATGGCACCACTGCTCTCCCGCCTGGTGACAGAGCAAGACTCCATCTCAACAAAAATTAAAATAAAAATAAAAATACACGTGGGGGTTTTGTTCTGGTTATTTCTCATGCTTAAATACAGTTGTAGTACCAAAAAAAGGTGGAGTGACATGGAATTTCCAGGTAGGCATCAAAGAGGATTAAACTAGCTTTCCAGGATAAAGAGGAAATATAGTAGAATAAGGCTACTAATTGGAGCTAAATTGGCAATATAGGCAAATTGAAGGCCCTGAGGGGCAAATGGAGGATGTGACATGTTAGATATGGAATAGGAGTGCTACATTAGGGAATGCAGTGAAGAGAGAATGCTTTGTGATGAAGTCAGGAGTACATTTTGTGGATAACATATAGATGTGGTGTGACAGTGACAAGATCCTAGGAAACCAGAAACCTCTGAAGCATTTTATGTATGTGGATTTTGAAATAACAATAACGGGGTGGGATGGAAACGAAGAATATAAAAGCGAAGCAGGTCCAAGGTAGAAATAACGGTCATCAATTGTAGTAACAATGGCCAGATAGAAGTATCTGTTGTAAAACTTGAATGAATCATAAAGCTTGCAAATAATATTAAGAATAAGAATAAGATTGACTGGCTTGTCTTTTCTAATTGATTCAAGGTAAACAAGACATTAAGTGTTTAAGGCAAAAAGCATGGAGAGGTTGGGGAAGAGCCAAGTTTCTAAAGTAATGAAAAGTGAGGTGAGTTTCAACACGGGCTATGAATGAAAACGTAACCTGACAATCAAACTGATTCCAGAGAGTGCAGTGGGAAGTGACTGCAGAGGAAAAAAGAATGGGGCCCTCCTTCCAAAAATAAATTGTATTAAGAGGTTGCCAGAGTTTGAGGTACGAGATGAAGCTAATGAGGAAAGACAGTGGGATTGAGCAGGGCTCCAAATTGAGACATCTCAACTGTATAATGAGGTTGGTTGTAGAGACCTCTAAGATAGAAGAACTTAGACAAGTCTGCATTCCTGTATTCAGTACAGAAGTAGCCACTTTTGTTAATATACAGATTATTTGTAGAGTTGTTATAGTCAAAACAAAGCTGTTCTTATTGGCCATCTTTTGGAATTGAGAAAAGGATTTATTAATGACAATACCGCACACTTATTAGCTGCTTACTAAGGGCCAGACATTACTAAATGCTTTACTTACAACATTTCACTTTCAGCTGGGGAAACTGAAATAGATAATCTAAAGCTGCTCAAGGTCCCGAAGTTAGTATGTGGTCAGGCCAAGATTTGAACCCAAGCAGCCCAGTTCCAGAGTTCACACTTTTAACCTCTGTGATACACTTCCTCTCTTTATTTCAGTTGAACAAACCATGTGTTGCAGTGGTAATTCAGTGTCTTGAGTAATTATCTGTAAAAACTTTTTATCTCCAGTCATTATTCTGAAAAATGATTCAGAAAGTCCTGGAGTCCAAACACCTCAGGTAATAATATTATCACCCCCTCTGCATACCAAATCTTGGATGAGGTTTGGCCAGCATAAACAGCTCTACTTCTTGTTGCCTGCACAGTGAGGGTGTCACAGGAGACATTCCACTTTAAAAATGGGCTCTTTATATGAAAAGATCACCCTTCTTAGAATGATAAATCACTCTGCATTATTCTCACAGAATAAGGAATATTTGGCTGTCTAATTTAATACAGAAAGATTTAAAGATTTGTCCCCAAGTGTTGATAACCCATTATGGATCTATCTTTAATGCCAGTTTTCAAAAGTGATTTTATATTAGAAGATACTTCTTGGATTTAAAAATGCACACACACACATATATGTGATATATGATATTTTTCTTTGCTTAAGACTTACCAATTTTACAGTTCAAATGGTGACCCTCCTAACTCCACAAGGCCAGAATTTGAGCAAATGCTTGTTGTTCAACCTAGACATAATCATTCGATAGCCTTTAATTGAATCTCTTCCCAACTTTTATCCTTTAAACCGAAAAGTTATATACCACAGTCACTACAGCAGCTCATTTTATTGGAATTTCTTTGGATCCTCTCCCTCTCAAACGTTCTGTGTGCGTTTGGTAAGGAGTCCTCACACATTATTTTTTACTTGTATAGTATTTCTACATATATATATAAATGTGTAAAAAGTATGTATGAATATTTTTGTGTTGTAATTTGTATTTTACATATATATGACCTCATGTATATAATTTGATGTTGACAAAGCCAACTATGATAAGTGTTTTAAACTTTTCAGTTGATTAGCCCCCTAGCTTACATTGTAAGACCATCATTTAGAGCCAGCAGTTTTCCCTTGATTTCATCTCTTGAAGAGACAGTTGATTCTCTTCATACACGTTAAAAACACCATTTAGGTGTCAGAAACCCATCAGTCAAGGCTCCCAGAGCTTTCACCTATCATAGTTCAAGTTAATCTCTAGGGTATATGTCTGTTTGCTCCTGCCAGTCATTTTCCTAAGCCCAGTTGGCCTGCTCCTGGAAGTCCCAAGAAGGGCTCCATAGTGGAAGCCATTTGTTACTTTTGATTTATGATTACATCATCATTACTCCTCTTCAAGCTTAGTGGGCATATCTTAGTGTTTTGATCTAGTGCCTTAGTTCTGCCTACTTCAGTAACGAATTTAGGAGTAGATGTCTCCTCATTTCATCCCTGATAAAGATTGAGGCAGTTTAGGGACTCTGCAGCTTCCTCTGGCCAAATTCCCTACTTATTCCTGAGATAGGGTTTAAGAACCTGGATTCTAGAGACGGATTGCCATGGTTCGAATCTCAGTTTACTAGCTAAGTGACTTTGGGCAAGGGATTTAACCTCTCGTCCCTCAGTTTCCTCCTATGTAAAATGACAAGGATAATAGTACCAACCCAATGTAGATTAAATGAGTTTACGAAGTGTTAGAATAGTGCTTGGCACATTAGTGCTTTACAACTGCTATTTTGATTGTTGTTGTGGGCTCTCTCAAATGCATTGTCTCTAGATGCCAGTGACCCAGGTCAAAATTTACCTTTAACCAAGCTGCATGTTTCCCAGACTGCTGCACAGTCCTCCTAGCCCTGAGATAAAAGCTCCCACCCAGGTATACTTTTACTTTCCTGCTGGAGAACTGATGAGCAGTGGCCAGCAGGGGACACTTATCGCCCAAGCTGGAAAGGAGAGATTTCTTCCCTTTTGTCTCCGCCCCTGTTAGTTATCAGAGGTACCTAGCGGCCCCTGCTATCCGAAGTTTGCCTTCCGAGCTGCTCTTCCGACGTTCTGCAGCTGGAAGGCCGGCCTCGCACGGGTCTGACGCGCCCCGGCCTGGGAGCATGGGCCCCTGGGGTTACCTGACTGCTCAGCTGGAACTTGCGCTGCTCAGCTGGGGCGGGGTTCGGCCGGGCAACCACAGAGAGGAGAAAGCCTCCAGAATCCTAGAGAAGCTGAATGCTGAGACAGCCGTTGACGGCAGCGGCACGTGAAAGTACCGACCTTTCTGGCCTTTGTGACGGACCTTTGGAGGCGGGTGGTTTCAGATTCGTGCGCTCCGGCCTTTCAGTGTCTCTGGTGAGGTTGGGCCTGATAGGTTGAGAGCTGCCAGGGGAAGTTAAGGATGACTTCCAAGTTTTGAGGTATCAGGAAAACTGGCTGTTGAGAAAAAGGAGTCTGGGTTCCCCGTTTGGTGAAAGGAAAGTTGGGTTCATTTGGGGAAATTATGTGATTCATGATTTTCCCAAGATCGACGCTGAGTACAAGAAAAGACAGAATCCACCTAGCTGTTGTGTGACTTTGAGCAAATTACTTAATCTCTCTGTGCCTCAGTTTTATTCCTCTGTCAGTGAGATTATAAGTGTCTACTTAAATGGCTGCATGCATGGTGCATTTTAAATAAATATTAGCTGTTGTTATTTTTCATTTCTGATGTTCTTATCTCTGCCGTTTATACAGGATATTGCATGTATGGTGCATTTTAAATAAATATTAGCCGTTGTTATTTTTCATTTCTGATGTTCTTATCTCTGCCGTTTATATGGGTATTTTGAAGTGGGGGGGAGCCAAGGGAAGAGGGTCATGATCTTTAAAGTTTTATTAATAAAAACTTTTAGAGAGTAAAAGGCTAGCAGATGGGGCTAGCTAATAATTTGCAGTCACTTTTGCTTTCCTAATTTATTTACCTTCCTGACAGAGTTCCGTTTTCTTTCAGTGCCTTGTTCAGATAAGTGAGTTCTTGGCTAAAGAAGTAAACAAAATTTAGCTTCTGTTAACATTGTTATTTTATGCCTCAGGAAGAAGACCAGCTACAAGGAAATACTTCTGAAAAATCACTCTGAACCCCAAGCTGGAGTGAATCTTCTCCTGAGCTCTCTCATTCCAGAATGGCAATCTTGTTTCAGGAGAGATCTCTAATAGTGACTGATGGTAAAGGAAGAAGGCTGTGCCTAGAACAAAGAATCAGGCTGGCAAAGAAATCACAGGTCTTTCCTCAAACTTTAAATTGCTACTCTCTGGAGATAGCTACCTGGACTTTACAGAGCTGTCAGAAGACTTGGGAAGGTTTGCCAGCATTGGAAAAAGCCACTTGGACTTCACAGAGCTGTCAGAAGACTTAGGAAGCTTTGCCAGTAGTTCCTGAGACCAGAAATACATATTATGAAGCAGGTGCTGGAACAGGCCCTGGCCCCTACTTGTGAAGCTGCAGATATAGGTAAGATAATATCATCCAGAATGTGGAGACGAGGCAATCGATGATGCTGGAAAAGTTGAAGAGAGAGTTTGAATGAAGGACAAACCACCGATGGGAAAGCTTGGGAGGATCACTTATAGCTTGACTAGCAAAAGGCTTTGGGAATAGGATAGAAAGCAGCAAACCTGAACTTTAGGATCCACCAGATGTCTCTGGAGCCATAACCCAACATTTCCCATAAATAGTAGGTTTTAATTCTCCTGTTATTTAGGTGCATCTCTGGGACCTCCTCTTTCTATATTGGGTTTTTTGTTTGTTGGGTGTTTTAACTTAGGATTTAGCTTCAAATTCCATTTCCCAAGACCAATTTTATCACATTGCCTTTAGGTCTCAGGCTAAATGATATAACAAGATATGCTTTTGGCAAAGATAGTACCTTGGAATGAAAGGTTTCAGATCAAACCTAAGATCCTACCTTAGTTTACCTCTCAGTGTTATTGCCTTTTGATATGGAAAGCTGATGAGAGAGCATCTCTGGAGAGAAAGAAGAGGAGAGCCTCACGGGAAGCTTTTAGAACTTTTAGTAGCATCCTCTCCCCAGAAAACTTGTCTCTACTCATCTCCTTCTCATTATCTACCTGATTCGTTAAGTAGGAAATCTCAGCCATATTTGTAGGGGATTGGGGTTTTGTTTTTTTTGACCCACTTAACTCCTTTAGCTTCAGAGTGTTGCTTTCTTACATTTTAGACATGAATATTACCTAGAAAATTTATTTCCCCACTGTTAATTTTCCAGTTTATTGATTTCCCCACATCAGATTAGTGTGTATTTTGAAACTGGTTTAGCTATTGTTTCAAGTTAACTTTGATCATATCCCGTTGTTTACTGATCCACTCAACAAATATTTATTGAACATTCTGTAGGTTTATAGTAGTAGCCAAGATACTTAAAGTGAGTAGAAATAGTCCTTTTAACTGTCCTTAACAAATTAAACTTTCTCTTGGTTTCATGATATTCCTTGTTTCTCAGCTTTGGATTCAAACTGATCTTCTCTTTTTTGATTATACTTTCCTGATTTCTTTTATTGTCACATTTTTGTGAAAAGTCTTCCATGCACTTCCAGTCTCTTTCTGCCTAGCTGTCTCTTCTCACCCAAATTGGACCCCCCTACTCCTACCCTGCCACGTGCCTTCACAAAAATGAGATGCTTGTTTAGAGACTTAGAAAAGGCATGCACTTTAGGTAAAAGTGGATTTTATTTTTAATCACTGTACCCTATCATAAATCTCATTTCAGAAGAGACAACTGACATTTGAATTGTCTGTGCATTTTGTTTTAGATGGTGTTACTGAGAAGGAAACTAAGGACTTGGCTCCAAAACAAAACAAAACAAAATCTGGAGATGCTGAATTTTGTTGGGGGGAATGTCTGTAGAACTGCAACATCAATGCAGTAAGTGTAGTAAAAGCTTTAGTTTATGGTGAGTCATTACTCAGCATCATGGAGTCCACGATGAAGAGAATCTCTTTTCAATCTGTGCAATCAACAAGTTTTTGAAAGGCTTTTGTTTATAGTGGAACCCTCTTTTCCCCCTAGAAGAACCACCACAAGGAAAAATGCTGTCACCATAAGGAATGTGGGAAAGTTTTCAGCCACATGGCCTTATTTGACTTCAAAGAATCCACATGAGAGAGAGACTGCATAAATGTAATAACTGAGGAGGCCTTTGTTCAGCAAAGAAACCTTATACAAACTCGTATAAAGAATGTAGGAAGACCTTCACCCAGAAGCCAGGACTGACTGTGCACCAGAGAATCTGCACAATAAACATGATGAATGTGGAGATGCTTGCTTCAGCATTGGAGAATTCACAGTAAAGGGAAACCCTGCCAGTGTGATGAGTACGGAAAAGTCTTCAGAGGTTGGAACTTGGGAAAAATCAGTGAGTGAATTCATATTAGAGAGGCTCTTATAAATGAGAGGATTGTGGAAACTTGTATAGACAGAGATCAGACCTCAACAAGGGAGCCTCCACAGTATTGAAAAGTTAATATAATTAATGTAAGTGGGCAAGTTGTATGGGGAATGGGTAGTCTAAATTGCTCATTTTAGCCAGTAAAAACATTAAATTAGTTTCTTAGATCAAGAAAAGGAAATGTTAGAAGTTATTTTTCCCTTCCAGAGGGGTCTATATGTGTAAGCAACCAGGACTTTTGAAATAAGTTGCATCTCTGGATTTGTGATCTGTCTCCTGGATGATTATCTCTGTTTTGGGAGACAGGTATTTTTTCTTCATGCCTGCTCTAGTCTCATCTCATATCTTTAATTCATTCAGCAAGTATACACAATAGTATTATCGTCTACTGTTTGTTGTAAATATATATATATTATTTTCTTTTTGGTCTGAGTAGGCTTGTATTGGTACCCTAGGACATAAAAATCACATATATCATGTTTCAGTAAATGCAGTGAAAGGAACTATATTATTAAATTGCTGGGAATTTCTGTAAATTTGAGACTACCTTTATATTCTCCAACACAAGACCGTGTAGGTGTCCCTTCAGAGAGTATATTTTTCTAGCTTGGCTTCTTTATTTTCTTTATTTTTTTGAGATGGAGTCTTGCTCCTGTCGCCCAGGCTGGAGTGCAATGGCACGATCTCGGCTCACTGCAACCTCCGCCTCCCAGGTTCAAGTGATTCTCCTGTCTCAGTCTCCCGAGTAGCTGGGATTACAGGCACTTGCCACCATTCCCAGCTAATTTTTGTATTTTTAGTAGAGACGGGGTTTCACCATGTTGGCCAGGCTGGTCTCGAACTCCTGACCTTGTGATCTGCCCACCTTGGCCTCCCAAAGTTCAGGGATTACAGGCATGAGCCACCATGCCCGGCTGTTTTTTTAAGATAGAAAAATATACTTCATGTATAGCCTATTGACAGATAATGACTGATATTTTTTCTTATAGATAACACATAATAAACATTGTGAAGACTAATAAGTAACTTGCTTATTCTTTTCAGTTCTAAAACCTGTAGGAAAGAATCTTTAGAAGCTGTCAACAAGTTGATAATGTAGCCCAATCTCTACCCATGATAGGAGAGTAAGGCTTATATATTTTATAGTAGGGCACTAAATACAGGAACCATGTATTTAAAAACTTTTTAGTGATTATCTCAGAATTCTAGGTGTCCCTCTGCTGTACATCCCTAAATTTTTTGCATAGGTATTATTAATAAATTCATTATTTTCAAAGATGGACTGTGTTCTGTAAAAAGCTTTTCCAGTATCTGCAAATCACACAGTTTTTTTTAACTCTATTACTATTATATAAAATGATTTCTTAATATTGAACCAACCTTGCATTCCTAGAATAAACCTCACTTAGCCATGATGTGTTATTTTCTTAATATATTAATGGGTTTACTTGTTAATATTTTGCTTAGTACATTTCCTTCAATATTCATGTGAAATTGGTCCATAATTTTTATACTATATTTTTCAGGTTTAGATTTCACTCTTTTACTTGCATCATAAAAATAATTTAAGTCTGTGTTCATTTTTAATGCTCTAGAACAATTTATGAAGCATCAGAACTAGTTAATCTTTGAAGGATAGATTCTGATGTGAAACCTTCTGGGTCATATGCTTTTTTGTGGGATAATTTCTTGGTAACTTCCTCTATTCTATGAAAGTTATCTATTCAGGCTTTCTATTTATAATGGGTTCCATTTTGGTAATCTTTATTTGCCTTGGAAATTATCCATTTCATCAAGGCTTTCAAATTTATTTGCCTAGAATATGCAATGTAACCTAATGATTTTTAAAACAAATTTTATTTATTTTATTTTTTTAGAGACAGGGTCTTGTTCTTTTACCCAGGCTGGGGTGCAGTGGTGCAATCATAGCACACTGCAGCCTTGAACTCCTGGGCTCAAGGAATCCTTCACCTCAGTCTCCCAAGTAGCTGGGACTACAGGCACACACCACCACACCCAGCTAATTTTTTTGTTTGTTTTTGTAGAAACAGAGTCTCTCTTTGTTGTTCATGCTGGTCCTAAACTCCTGGCCTCAAGCAATTCTCCTGCCTCAGCCTTCCAAAGTGCTGCGATTACAGGCATGAGCTACCATATCTGGCTTCCTTATGACTTTTTAAACAGCTTTATGGAAGGAAATTGATATGTAGTGAACTGTATAAGTGTACAGCTTGATAAGTTCTAACATGTATACACCTGTGAAACAGTCACTACTATCAATATGTCACCCAAAAAAGCTTCCTCATGTCCCATGATAATTCCTCCCACCCTTACCTGCACTCTTCCCCCCTCTCCAGGCAACCTCTGTTCTGCCTTCTCTTGCTAATTTAGTTTGCATTTTCTGGAATTTTATGTAAATGGACTCATACAGAATGTTCTGTTTCCGGGGGGGTCTTGCTTGTTTTATTCAGCATAATGATTTCAACATTCATCGATATTGTTGGATGTATAAATAATTTTTTTTTTTTTTTTGAGACGCAGTCTCACTCTGTTGCCAGGCTGGAGTGCAGTGGCATAACCTTGGCTCACTGCAACCTCTGCCTCCCGGGTTCAAGCAATTCTCCTGCCTCAGCCTCCCAAGTAACTGGGACTGCAGGCATGCGCCAGCACGCCCAGTTAATTTTTGTATTTTTAGTAGAAACGGGGTTTCACTATGTTGGCCAGGATGGTCTCGATCTCTTGACCATGATCTGCCCGCCTCAGCCTCCCAAAGTGCTGGGATTACAGGCGTGAGCCACCACACCCGGCCTGCTTTTGCAATAATTTTATCAGCTAAGCACCAGGTCTCCTGCCAGGTATTTGCACTACAGAAGTGTGAAATATTTACAGTTTATTGCTTGTATTTCCTGCGTTGGTCCTTTTATTTTCTTTTGTCATGGGCTCTGAATTTATCTATTCTTAGAAGGTTTTGCATTCACCCTTAATCTAAGGTATATATCTTATTCAATCGAGTTATTTGGTCAACTTATTTTGTAATTGGAATCATTATTGAACTCCTACTTTAATGAAGGTAACACTGAAGATTCATAATAGCTACTTAGTCTAATTTTATTTAGATATTCTAATCTGTTTTTGTTTCCAGTTCAATATTATACTAGTAAGATAATCTACATAATATCTCTATGTCCTCAAATATACTGATTTTAATTTTTTCTCATGATAATTCTGTACAAGTTAGTCATTTAAGATATAAACAGTTTTCAGAAATGGTAGAAGAGTTCCCAACCATTTTACCACAGGACTGATGCTGTCTTCCACCACCCTGTTTTTGAAATATTGTGCCTGTTAAAATATAATTACTTAAGGCTGGGCTCAGTGGTTCATGCCTGTAATCCCAGCACTTTGGGAGGCCAAGGCAGGCGGATCACCTGAGGTCAGGAGTTCAAGACCAGCGTGGCCAACATGGTGAAACCCCGTCTCTACTAAAAATACAAAAATTAGTCGGGTGTGGTGGTGGGTGCCTGTAATCCCAGCTACTTTGGAGTCTGAGGCAGGAGAATCACTTGAACCCAGGAGGAGTAAGTTGCAGTGAGCCAAGATCAAGCCACTGCATTCCAGCCTGGATGACAAGAGTGAGACTCTGTCTCAAAAAAATAATAATAAAATAAAAAAAATATAATTATTTAATATCTTTAACTTACTTTCCTGTTATTAACTCTAGAAAAGCATAACTAGACAAGTTCACTCTCATTATCTGATGTATGTCTATACTAACAATCCATCAGCCACATAACAAGAATTCCTATCATTTCAGCAGCCACCCAATCTGAATTACCTGATTTACTCATTCAACAAATACTTATGTGCCAGGAAATGTAGGTATTGTTGTTAAAATGGTAAACAAAACATGCAAAATTTCTAGTTTTCACAAAGAATCTACATTCTAAGAGATGTAGGCCAGTTGACCAATGAACAAGTGAAAAATAATGTATGGGCATCCAGTTCCTGACAAGATGGAGCAGATACACTTCTCCCTATTTCTCCCACTAAGTACAGCTAAGACCCCTAGGCATTATATGTAAAACAAACAAGAAGACACTGCAAGTTGGAGGGGAAAAGGCATTTAGGACCTTCAGGATACAGAGAAAGACACAGAGGTGAATTCCTGTGGTATTTTTATTTTTATATTTTTGTTTCTGTTTCATGTATCTTCCAGTAACAGTGGAGACCGCATGAATTGGGTGCTAGAGAAGCCTACAACTCAAAAGTGCTGCAGTTGATTCTACCCAGGGAGTTATTTCAGTAATTGGATTTTTCAGTTATAAAATTTCTATTTGCTGTTCTTTGAAAATATCTTCTAGCTTTTGCTGAGACTATTTCTTTGCTGAGACTTTTTTTTCAAACATTTAACTAAATGCTTCCTGAAGCATTTTTATGGTGACTGCTTTAAAATCCTTGTCAAATAATTCCATCCAACAATAGCAGAATACATTTTTTCTTTAAGTATCCACAGAACATTCACAAAGAATGACTACATACTGGGCCATAAAACAAACCTAACCAAATTTGCAAGATGAAATCATACAGAGTATATTCTCTGGCCACAATGGAACCAAACTAAAAATAACAGACAACAGGAGAATCTCCAAACATTTGGGACTAAACAAAACAGCTCTAAATAATGCCTAAGTCAAGGAATAAGTCTCAAAGGGAAAAAAAAAATTAAACATAGGCCTGAATAAAAATACAACTTATAATATGTGAGACATAGCTAACGAATGCTGAGAGGGAAGGTTAGAGCTCTGACTGCTTGTGTTAGAAAAGAGGAATAGTCTCAAATCAATTAAGTTCCTACCTCAAGAAACTAAAAGATCAAGAGCAAAGCAAACCTAAGGCAGCAGAAAGAAGGAAATAACAAAGATAACAGAAATCAATGAAATTAACGGGATAACAATAGAGAAAATAGTTGAAGCAAGAAAACCTGTTAAAATTTATATCATAGAAGCAGAGAGCAGAACAGCAGGTTGCCAGAAACTGGAGAGGGGAGGATGGAGAGAGGTTGGTCAACAGGTACAAAGTTACGATTAGATAGGAAGAATAAACTCTGGGGTTCTATTATTGCACAGTAGGGTGACTGTGGTTAACAATAAAATACCATATATTACAAAATAGCAGGAAGAGAGGCTTTTGAGTATTCTTACCACAGAGAAGTGATAAATGCACAAAATGATGGATACACTACACTGATTGGATCATAATACAACATAGATATTTATCAAGATGTCAAATTGTACTCCATAGATATGTAAAATTACATTGTGTCAAATACATAAAACAATTTTAAATCAATAAAACAGGTAAACCTCTAGCAAGACTGGCAAAGATAAAAAGAAAGGCCAAATCACTAATAACAAGAATGAGAAAAGGGATATTATTACAGATCCTGCATTCGTTTGAAGGATCATAAAGGTAGATTTGAAAATTTGCACTCATAACTTTGACAACTTAGAAGAAATGAACCAATTCTTCAAAAAGTCCAGGTGGCCAAGATGAAACAGATAGTTTGAGTAGTCTTATAATCATTAAAGAAATTGAATTCATAATCTAAAAGTTTCCAAATCATCAGGCCCAGATGCCTTCACTGGAGAATTCTACCAAACATGTGAAGAAGAATTAGCACCAATTTTACAAAACCTGTTCCAGAAAATGGAAAGTATACGCTCCAACTCATTTTATAAGGTTAGAATTACTCTGATACCATAAGGAGACAACGGCAGCACAAAAAAGAAAACTACAGTCTAGTATCCTTCATGAACTTAGATGCAAAAGTTCTCAACAAAATATTAGCAAATTGAATCTAGGTATTTATAAAAAGAAGTATACACCATGACTAAGGGGGATTTTTTTTTCCAGTACAAAAGTTTGTTTTAATATTTAAAACTTAATCAGTGTATTTCATCACATCAACATATATATATAACAGAAATATTGTATAACCATACAATTGGCACAGAAAAAGCATTTGACAAATCCAACACCCATTCATGACAGAAACTTACAGCCCACTAGAAATAAAAACTTCCCACTTCATAAAGAACATCTGCAAAACATTTACAGATAACTTCATACTTAACAGCAAAAGACTATGCTTTAACCATAACATTGGGATGAAGACAAGAATGTCCACTCTCACCACTCTTATTCAACACAGCACTGAAAATACAAGCCAAAGCAACAGGCAAAAAATGATTAAAAGCATACAGATTGCTTGTAGATTTCATGTACACGCACAAAAGAAAACAAAATACAAAT
The DNA here is from genome assembly GCF_000001405.40 of Homo sapiens. Taxonomy (NCBI): domain Eukaryota; kingdom Metazoa; phylum Chordata; class Mammalia; order Primates; family Hominidae; genus Homo; species Homo sapiens. The sequence continues at coordinate 28,373,926 of NC_000006.12, read as the reverse complement.
TGGAAACAAAAAAACCTGCTCCTATTTGCAGATTATATAATTGTGTGCATAGAATATTCCAAATAATCTATTACAATTTTTGAAGCTAATACAAAATGTAGCTAGAACCAGTAAATGAATTCAGCAAGGTTGCAAGATACAAATCAACATGCAAATAACAATCCTGTTGTTATGTACTAATAATGAACATTTGGACATTGACATTTAAAATGCAAAGCCATTTGTAATCACTCCAAAAATAATGTAGAAGTCTAACAAACGTACAGGATCTGTATGCTGATAAAATGCTGAAGAAAGAAATCTGAATAAATGGAGAGACATATCATGTTTGTGGATTAGAAGATACAACATGGTAAAGATATCGATTCTTCCTATGTTTAGGTTTGACACAAATCCTATCAAAATCTCAGCAAAAATTTTTGTAGATATAAATTTATTCTAAAATGTGCATGGAAAGGCAAAGGACTAATAACTAAATTTTGAAAAAGAATAAAGTGAGAGGAATCACTGTACCCGATGTCAAGGTATACTATAAACCTACAGTGATCAAGAGAGTTGGATATTATAGAAGGACAGACATATAGTTGAATGGAACAGACTGGAGAACCTAGAAATAGATCCAAACAAAAACGCCTAATTCTTGACAAAGGTGCAGAAGCCACTGAGTGGAGGAAGGATAGCTTTTTCAGACAATGGCAATAGAGCACCGAACATCCGTAAACCAAACAACAACAACAACAAACTCAAAATGGGTCATGGGCTAAAATAATACCTAAAACTTGAGACCTCTTAGAAGCATCAGAGCCTAGGGCTAGGCAAAGATTCTTAAAACTGACATCAAAAGCATAATTCATTAAATGAAATGTTTATGACTTTGTATTTATCAAAATGTAAAATTTATGCTCTGAAAGACCCTGTTAAAAAGATGAAAAGACAGCCGGGCGCAGTGGCTCATGCCTGTAATCCCAACACTTTGGAAGGCTGAGGCCGGTGGATCACGAGGTCAGGAGATCAAGACCAGCCTGGCCAACATGGTGAAACCCCTTCTCTACTAAAAATACAAAAATTAGCTGGGCATGGTGGCATGCGCCTGTAGTCCCAGCTACTTGGGAGGCTGACGCAGGAGAATCGCTTGAACCCGGGAGGCGGAGGTTGCAGTGAGCCGAGATCGTGCCGCTGCACTCCAGCCTGGTGACAAAGCGAGACTGTGTCTCAAAAAAAAAAAAAAAAAAAAAAAAAAAAAAAGATGAAAAGACAAGCTACAGATAGGGAAAAATATTTGCAAGCCAAGTCTTTGACAGAGGACTTATAACTAGAATATAAAAAGAATTCACCAAATCTCAACAGTTAAACAGCAAACAATTTAACTAGGTATGGGCAAAAATCACGAACACACATTTTGCTGTAGAGTGTCCAACAATGGGCAGCTACTTGTGTCATTCACTGGACCATTTATGCCCCAGTGAATAGCATCTTCCAGGCACCCTCACTCACAAGGTTGCTTAACTTTTTTCTTTTCATTGCAAGTTTTCCCCAAACTCTTATCAGCTGAATGTAGACACTTAAAAGAAAAAAAAAAAGCAGATAAAGAAGTTTTGTGCAGACATTTAAAAGGTTACAATAGCAACTATCAGGAGAGCACGTAGTCTGTTGGCCGGGAGCTCGCGGAGTGCCAAGTAATGTGGAGGAGTCCATCATGCAGAGTTAGCTGGAGCACCAGAGAATCTTCTTTCCTTAAAAAACTGAGGTTGCGATATAGGCCAGAGAGAAATCAAGGGAGCACAAAAAGACCTGTTCCACACTGGTAAGCACAGACTTGCACTTTCATTTTTAAGTGCAAATCATCCACTCAGTCATAACAAACTTTTTTTTTTTTTGAGACAGGGTCTCGCTCTATCGCCTAGGCTGGAATGTAGTGTCACCATCACAGCTCGGCTCACTGCAGCCTAGACTTCCTGGGCTCAAGGGATCCTCCTACCTCAGCCTCCTCCTGAGTAGCTGAGACCACAGGCATGTGCCACTATGCCCAGCTAATTTTTTTAATTCTTGAAATTTTCTGTAGAGACAAGGTCTCGTTATGTTGCCCAGGCTGGTCTCAAACTCCTTAGCTCAAGCCATACTGCTGTCTGGGCCTTCCAAAGTGTTGGGATTACAGGCATGAGCTACCATGCCTGGCCTGCAACAAACTTTTAATAACAACTAAGGCATTGGGCAACTGGGTTCAATCCTACCTAAAGTAACTTAACCTCTAAACATTCATCAGGAAGTGGCATATGATATTGGATCCTGGAGAGTCTATTCACATCCTATAATCTAGCCAATGCAGTATAGCTATTAATACAATGGGAAGACTCTTACTCCTTCCTTCTTGCCCACCACTTAGGCAAGAACATGTGCTACTAGATCCTGGGAAGTCTCATCATGTGTCCTATCCAGTCCTGTGGGAGCACATCTATCTTTCTTCTGAAAGGGCATTGTAATGTCACCAGCCCCATGTTTGGCACCAATTTGTCAAGGAAAGGCTAGCATATAGTCATGTGTCACTTAATGAAAGAGGTTATGTTTTGAGAAATGCATCATTAGACAATTTTGTCATTGTGTGAACATCGTAGAGTGTACTTACACAAACTTAGGCTGTTACTCCTAGGTTACAAACCCATAGAGCATGTTACCATACTGAATTGTAACCCAATGGTATTTGTGTATCTAAACATAGAAAAGGTACAGTAAAAATATTATAATCTTTTTTGTGTGACAGTGTTTTGCTTTGCCACCCAGGCTGGAGTGCACTGGCACAATCATAGCTCACTGTAACCTCGAATTCCTGGGCTCAAGTAATTCTCCCACCTCAGCCTCCTAAGTAGCTAGGACTACAGGTGCATGCCACCACACCCAGCTAACTTTTATTTTTGTTAGAGATGGAGTCTCGCTGTTTCCCAGGCTGGTCTCAAACTCATGGCCTCCAGAAATCCTCCCACCTTGGCCTCCCAAAGTGCTGGGATTACAAACGTGAACCACCATACGTAGCCTGTCATTATAAACTTATGGGGCCACTTTTGTAGATGTGGTCTGTTATTGACCAAATTATCATTGAGCGAAGTGTCATTATGCAGTGCATGACTGTATTTGATCAGAAAAGAAATAAGCCCTTTCTGGATTAAAACAGTTCAGCTCTCTATGTCTTTTTCTCACAAGATGGCATCAGAAGAAGCCATGTGACTGCAACACATATGGTGAAACATTTCGTTGCTGAGGAGCTGATGTTGTTCTGCAGATAAGCAGTTTATAGCTTACAGTTATACCTTAAATGGGGAGAGGTAGAAAGCCTCATTCCTCATCAGAGGAAACTGTCTCAGGACAGCCTCCATGGTAGATAGGGAGGTGTGTGAGAAATGGCATTGTATCAGCTTCTCACACAACCTACCATGCACTCATGTTCTAGGTGAGTTATAGGGCTTACATCAGCTGGTGTTAAATCCTGGTCTATGTGGCTCATATGAAGAGATGCAAGTTGCCAGGCAGCCATGGTGCAGTCATTCCTCTGAAGGAAGAACTATTAAGTCGGCACCAAAGTGAGAACAGAAATGGATAAAATACCTTGTAAGACAGAAGATGGTTTAGGTCTTAGGTTCTTTGGGGGCAGAGATAATGTCTTGTTCATCTTTGATTCCTTAGCACCTGACATAACACAATCAGGTTTGCTGAATGAATGGCTATAAACACATAATTTCTTTAGAAATAAGGGAAGACTTTTATGTCTGGAAATATGAATATGAATACTTTGGTCTCTGGCACTCAGTGTCAGGAGATTTTATGTTATGTTAATAATACAAAAGAACAAATAGAACCAGTCAATTTTCAGAATCATTCATTTATCAGGAACTCTGCTAGATGCTGAGGATACAATGGTGATCTAGTTGTTTATCTCTTGTCCCTCAGCCTGCCTCATACCAGCCGTTCCCTATCCTGATCTGTAAGCAGGGTAGGGAGGCTACAAACATTATTTCCCAGGCTCCTACTGCCAATTGGAAGAACTGACAAAAGGGGGAAGCACGGGTTAAAGGTTTTAATGCTTTACCGAAACTGTAATACTATACTGTAGTTTTAATGTTGAAACTATAGTATTGTGATGGCCAGTTTTATATGTCAACTTGACCAGGCCACAAGGTGCCCAGATATTTAGTCAAACATTATTCTGAGTGTTTGATTTTTGGATGTGATGAATCATTGCATCAGTAGACTAGGTAAGGCAGATTACCCTCCCTAATGTGGGTGGGCCCCATCTGATTAGTTGAAGGCAGGAAGAAAACAAAAAAGATAACGCTCCCTCAAAGGGTACTCCTCCTGCCCATCTTGAGGTGGGACATCAGTCTTTTCTGGCCTTCAGACTCCAACTAGAACACTGGCTCTTCCTGGGTCTTGAACCTGCTGGCCTTTGGACTGGAGCTCACACCACTGGCTCCGCTAGGTCTCTAGTTTGCAGATAGGAGAACCTAGGACTTCTCAGCCTCCATAATCATATGAACCAATTCTTTCCAATAAATAAATATATATATACAAACACATATATATTATGTATAATATACATAAACCAGTATTATAAATACAAATATATATGTATACACATACAGACATATACATACATATTTAGACACAGATCCTATTGGTTCTATTTCTCTGGAGAATCCTAATATATGTTCAGAAAGTTTGGAAATCATGCAATGCATTTTTCTCAATTTAAGAATCCACTCAAACAAAGTAACCATATGGTTTATTACTATAATACAAATAATATACATTAGGATTTGTTAGATTTGTGTCCCCTAGATCCCTGAAAACCTTGAAGGACCAAGCCTTGGAAACTAGCATAAAAACAGGGACTTGGATAGTTCTATAAAGGATTGTGGATAATGATTCAATTTCTACTAAACAAAATACATACAGCAGGAGATAATATATCACAATGCCCAAGTCATTAACTATCAAAGGTGACCAGAAAAGTCTTGTTATATTTGAATTCCAGAGTTTTTGACTGATATTATAAATATGGAAGAGATTGCTGGTGCCAGAAACCGAGTGAGAAATGTGAGTAGATGCAATAATGAAAGCATATTTCTACAATAAGTAGAAGTGATACTAACAAAAAAGGAACTGTCTTTCCACAGTTGTCACACTCATAAGGCTTCTCCCATTGAGGGTTCTCTGGTGTTTGATAAGACCTGAGCTGCGACTGAAGCCCTTGCTGCATTGTTCATTTTGTTAGTGCACTTCTCCTTATTGTAGGAATAAGGTGAAGCGCTTACACAAAAGTTTGCAGCAGAATAGTCATTCCGAAATACTTTTGTAGAAACAACTCCACTGAATGTATACATAATAAATACTACTTGTATAATGCTGACTAAAAATTTTCTCACTTGAATACACAGACTAAAATTTTGACTATCATGATGGGAAAAAAAAAAGATGGTCTACACAGTATGTTTAACAAAAAAGTAGATAGCCTGAGGAATTAAATTAATGGTTCAAACCGTCATCATGAAAAATTGAGATGCTGTTACCACACGTGATTTGGGAATCAATGTATAAGAAGACCAAGACAGTCAGACACTAATAATGGCGTTCTGAAACCATAAGTGATACTTGGGCCGGGCGCGGTGGCTCACGCCTGTAATCCCAGCATTTTGGGAGGCCGAGACAGGTGGATCACGAGGTCAGGAGATCGAGAGCATCCTGGCTAACACAGTGAAACCTCGTCTCATCATTCTCAGCAAACTATCGCCAAGAACAAAAAATCAAACACGGCATATTCTCACTCATAGGTGGGAATTGAATAAGGAGAACACTTGGACACAGGAAGGGGAACATCACACACTGGGGCCTGTTGTGGGGTGGGGGGAGGGAAAGCATTAGGAGATACACCCAATGTAAATGACGAGTTAATGGGTGCAGCACACCAACATGGCACATGTATACATATGTAACAAACCTGCACGTTGTGCACATGTACCCTAGAACTTAAAGTATAAAATAAAAAAAAAAAATAGCCCGGCGTGGAGGCGGACGCCTATAGTCCCAGCTACTCGGGAGGCTGAGGCAGGAGAATGGCAGGAACCTGGGAGGCGGAGCTTGCAGTGAGCCGAGATCGCGCCACTGCACTCCAGCCTGGGTGACAGAGAAGACTCCGTCTAAAAAAAAAAAAAAAAATTTGGTGTGAATCCATTGAGCTGGAGAAAGTATGAACTTAGCAGGAATAAGTTTTGATGCAGTTTACTATACAGTGTGTGTTGGGTGGTAGGGTGGGGCAGGATAGTATCTATTGTTTTAGGAGGCATTGGTTAGGCCCGAGAGAACTAAGATACTGAGCATTAGAATATTCATCATTTTATTCTGACTTGATGACTGATTTTCACACTGTCTGAATAGGAAAGTTTTTTCCTTAAAGAATAGCAACAGGAAAACATTAAAGAGTGAAATTTGGGCTGGGTATGGTGGCTCACGCCTGTAATTCCAGTACTTGAGAGGGTGAGGCAGGAGGATTGCCCAGGATTTCGAGACCAGCCTGGGCAACATAGTGAGACCTCATATTTACAAAAAAAAAAAAAAAAAAGCAATTCCACGGATGGCACACATTCGTAATGATTTAGTGATAAGCTTTTTAAGGCATTTGCACTAGAATAGAATTCCTAGTCTGGTAAAGAAATATGGATTCTTGGCCGGGCATGGTGGCTCATGCCTGTAATCCCAGCACTTTGGTAGGCTGAGGCAGGAGGATCATGAGGTTAGGAGATCGAGACCATCCTGGCTAACACGGTAAAATCCCGTCTCTACTAAAAACATAAAAAATTAGCCGGGCATGGTGGCACACACCTGTAATCCCAGCTACTCAGGAGGCTGAGGCAGGAGAATCGCTTGAACCCAGGAGGTGGAGGTTGCAGTGAGCCAAGATTGTGCCACTGCACTCCAGCCTGGGCGACAGAGCAAGACTACGTCTCCAAAAAAAAAATGGATTCTTTCAATCACAGTAACCCTGCTCTGCCTATGTACTTGGTAAGAAACACACTAGATTGAGTCACAATCTAGGTCAGAGAATTGGACACAAGCACAAATGGCCTTGGCGAGAAGTTCTTCAGAAACCTGGATAACATCAGATTTTCAGATCTATGAAGGTAATCTCACTGGTACATTCAATAAACATTTATTAGCACCTGCAGAAAAGGCACAGAGGGGGATATAAGACTTTATGAATCTGACCAACTGTGGAGGATTCATTACAGTCAAAAAGAATGGTCAGAGAAGCAGCCCCCAAATCACAACCATCCACCCAGTAGACATCACCAAGTGCTGGTTTAGGGCAAGTAGCCAGTCTAAACATCCATTTAATTCTAGTGGGAGAGAACAAACAGTTTCAGGTCTTACCTCTTCTAGACAACTCTCCCGTAGCCTCCTATCAAATATGTTTTGATTACAAACCCCTTCTAGAACTTAGAAGATAATTTGTCTAACCCAGTCTACATTTTCTAACACCTGATAATGTGTAGTGGTAAATAAAGCCCAGCCCACAATTTCTATAGTTGAGACTCCAGGGGGAGTGGCTTCAGATCAGTGACAAATGAGCACCAACTCTGGCATGTATGGCATGGGTCACTGTGATAGGATGTTTTTCCCTACATGGCTTCTCTGATGTTGAACAAGGTATGAAATTCGGGTGAAGCCTTTTCCACACGCATTACACTGATAGGGTTTCTCACCAGTGTGGATTTTTTGATGTTCAATGAGGCCTGTATTCTGAGTGAAACTTCTTTCACACTCATTACATTTATAAGACATGGGAGTTTCAACATTTTCCAACTGGCTTTCCATCCTACTTTTCCAGGCCTCTCCCTGCTCAGGTTCCTGAACATTTTTATCCCCAGTATGGATCCTCTGATGTCTCAGGAGATGTGAACTTCGCCTAAAGGCTTTGCCACACATACTGCACTGATACGGCTTCTCCCCAGTGTGGATTCTGTGATGTTCAAGGAGGCTGCAGCTCTGGCTGAAGGTCTTCCCACAGTCATCACACTCATAGGGCTTCTCCCCAGTGTGGGTTCTCTGATGCTTGATAAGGTCTGAGCTATGACTGAAGGCCTTACCACATTCTTCACACTCATATGGCTTCTCACCAGTGTGGACTCTCTGATGAATGACAAGGGCAGAGCTCCCAATGAAGGCTTTGCCACACTCTTCACATTCGTAGGGTTTCTCACCAGTGTGGATTCTCCTGTGTTTACTCAGGCCTGAGCTTTGAGCAAAACTCTTTCCACATTCATGGCAGATGTGCCGCCTCCCTCCTGTGGCATTTTTCTGCTTTCTTTGTAGCCTGCCCTCCTGTTCACCAGCTTCTGCACATGTAGGAATCTGGGCAATGTCTTCTCTCAGGTGGCACGATATCTTCCCATGCTCCTTTTCTGGAAGCTCCTCAGCTGGAGGCAAGTCCCTGCTCTTAGTCTGTTTTTCATCACCTGAAACAACAAATAACTGGCAACTGTGGCTTATGCCATGGAAGGAAAGCTCTGTGATGAGTACCAGGGAGGCAAGAATTACAGAGGTCTATAAATGCCTGGGATGAGGATTTAAGTGCTAGAATAAGGATGGGAATAAAAGGGGAGAACAGGAGTGCTGGGGAGGAGAGAGACCTAAGAATGGGAATGGGGCCATTGGAAAGGTACACACTGGGAGTGGAGGGAGTGGGTAGAAGACGGTGAGGATCCAGGACTATGCTGGGGATGTATGTGGTTGGATCCAGGACTATGCTGGGGATGTATGTGGTCGTTCTAAGTTCTAAGAATTGTAAGGCAGGGCCATGCACCTAGGATTAGATACTAAAACGGTTGAACAGAAAGTGACAGTAAATGGAGCATGTGGAAGGATTTCTGAAATACCTTTGAGAAACAGCGACTGGGAGGCTCAGGCTGGCAGATCACTTGAGGTCAGGAGTTCAAAACCAGCCTGGCCAACATGGTGAAACCCCATCTCTATTAAAAATACAAAAATTAGCCGGGCATGGTGGTGGGTGCCTATAATCCCAGCTACTCAGGAGGCTGAGGCAGGAGAATCACTTGAACATGAGAGGTAGAGGATGCAGTGAGCCAAGACTGCACCACTGCACTCCAGCCTGGGCGACAGAGTGAGACTCCATCTCAAAAACAAAAGAAATAAATAAACGAAACAGCGAAAGTGGAGACTCAGAAATTGGGCACTGATCAATGATACGATAAAGACAGTTGTCTCGGTTCATATCCCAGGCAGAGGCAGGGTCCCCAAACAGAACTGGATTCAGTGCTGTGAATTTTATGCCACCAATTAGCTACGTGGCCTCAGACAATCAGGCAATCTTCTCAGCCTCTGCACCTTCATCTCTGAGGTCAGGGTCTATAGTCAATGTCTAAGGACACTTCTCTCACACTCTATGGTCCCAAGGCCCATTTCCTGAAGAGGCCTCCCAGCTTTCCTCTTCGGTCAGGGATAGGAACAGGAGGACATCAACATTTAGTGGGCATCTCCTGTGAGCCAGACCTGTACTCGGGGTTGTATCGACTTCAACCCATTTAACTTAACTAGAATACTGGCACGGAGAGGAGAAAGCAAGGTCAGAAGGGATAAGCAGGCCAGGTGGAGTAGCTCATGCTCATGCCTGTAATTCCAGCATTTTGAGGGGACAAGGCAGGAAGATTGCTTGAGCCCTGGAGTCCGAGACCAGCCTAGGCAACATAGCAAAACTCTATCTCGACAAAAAATTAAAATTAAAAAATTAGCCAAGTGTGGTGGTACATGCCTTTAGTCCCAGCAGTTTGGGAGGCTGTGGTGAGAGGATCACTTTAGCCCAAAACATTGAGGCTGCAGTGAGCCATGATTGTGTCACTGCACTCTATCCTGAGTGACTGAGCAAGACCCTATCTCTCAAAAACAACAAAAAAAGAAAGGGTAAGGAGCTAGTCAGTTACAGGCTTTCAGAAATGGTGATTGTGAATCCAAACATAACAGGGCTCAACAGCTTCCAATAGCTCAACAGGTTCTAATATACAAAGAATGCCAAGAAACCTTAACAGAAATTAGTGTCCTTTAGTCTTACCCAGGGAGACCAGGCTGCCATGGTTCTCCTGCTTTTCATCTCTACAGAGATTCCCCTGAGATGAATCCTGCTGTGTCCATTCAGGGGTGAGGGTCAGGGCCACATCTTCCACTTTCAACAACCCCTAAAACAATAGGTAATCCCATTGAAGAAGGGGCTGACCAAAATGGTGGAGTGGGGAAGATCTGGGAAGCACCCCCAGGCCCCATTCCTGCCAACAGCTAGTAATAAACAGGAAAAGCCTCTTAAGTGGGCACCTAAATAAAGTTAATGATAAACAACCTCGAGATAGATGAGAAAATGCAGATCCCATTTGAGATCTGTATGGAGGATCTAGGATTGGGGTGGAGGGGAATGGGGAGTGAGGAGTCTTCACAGGAAGCTCAATAGTAGTGAGGGGCATTGGGGGAGGGATAGGGCTCCAGCTCACCTGGGACTCTGGAGTAAGCCTAGAAGCTACCACTTTATCTTCTCTGCAGCATCCTCCATGGGCAAGCACGGGGACCTGGAGAACTAAGAAGGAAAGAAGCTCTGGATGAGATGTACCCTGGCATTCAGCCTCCCTGCCCTGTGCAATCTAAGTTAAATAACTGGATTAATAGATTCCTGTCTCACTTGATTGAGCCCAGGAGTCTGAAGCTGCAATGAGCTGTGATTGAGCCACTGCACTCCAGCCTGGGCAACAAAGTAAGACCCTGTCTCTCTAAATAAATAAATTCCTGCCAAACAAGTTTATACAGAGTGTGCTCCTTTCCAAAATTCCTGGTCCCTACCAGCTCCAATCCTATGGCTAAAGATAACTGTTGTGCTCTGCAGATACACGAAAACAATGCAAAAAGGCAGGATCCTTGTGAGCAGTTGTGAAATAAAAAGAACATAAAAAACAAAAAAGCTTTCCATCTGAAGATCCTTTGAATTTTGCTAGAGATAGGAGGAAAAATCGGATTTTGGGTGAGTATGTCCTTAGTAGCCGTTAGGGTGCTTTTTGCTTTGGATTTGAAAAGCTAAAAGGAGTCAGACAAAGCTGGGCTATGAAAGGCAAAGTAAGGGTCTGGCTTTATACAACGTATGGAAATTCAAGAGAGAGAAAAGTAAAGAGCTTCAGGTTTCCTTATTATTCCTTATATAACTTCAGGAAGCATATATATATTCCTCATATATTCCTTATATATTCCTTATATAACTTCAGGAAGCATATATATTCCTCATGTATTCCTTATATAACTTCAGGAAGCAAATTTTTAAAGGGGCACAAAACAGGTGGTTTAGGCTAGAACCTCTGTTTAAAAATAAAGATCGCATGTTGGCTAGAACATCCCAGTGATGTATATCTTGGGAACTTGTACATGTGTTTAAGACACATGAAAGGACATCTCAGAACACATACAGCCATTTCCTATGCAGTGAATTTCATATTGTTTTAATAACAGACCCAGGATTTAGAAGATTTATACCCTTTAATTTGCAATAGTCCTATAATTTATGAGATTGGCTGGCTGGCTTTACAGATTCTGTTTACTTTCTGCATAAGACTTCCCACTGTCATACGAATTGTATTATTAATGTGTTTATTTACCATCTTCCTCACTTAAATGTAAGCTCCACTGGGACAAGAACAGTTTCACTCACAGTTCCATTCCCAGAGCTAACTGGCCACCACACTGGAGGCCTCCATAATTACAAGTTAAAGAAGAACAAAGACAAGTAGCTGGTATACACAAGTGTGGTAGCTTACACCTATAATCCCAGCACCTTGGGAGGCCCAGGCAGGAGGATCACTTGAGCCCAAGAGTTTGAGACCAGCCTGGGAAACATGGTGAGACCTCAAATCCACAAAAAAGTTTTTAAAACCTAGCCAGGCGTGGTGGTGCACACCTGTAGTCCCAGCTACTCAGGAGGCTGAGTTGAGAGGATCGCTTGAGCCCAGGAAGTGGAGGCTGCAGTGAGCGATCCAGAGGATCGCTTGAGCCCAGGAAGTGGAGGCTGCTTGAGCCCAGGAAGTGGAGTGCCACTGCACTCCAGCCTGGGTGAAACAACAAGACCCTGTCTCAAGAAAACAAAAACCAATACAAGAAAAAAAAAAACCAATACAACAAAACAAAACCCAAGCAAGAACCAATTCTTTCCAAACCTAAGTTTTACTAATATCTTATTTACTATGTCCAGTCTTGGTTGAAAAAGCTTTCCATCATTATGTTGGAAATACTCCTTTTAGTCTCAGTCTTAAATGAGAGTTGATCTGTGATGGGCACATAAGCCCCCTATCAATGAATTTTGTTGGCTATCCTTAAATGAAATTGGATGAAGTCTGCAGAATTCATACTGTCTAGAAAATAATCCTTACCTCTATCTTGTAAAGGCTGGGATCCCACAGATTCATGCTTGAGCAGAGCCTTCATTAGCTGAAATTGGCTACTTTGTGACCCTGGGGCTGGTGTCAATAGTGCCATCTTGCAACAGAGCAGTTCTTGCCCCTGGTCAACACCTGAAACCTAGAAATCATTTGTTCTTATTTTCATGTTTTCATCAAACACTTCCATAGAACTACCTAGGTGGCTGGCACTATTTCCAAGAGCATTATAAATGTTAACTCATTTAACGCAGAAAACAACAATCTTATAAGGGAGGTATTATTATTATACCCATTTTACTGATAGGGAAATTAAGGCACAGCCAGTTTAAATAGCTAATCAGTGGCAATGCTAGGATGGGAGCTCAGGTAGAATGATGCCAGAGCACACGTTCTTATCATTACTCTATGCTCCTTCATATATACATTTGTGCTTTTATGAAAATCCATTGGAAACTGGTGCAAAATTCTCAGAGAATATTAATACCTTTTATTATCTGAAAAGGGGATTACAATCTCTAGTTTATGGAGTTTGGGGGACCCAAACAACATCACAGTACGTGAAATCACCTAACATGGCCTGGCATACGATATGTATGCAGGTTTCCTTCCAGACATTTATAGTTATTATAAAATTACAGTTTTCAAGTTACTTTCTCATGTGCAGCTCAGAATTTCCCACATCCTTTATAAAGAATGAAGCTAAGAGACTCGCACTGACTTTCCACTGTTACAGGCCTTGGGTGCAACAGACCCAAGTCAAGAACCCTGGTATCCAGCTCACCATTTAGAAGGCTCTGGCCACACAGGTCCTCTGAGGGTGTGTGCACAGGGACACAGGATGATGCAAAGAGGACACAGTCTCATAAAACAGGGAAGAACATGGAGGTAAAAGTCGGCCCATTTTCTACCAGAGGTTCATAACCAGTGGTCCATGAACTCCTTCCCACGTAGTCCATGAACTTGAACAGGACAAAAGCTAATCTTATTTTTAACTAGTCTTTAAGAGAAAGTTAGCATTTCCTTCCAATTATGAATGGAAGCAACAAATCAATGTAGCATAAGCAGTACCCACGACTTTGTCACCAATAGAACCTGCAGATGTTTTTACATCACATTACAACCAAGCAAAGAGATACTTATCACTGCTTTGTAATTGCCAGTTATAAGCCCTGTCCGTAGGTTTTATTATTTAGTGTACTAATAAAAAAAAGTATGACTTTAATACAAAGTTAATACTTTGCAAACTGTATGTTGATATGACTGCGTTCTTTTGTAATCCTTTATGGTTTATGTATTTTAAAAAAAAAATTATTCTGAGAAGGAGTCCAGGGACTTCACCTTACTGCCAAGGAGGTTCACGGTACAAAAAAGAGATGAAGAACTCCTGGATGTTAAAGGAATGCCCCTCACTCTGATCTGGGATTTCAGGAGGAAACAGGCCACAGCGCTCAGATACTAAACCTGTTCTTTCTACCTGCGGCGCCGGCTCATCCAGCTGCCTCTCCAAATACTCCAATAGCACCACCACCTCCTCCCCGCTCTCTGGATGCTGCTCCCGCACCCAGCTCTGCAGATTCCCCGGCAGGATGGTCAGGAACTGCTCCAGCACCAGCAGCTCCAGGATCTGCTCCTTGCTGTGCATCTCAGGCTGCAGCCACTGTCGGCAGAGCTCTCGGAGCCGACTCAGCGCCTCGCGGGGGCCTGCAGCCTCCGGGTAGCGGAAGCCTCGGAAGCGCTCGCGGGAGCCCTCAGAACCCAGATCTGGGCTACTGGGAAAACCGGCTTCTTCTTCCTCCACCTTTATGACCAGAAGCTCCATCTGGTCTTCTGTAGACTGGGCATCCAGGGCTGTGCTTTCACTTAATTCTCTAGCCATCCTAGGCCAAGGCAGTACTCAGGCCTCACTCTAGCTTCCAGCGCTATTTCTGCAGAAGATCCCTGAAAGGTGGGAAATCATTATTAACCAGTAAACTTGCAAGTAGTCCCTTCTCTCCTGCCCAGGAGCCCAGAGACATCTCTGGGGAACTGCTGCAGAAATTTCTCCATGTTCAGTGGTTCTGCAGCTTAATCCTCTACACCACCCCAAACCTGAATCCCATAGTAAGGTTCCCAAAGGATGTCCTGGAGTGATCCTGGACACCCCCAAGCCCCTGACTAATCAGGAAAAAAACTGAAATTGGTGAGGATCCAGGGCACTTCCTGGACTCTCTAGGAAGCTCCTCTCAGTGACTTGCTCAGAGTTATCCCATTACCAACCAGGTCTGTGGTTGTCTAAATTCTAAGATGACCCTAATGATTTCCTGCCCTAATCCTCAGGACTTTCAATATGAGATAGCAAGTCCAGACTGACTGGACTGATCCCAAAGAGCTGAATTCTACTGACAACCTCAATGACCTCATAAGTAGATTCCTCTCAGAGCCTCCAGATAATAGCCCAGCCCTACCAACACCTTGGCTTTGGCCTGGGAAGACCCTAATATTGAACTCAGCTGAGCCTGCCTGGCCTTCTGACCTATAGAACTGGAACAAATAAGCTGATTTTTTTTTTTTTTTTTTTTTTTTTCTTATTTGTTTGTTTTGAGACAGAGTCTTGCCCTGTCACCCAGACTGGAGTGCAGTGGCATGATCTCGGCTTGCTGCAACCTCCACCTCCCATGTTCAAAAGATTCTTCTGCCTCAGCCTCCCAAGAAGCTGGGATTATAGGTGTGCACCACCATGCCCAGCTAATTTTTGTATTTTTAGTAGAGCTGGGGTTTCACCATGTTGGCCAGGCTGATCTCGAACTCCTGACCTCAAAAGATCTGCCTCGGCCTCCCAAAGTGCTGGGATTAAACACATGAGCCACTGCGCGCAGCCCAGATTTTGTTTTAAGCTGATAAATTTGAGGTAAATGTTATACAGCAATAGAAAACTAATACAGTTGATTCTATATCTGTGGGTTCTGCATTGAGAGATTCAACCAACCACAGCTGGAAAATATCTGGGAAAAAAAAATAACAAAAACAACAATTAAAAAATACAAATAAAAATACAATATAAAAAGTGTTTACAAAACATTTACATTGTATTTGGTTTATAAGTAATCTAGAGATGATTTAAAGTGTACAAGAGAAGTTGAGCCTGGTGCCGCACTACTGCAGTCCCAGCTACTCAGGAGGAAGAGGCAGGAGGATCACCTGAGCCCAGGAGTTCAAGGATGCAGTAAGCTATGATTGTGCCTCTGTACTCCAGCCTAGGCAACAGTGCAGAGACTCCATCTCTTAAAAAAAACATACAGGAGGATGTGTGTAGGTTATAGGAAAATACTATATGCCATTTTATGTAAGACTTGAGCATCCACAAATTTTGGTATCATTGGGGATCCCGGAATGAATCCCCCACAGATAGTGAAGGATGGCTGTACCAGGTCTTATCTGTGGTCAAGGTACTGTAGTAAGGGGAAGAAGAAAGAAAAGACAGAAGGCCCTGGACCAAAAGAAATAGAACTGAATTAAACCTTGGCTGCCTGCTAGTGAGACCCTCAATTATATCTGAAGTGAGGCTTGCCCAAAAAACTGGCATAACATTCACATTAAAATTCAGCTGAAAGAAGGATTTCTGCAGGCTCTTCGGATCTTTGGGCTGAAGGCCCTTCAGTTTCTCTCAGAAACATCAAGGCAGCCGAAAACATCACCAAGCCCTTCCCCTGGAGAGAGCATAGGCTGCCCCTGGTCTTTGCCACCTCCTCAATCTGCCACTTTCTTTCTTCCCCTTCAAGACTGAACTTCTTGAAAGAAAGTCCTTAGTCCCTGATTCTAGTCCTCACCTCCCACTAAGCCTTCCACACACTGTAGGCTGCAACTGCCAAGACCACTAAGATTTCGCATGCAGAAGGAACCAAAGGTGCTTCCCTCAATTCCCATTTTCCATGGCCTCTTCTCAGGCAACTGGGCTGAGGATACTGTCCACTTCCAAAAACTCACTTGTCCTTACTTCAAGGATCTTGCTTTCTCCTGCTTTCCTCCTTCCTGGTTCTTCTCAGCTCCCATCATAATCTGGTTAAGTGTTCTGAAGCCAGGTTTCCTGAGGTCGTCAAAATCCTGGCTTTACTACCTACTAGCTCTGTGCCTCCCTCTCCTTATCTGTAATAGGGATAGTGATAGCAGATAGGGCCATTGTAAGCATTAAGTAAGTGAGTGTATAAAACTCTTAGAACAGTGCCTGGTGTGTGGTTGTAAGGAACATGGCTGTGCTGCAGCGAAGCAGGCATAGGCCGAGGTAAACATCCTGCATGACTCAGCAGGATTGGAGCGCACGCACACAATTCCGTGCATTATATAATCACAGTTATGTAGCCATAATCTGGGGAGGCTCATCACCTGGCTCTAAGATACTACTGTTTGTGAGGTGTATAAATGTGGCACTGACACTGTGAAAGAGCTGCTGAGTAAAGCCATGTCCCATCTACCTGCTGTCTCTCGAGTGTTCTTCCAGCTCCCTGCCCCCCATCCACCCACTCCCCTTGGACCTCAGCTGGGGCTCTAACCTGACATTTGGCATAGTGAGCAAGATGAGGTGAGTGGGTCTTCAGCCCCCAGGCTCCCGGAGCGGCTATGCAGCCACAGCATGAGCTGTGGCACCCAGTGGCAGCCGTGCTGCAAGGATGGGCTCTGGTGGAAACATGGGCGGCAGTGGACAGGCCCTCCACGAGTGTGGAGAAGGTGCTGAAGCACCTGGAAATGCACAGGACCGAGAAGGAGTGTGCCTTTGCCAACAGAGTCAGATGGGCATTTGTGACTGTGCTGCTGGAAGGGCATGCCCAGTCCCTGCTGGACGCAGTGCAGGGAGGAGGACGAACCTCCATTACAGGCTCACCCAGTGGTCTGCCAGAAAATAGAGCATGAACAGCCACTGGGCCCCAAGGGTGGGCCTAGAGACCCCCTACCATAGTGAAGCACACTTCTTATAGTGCTTGTACCCCCCACTGAGTTGTGGGAGTTAGGCAAGCAGTGCCAGCAGCATTTGGGGGAGACTCCCTGCCTGAATTCTGTCTCTCCGGGACAAAGGAGCTGATCCATTTCCTGCTCCCCCTCTGAGATGGAAAAGCTGGCTTCTTTAATTACAGTGTGGTCTGATGCCGGTGAAATACCAGAAACTGTCAGTAGATGGCAGTTGTATATAGACTTAGTGCAAGTCATTCGGGAAAAGGACATTGCTGGGCAACTAGGTCCCGCCGGAGCGTTCCAGCTCAAAGATTACCTGCTGCAGTCAGGCAGAAATGTAAAGTCTTTCCTGTTTGATTGGGAACTGACCCAGGTGCCAGGCTTGGGGGGACACCGGACAACCAAAGGCAATATGTGGACTCGGCAAGCCACTGGTCCCTAAACCTGAATAAGTTTCCGGGCAGAGCTGCATTTATTGACGGTTATGAAAGCTGGTCAGTGAAAGTGAAACCTGTATCTTTGGACCTCGGCATCGGCCGCTTAGCTCCCTGCTTATGCACTGTGGATGTCTCTCCCATGCCTGAGGACAGGCTGTGGGTGGATGTTTTGCACGGCTTGGCAGCTGTGCCGTCTATCATGGATTTGATAGGCCACTTGACAACAGAACTGGGATGGTGCCACTGTGTGGTGGACTTGGCCAATGCATTCCTCTTAATCGACATTGCTCCAGAGAGCCAGGAACACTTTGCCTTCGTGGGAGGGTGACAATGGACTTTCACAGTATTGCTGCAGGGATATATGCATAGCCCCAACATATGTCATGATCTTATTAATGATGTTATATTAACCTCTGATTCTCTTGCAGATTTAGAAGCAGCAACGCAGCCTCTTGCCTGGAATTGGGATGATGCGGCTGAAACCACCTTCCTGGCAGCCAAACAGGCTATTCAGCAGGCACAAGCCCTATGGGTAGCTGATCGGGGCACCCATTTAAACTTGATGTGCATGTGACCAGATAGTTTTGACTGGGGCTTATGGCATCACACAGAGCTCTTTAGAATGCCAGTAGACTTTTGGTCCCAACTTTGGAAGGGAGCTGAGCTCCAGTATTCCTCGACAGAGAAGCAGTTACTAACTGCATATGCTGCCCTTTAGACTCGTGACAGCCTGGCAGGATGGGCTACAGTCGTCGCGCGCATGACTTACCCAATAGCAGGGTGGGTATGCTCATGGGTAACAACCCACACACTGGGATGGCACAGACATCCACTTTTGTAAAGTGGGGTGCTTAAGCCTACTTGGAACAGCAAAGTATGCTAACTCAAGTCCCTTAGAAGCACAATTACAGGAAGTCTTAGGACCTACAGTCCTAATGCAAGATAAGGTTATGGGACCTGAGGCACCCCTAGATCCTGAGCCTTCACCTTTTAAGGAAGGGCATTCCCGCATTCCCAATGGGGCATGGTACACAGATAGGTCTAGCCAGGGTGCTACTGCTACCTGGACTGCTGTTGCAGCCCAGCCTAGTACCAACACCCTATGGTTTGATACCAGGTGTGGACAAAGTAGCTAATAAACTGAACTCAGGGCAATGTAAATGGTGATCACCAAGAAGGTGACACGTAATCTGCACTGATAGCTGGGCAGTTTATCAAGGCTTAACCTTGTGGCTAACTACCTAGAAGTTACAGAAGTGGCTAGTCACCGACCCATGTAGGGCCAGGCCATGTGGCCAGATCTATGAGAGAAAGGATGACTTCCTCCAACCAGGTATGGGGACAAACAGTAACCTGTTGTTGCCCGCCCCAACACCCTAAAGGTAGGGAAGCAAAAACCCTGGATTAATATATAAAGCAACATTGGGGTAACATCACCATGTAGTGATTGCTCACTATAACCTGAAATTATTGCTCCCTGTATTACTGTGGCCCAAGTGCCCAGAGCTTATGTGTCAGGCTTATGTGTCAAGCCTCTATGTATACATTGGGCCTGTGTGCCCAGAGCCTATGTGTCAGACTTATGTGTCAAGCCTGTGTGTATCAGCCCTGGGTGCCCAAAGTTTATATGTCAGGCCTGTGTGCCAAACCTATATATTGGGCCTGTGTACCCAAAAACCTATGTCTCCCTCGGCCAAGGGGGTGGAGTGTAAGGTAAATGGATGTGCTTTGGTCAAGAATAGGCCGAGGCAGATATGCAGGCCAGCGTGACTCAGCGAGTTTGGAACGCAGGCGCACCACTCCACTTGTTATATAACCTGTTTGTGTAAGCTCATACTTGGCTTACAGCCACTATTGTCTGTAAATGGTATAATTGCCCTGCTGACACTGTACATAGGACTTGTGCCCAGAGAGAGAGAGAAAAACTGCTGACCCTGTAAGAGAGAACTGGCCATCTTGCAGACAGACAGAGGTGAGCCAGGAATTAACAAGCATGCCAAGGAGTACAGCTGTAAGTGTGGGAGCGGCAGGAGCCACAGAGCCGTTTGCTGAGAAGGGCTGCGGTCGGAGGAGGCAGCCGAGACAGAGGCAGACAGTGTGAGAGCTGCAGCAGCTGCTGCTGAATAAAATCATATTTTACCTGCCTACAGCCCCGAGTGTTCTTTCAACTACCTGCCACCCATCCAACAACTCCCCTCGGACCTCAGTATGGGCTGGAACCTGACACTTGGCATGACAGTGGTAAGTACCATATACATGTTGGCTAATAGTATAATTCACTGGTCTTTCTTTTTTTAAATAAGAGTAGGCCTGGTGGTTCTGTTCTTGACCTTTTCTTTTCTCTATCCACAGTCTTCCCCAGAACTATCTTTAATCACTCGCAAGGTTTTAACTTCTATTTCTAGGCTGTAGACTCCTGATCCCTATCCTGAGCTGCCTCCCAGACGGTCCTATATGGAAATCTTGCAAACAAATCCAATTCAATATGCCCCAAATCAAAGTGATTTTCTTGCTTCCTAATCTACTCCTTCCTCAGTATGGTATTATCTAGAAACAACAGCACCAGCCATCAGGTTTCGTCAGAGTCATCACTTTGTAATGGATGATTTCTGTATTTTAGGAGGGAAAAGTAAGATATTCTGAAAGAGAGCCTATCCCAGAAGCCATGAGACCTGGGCCTGATCTAAGAGGGAAGGGAAACCTGAGATTCCTGTGAACCAGCTGGGACTAGATTTTAAACTAGAAGTGAGTGACTGCAAAATTATTTGACTGGACTCGGATGTCAGTAAGTCCCTCTTTACTCAGTGGAATGGAGAGGCTAGAAAATGTAAGGCTGGGCTGGGCGCAGTGGCTCACGCCTGTAATCCCAACACTTTGGGAGGCTGAGGTGGGCACATCATGAGGTCAAGAGATCGAGACCATCCTGGCCAACATGGTGAAACCCCGTCTCTACTAAAAATACAAAAATTAGCTGGGCGTGATGGCATGCGCCTATAGTCTCAGCTACTTGGGAGGCTGAGGCAGGAGAATCGCTTGAACCCGGAAGGCGGAGGTTGCAATGAGCCAAGATCGCACCACTGCACCTGCACTCCAGCCTGGCAACAGAGCAAGACTCTGCCTCAAAAAAAAAAAAAAAAAGAAAAAGAAAAGAAAAGAAATGTAAGGCTGGTAGAGGTTACAAAGGGAAAAACAATTCCAAGTCCGTGTCTTCCTGAACCTCTATTCCTCAGTCCAACTCTCTACAGTTCAAAGGATGGTAGGGAATAGAAGGAAATTAGGAAACTGAGAGAAGCCATTGATTGTCACAAATCAAAAGTACCAGAAAATACTTCCTCCTAATAAGCTGCCACAAGAGATCTGGGGTACTCCTACATGAGCTAATAATACCAAAATAAGTGAGCCTAAATCTAATCTAGTCTTTAGATCCAAATACCAGTGTACAGGTGAAATATAGGAGCAAATTACATTAAAGGCTTTCAAACTTTGTTACATATTAGAATCACTGGGGAGCTTTTAAAACATCCTAATGCCTTGGGTACAATCAAGATCAATCAGCCTGGGTGCAGTGGCTCACACCTGTAATCCCAGCACTTTGGGAGGCTGAGGCAGATTTCCTGGGGTCAGGAGTTCAAGAACAGCCTGGCCCATATGACGAAACCCTGTCTCTACTGAAAATACAAAAATTAGCTGGGTGTGGTGGTACACACCTGTAATCCCAGCTACTTGGGAGGCTGTTGCATGAGAATCACTTGAGCCTGGGAGATGGAGATTGCAATGAAAAAAAAATCAATTAAATCACTCTCTGGGGGTGGGACTTTTAATACATCAATAACTTTTAAAACTTTCTAGGTCATTCTGATGTGCAGCTGAGTTTGAGATCTAATAAGTTAAAGATACTAAAAAGAAGCAATCGACCAAATCCAGAATGTGAGGCATTTTATAAAACAGAAGGTTCAAGTTCCTCAACAAATAAATGGCATTTTTACCAAAAGGAGTGGGAGGGAATGGGAACTGTCATAGATTAGAAGACTGAACAGACTTATCAAATAAATGCAAATGGTGAACCATATTCGGACCCCACTGAAAACAACAACTGTAAAAAGACTGTAAAAAAAAAAAACTCTAGAAATATTTGAGACAATTATTTGAAAATCAAGATAATGATATCAAGGAATTATTGTCAATTTTTTTGCGTGTGATCATGATACTATGATTATATTAAGATAAAAGTCCCTGTATATAAGAAATTGACACTGAAGTACTTGTACTTGTGAGTGAACTAAAATGTTTCCATCTGCAATTTGCTATAAAATGAAAGAGAAGAGAGGGACGAAATGAGGAAAAAAAAGAGATAAAGAGGGGGAGAGGGAGGGAAGGAAAGGAAGACAAAGAAAGGAGGGAGAGGGAAAGAAAGGAGAGAGGGAAAGAGGGAGGAAGTAAAAGGGAAGGAGGGAGACAAAAGGGAAGGAGGAGGAGAAGGGAAGGAAAGAGAGTGGAAAGGAGGGAAAAGAAGAATGAAAGAAAATGACCAAAAGATGATGGCTGAAGCTGAGTCATGGTTATATTGGTGTTCATTGTAACATTCTCTCTACAATTAAATGTGTTTAAATTTCTCTCCAAAATTTTAGAAAATTAAACAATGTCCTAACTTCTTTCCTTCCTGAATAATACAGCCAAAAAGCATTAAGGTAGGGTCAAGGAAGGCGAGAGAGAGCCACAGCCCAACCCAGAGTGAATCTGGAGCCCAAGTGGAATGAGGAGGGTGTCCACGGTGGGGAAGGGAGGAAGTCTATGGCAGGAAAACAACACTGATACATTTATATCATTTATTCCACAAACTCCATTTAGGTTTCACTACCTGGCCCCTACTTGGATCTGAGCCAAACTGATCACAGTGGGAAGGCACAAGATTGGGAAATTGGTTGCCAACACAAAGTATTTATCAAATCAGTAAATATACTGAAGATAAGGAAAGGAAAGTTTCTCATTAACAGAAAAGAGTTACAAGTCTATGAAAGAGCTAACCCTGTAAAAGTTGGGTTGAAATGAAGGGTGTTAGTATGAAGCCAGTTTCAGGCTAGGGCGTTCCTGGAAGCTCGAAAACTGGTGGATCTCCAGCACTAAGCAGGACATCAGATTTTTGCAAAAACCAGGGGTCCTAGTCCTTTTTCACTATTAAAAACTTCTATTGTTCCTCCTAATCTCCAGCCAAGGAAAAGGTACCCCCGAGTCTTAAAGCCTTTGAGAGTTTGAGTATCACAACGTCCAACACAAACCAGTTTTGGTCTTTGCTTTGGGATAGGCTCTTTTTCAGAGTATCTTATTTTTCCCTCCTAAAATATAGAAATCATCCATTACAAAGTGAATTGATGAATGACAGTAAAATTGAAAGCAACCGTACAAAAGCCAGTCACTAATGTGTCATCATAGTTATAAATAATAATAGTACCACTAATAAAAGCAAATCTTTAAATCATGCTTACTCTGCACCTTACCCATACGAATGCATTCAATCCTCACAACAACCCAGTGAGTTAGGGAATATTATCCCCATTTTACAAAATAGTAAAATGAGGCAGAGAGAGAGCTTAGGAACTAGTGAAAAGTCACACAGCCAGTAAGTGGCAGAGGCAGGATTTGAACCAGGTAATCTGACTCCAACGTTCTGGCTCTTGGCCAGTACCACAGAATAATTTAAAGACCTTGAAACTGACCTTGTTACCAGGCAGTGCAAAAATGTAACGGCTCCCATTCTCGAGGCTTGTCTATGTGACCCATGCATCCCGTCTCCAAATACCCTCAAGAACCGACCCGGACACTCGGTAACGGCCCTAAACAAGGGACACCCATATTGGGCTCTACGCAGGAACGCCGAGGACCACTTCATTCCGCCGCAGAGCGCCCTTCCCTCCCCCACGGCTTCTCGCAGGGGTCTCCCTCCTTGGGAGCCGAGGCTGCAGGAACTGGGGAGGGAAGGGCCTCTCTCCACAAACACACACACACACACACACACACACATACTCCTGCAAACGCACCTCTACCCGGGGACAAAAGAACTGCAGGACCGACAGGAGGAGAGCCGCGGGATGAGATTTAACCCCACAGTGGAAGGCCGACGCCGATTCACCCCATACTCACAAAGTGCTTGAAACTAGCAAACCACCCGCAGGGCGGGGCACAGAAGCCACTTCCGGGCCTCTCTAGCCACCTCCCTGACAGACTCTGTCGTTTGCTAGCTCGGCACCTTGTGTCCCCTCCCCTTTTGCTATTAAAGAGGCTTTTAAATTTTTATTTTTCCAGCTATAACTAAGGGAGAAAGGCAAGGTGCAGAATTATTTTCATAATTTGCTATATTTGCGAATAGAAGAGAGTAAAAAGAATCTAAATTATGTGTGCGTGTGTGGCACAAAGAAGCCCTGGAAAAATCGGAAAATTAATAATGGTGGTTACCTACGAGAGGTGAACGGTCAGAAACTGAGTGAAAACGGGGACAAGAGTGAGAAGGAAAGTGTTAGGGTGCATGTTTTAAATGTACTTTTAATTTTAGAGTTGATTGCATTGCCTAATTAGAATATGAATTCTAAATACATAAATTTTAAGGAACATGCTGCGTGGTTTACATAAAAAATCCAAGATAATCTAACACTCAAATTATGATGATTAATAAGAGAGTTTAGCAAGTTGGCTGGACTTTTTAAAATTCATGTTCACAATCACATTCTCCATCAAAATTATAAAAATAGAATTTTTAAAAGACATCTATCACAGAAGCAAATACTTACAAAAGATACCTGAATGGAAACATTAGTAACTTTATTCATTAGGGATAAGTAGTTGAAATATATACCTATATATATGAGACATATATATACACCTATATATATGAGACATATATATACACCTATATATATGAGACATATATATACACCTATATATATGAGACATATATATACACCTATATATGAGACATATATATACACCTATGTATATGAGACATGTATATACACCTATGTATATGAGACATGTATATACACCTATGTATATGAGACATGTATATACACCTATGTATATGAGACATGTATATACACCTATGTATATGAGACATGTATATACACCTATGTATATGAGACATGTATATACACCTATGTATATGAGACATGTATATACACCTATGTATAAGACATGTATATACACCTATGTATATAAGACATGTGTATACACCTGTATATGAGACATGTATATACACCTATATATATGAGAACTCAATATCATAAAGATATCATTCCTTCCTAAATTGATACACAAATCCAGTACAAAGCAAATCAAGATTCCAATTGTGCTCAGTGGAACTTGACTAGTTGATTTTAAATGTATATGGAATAATGAAAGAGTCACGAATCCGAGACATTTTTAAAACAAATGAAGGAGCTGCAGAAACTTGCCCTATATAATTTATTATAAAATTATAGCAGCTAAGACAATATAGTATTGGCACAACTACAGACAAATAGACCAATGAAACAGAACTGAGGACTGAGCAACAAACATGTATGTGTGGATGCTTGATATATGGTGGAAATTGCATTACAAATCAGTGAGGAATAAAGGAGCTACTTGACAAATAGTACTGTAATATTTGGATATCTAAATGGAAAAATGAAATAAAATTGGGTTTCTACTTTATATGTTGCACAAAAAATCAATTCCAGTCAGCTAACTTTCAGACTTTTAAAAGAAAATTTAGAATAATTGCTCTTTTTTCTATTCACAAGTTTGCTTCTATAGAATCATTTTTTTATGAGCTCAAGTAAAACAAGATTTCTTTTAAACTGCATAAACATACAAACTATAAGGAAAACAATAAATAAATTTGACCTCATTAAAAATTAAAACTATATCAAAAGATACTAGAAACTAATGGTAAAGACAATTAAATTAAAAGGTTGGGAGAAGATATTTGCAACACATATAGTCAACAAAGGATCAGTCCACTGAATATATAATAAACATCTACAAATGAATAAGAGAGAAAAAAGCCAACAATCATACAGAAAAAAAATGGCAAAAAATATGCACAGGCAATTCCCAGAGAGGAATCTCGAATGACCAATAAACATAGCATATACAGTTAATCATTAGCAATTAAATAAAGGCAAATTTTAAATCATTTTATACCAACACCTGAGTAATAACATTTGCTGATAAGAATGTGAAAATTTTGAGACTGTCATACACAGTTGCTGGGACTATAAATTGGTACACTCATCTAAAAAAGCAATTTTGAAATATATAGTAAAGTTGAAATATATGGTAAACCTGAAAATGATACACACATTGGCCCAGCAGCTTCAAAGTACTTACCCTGTAGGAGCTCTTGTACATAAACAAAAATGTTAATTGACTAGTCTAGGCCAGACATAGCTTTAGATGCTCAGGATATAACAAGGGCAATAAAAGGTAAAGACCCCTGTTCTCATAGAGCTAATGTTCCAGGGGAGACTGAGCCAAAAAAATAATAATAATAAACAAAAACAAACAAAAGAATTAAGCAGAATAAATAAATACATAAACTGGAATGGAAGTTGAT
Source organism: Homo sapiens (assembly GCF_000001405.40). Lineage (NCBI taxonomy): Eukaryota > Metazoa > Chordata > Mammalia > Primates > Hominidae > Homo > Homo sapiens. The sequence continues at coordinate 28,347,515 of NC_000006.12, read as the reverse complement.
AAGCACTGCGATTTTTAAAAAGGGGAAGGAGAGGAAGAAAAAGAAGAAAATCAGGGTAGAGAGATCAGAAGTCCTGGCATGAGAGGGGGCTAACTGCAATACAAATAAGATGGTGTAAGTCTAGTGACATTCTGGCCAAGATCTGAAGGAGATGAAGGGGTTAGCCCTGTGCATATCTAAGGAAGTGTTCCCGGTAGAGGAAACAGCAAGGGAGCCAGATTGGCTGAGGTGGAGTGAACAAGAGAGGGTATCAGAGATAAGGTTACTCTGGGATTTTTAAGCAAGAATTTTACTGAGCTGTGCTTTCAGGAATAACACAAGAAGTTAAAGAAATAGGGCTAGGCAGAGTAGTTGAACTGTGGTGCAGTTACAAGAGAGGCTCCAGCTGATCCTCTCAGGAGCTCAAGGGATGGGACAGTCCTTAAGAATTGCCTTGCCTTGATGTAAGGGGTATAAGGTGGAAGGAAGGTAACCTTCTGTGAGGCAACTTTTTGACCAAGGAAAATTCCCAGAGACAGGCTCAATTAAGAGACATCAGCTACCTACTCTCCTGTTCGTTTGGTATAGTAAGAAATGGAAATAACTATTCCAGAATTATTCTTTCTTTCTGAGGAAATTTATAAGAATAGATTAGTAGAAAGATTTACAGTTCCTAGTGTTGTAGCATATCTTAAAGTCATAAAGGATATTTACTGTCTCTCTCCTCTACTATCCATTCTAGATTCCCCTCATCCTTTACTATCATCTTTGTTCATTTAGGTAGTTTACCTTGTAGGTGACCAAAACACTCTGGTAACTATGTTCCTCTCAATTGTGGCTGCTGCACTTGTCCATTTAATAATAAAGACTGTACCAAGGAGGCTGAGTGCCGTGCCTCACACCTGTAATCCCAGCACTTTGAGAGGCTGAGATGGGTGGATCACTTGAGGTCAGGAGTTCAAGACTAGCCTGGACAACATGGTGAAACCCCGTCTCTACTAAAACTACAAAAATTAGCAGGTGTGGTAGTGGGTGCCTGTAATCCCAGCTACTCAGGAGGCTGAGACATGAGAATCGCTTGAACCTGGGAGGCAGAGGTTGTAGTGAGCTGAGATCACGCCATTGCACACTGCACTCCAGCCTGGGAGACAGAGAGTGAGACTCAGTTTAAAAAAAAAAAAAAAAAAAAAAAAAGATTGTACTGAGGAGAAGCAAGAAGCAAGAGAACACCTAATGGATAACTTGAGTGACAAACTTCATTTTTCCCTGTCCCCACTGTGTAACAGCAGCCTTACCTTCTCTTGATATTGGAACCATCAACTTCTGCCAGGGTGGTGACTCCTCTTCTTGTGTGCTGATGTCAGAAAAAGGAGGCAAAAAAATCTGTGTGGCAGCCCTACCTTTCCATTTACAGGGACTCCCTGTTTGTCATGGTGAAAGTGTTCTTCTAGGAATAAAGACTTTTGAACTCACGGAGCCTAGAATCAAGAGGGTACATAGAAAGCACATCTTTCCCTATGTGGGTCTCTAGGAGTGAGGGAATTCAGAGCTACTTCTACCTCTACTCCTTTGTTCCCAGGCACGCATAGTTGCATACTAGGAAACAAACACTACATAATAATTATTGTCTTAGGGTGTTTATACTTTGCTCTGGAGGATGACACCCCATTGTTTCAGGGTATCATATGTAAGTTGGCACTTTAGCTATGCTTTCAAAGGTTGTTCCATTGCTCTATCTGGCCAGCATGTTCCTGGTGGCTAAGTGTGTGATAGAACCAGTGGATCCCATGGTCATGTGCTCACTGCTACACCTCCTTTGAACCCATGTAAAGTTATGCCAGATCCTATGTCAGTGGATCAATGATTCTGTATGTTCTTGGATAATAGTACTAGCTGAGTCCTATGACCAGAAAAGGCAAACCCACACCTAGAATATGTGTTAATTCTAGTCAAAATGAATCACTTGCCACTGATGGGATTGGTCCCCTCATGATGTTGTATCATATCAATACTCAATATTAATTTTTGTTGCAAGTAAGTTGGACATTCAGTTGTAGCCAGGCACCACTGAGCGGGGAGGGACCATGCTGTTAGGCATAGATAGCCTCCATCTCTGCTGCTATGTTTACCTTGTCCATGAGTCCATCCTGCCAGCACTGGGGTAGCTAATGATGGAGGCTGGTTAATATAAACCAGCAAGGTCATTCTGTCTGCTTATTTGTTCATTGCCTTTTCCATGGTGAATATTCTATAATGAGTTTTAATGTGTACAGGGACTTTCTTCCCACTCTTATAGGTCCATCCACATGACTCTTTCCCAGACCTCTTTGTTTTCAATCTTCCAATCATTTTTCTTTTCTTTTCTTTTTCTTTTTCTTTTTTTTTTTTTTTTGAGACACAGTTTCACTGCGTTGCCTGGGTTGGAGTGCAATGGTGCAATCTCAGCTCACTGCAACCTCTGCCTCCTAGGTTCAAGCAATTCTTTTGCCTCAGCCCCCTGTGTAGCTGGGACTACAGGTACATGCCACCATGCCGGCTAATTTTTTCTTTTTTTTTTTTTTGTAGTTTTAGTAGAGAACGGGTTTTGCCATGTTGACCAGACTGATCTGGAGTTCCCGACCTCAAGTGATCCACCTGCCTTGGCATCCCAAAGTGCTGGGATTACAGGCGTGAGCCACCATGTCTGGCCCAATTTTTTTCTTCTAGTTCCCTAAAAACCAGCAAGACATTCATCATTACCCTAAATGTACTATATATATTTTTACCTGTAGCCACAAAGATAACTAAGTGCACCTAACTAGGTGTACCATTCAAAACTCTGCCCACTGGGTGGAATTCCCTTGACTACTAATGCCAGGATCACATCTGAGAGGAGTTCTAAGATAGCCACCATCCATTTTCAGCCTTTAGTAACATACCATGATACTTAATCCAAATAATCCAAACTCAGTATTTTTCCTCCTTTGTCAATTAGTCATAAGGAACCTCCACCAATCACAACTATCACACACTCAGATAGTCACAGGGATGAGCTCAAAGATAGGTGCTAGTGTGGTTGAGATGGATGACAGGAACATGTGGGCCACCCACTCAGAAAGCTTATCTGTCCTCTAGTCCTGCACATGTCCAGTGCTGAACATACCACACACATCTTATGATGCACTGTTGCTGGACCCATCCAATCTGATATCTTGGTGGATCTGATAGAACTATAATAATTCTTCATTGAATATATCATTGAAGATATATTGGAACCATCAACTCCTGCCAAGGTAGTGACTCCTTTTCTTGTCTGCTGATGTCTTAGAAAAAGGAGGCCAAAAAACCCGTGTGACAGCCCTACCTTTCCACTTACATCTTCATTGAATATATTTCCCTGCTTCTGTAGAAAATGTATCTTATCAAGGCCTCCAACATATCACATTTTGCTCATGTGGTCTGAATAATACATTATCAGTAGAGTGAACCAATATAACACCCTTAGAATTGTATCTTTAGTCCAGATCCCTTCTGACTATAATATGATAAGGGGCAGGAGAGATAACATAGCCCCTGGGAAACAACCAGAAATGGAAACCTTTGTCCATCTTTTCATGCTTTTGTTCCTCCTTTCTAAGAGGGATGGAAAAGAATGCATTTACCAAATCAATGACTACACATTATATACCTGAGGTCATATTAATCTGTTATAGAAAATATACTGCATATAGGCCAGGCACAGTGGCTCACACCTGTAATCCCAACACTTTGGGAGGCCAAGGCGGGCGGATCATGAGGTCAGGAGATCAAGACTATCCTGGCTAACACGGTGAAACCCCGTTTCTACTAAACGAAATACAAAATATTAGCCGGGCATGGTGGTGGGCGCCTGTAGTCCCAGCAGGAGAATGGCGTGAACCCGGGAGGCAGAGCTTGCAGTGAGCCGAGATCCCGCGACTGCACTCCAGCCTGGGCGACAGAGCGAGACTCCATCTCAAAAAAAAAAAAAAAAAAAGAAAGAAAAAAAAAAAGAAAAGAAAATATGCAGCATATAGCATTGTAGCTGCAACTGGGGCTACTAGTTGGTTGAGTTTGCAGTAGTTAACTGTCATTCTTTAGAGTCTGCCTGGCTTTGTAGGGGGCTGGTGAGAAAAGGTGGGGGATGATCATGTCTACCACCCTTCATTCTTTTCATCTTTAAGATTGATATTAACCTTTCCACTCCCATTGGGATGCAAAAAATTTTTTTCTGAGTACTCTTTTGTCTGGGGAATGGGTAGCAGTTTCAGAAACTACCACTTGGCTTTTTCCAGTACAATAATTCTATAATAAACCCTAGCCCAAATGATCAATATGGGGTTACTCCAACTCAAATATGTTCATTCCAGTTTTATATTCAGAAATGAGAGAAATGATCAATGCAGGCAGAGAGTGTCTGTGGACCCACTATGAGCCTTATCTGGGCCAGAACTTTATTTCTTATCTGGCCCCTATATGACCACATCCTAACAGGGGGCCACAATGACACTCTGGGTACCTAGGTATCAATGTCAACTCACACTGTGTAAAAGGTTCATCCTAAAAAGCTTTGGATATTCCCCCTTTCTCCAATATATATCTAACTAAATAAATGTCCTGACTGCAGTCTCTCTGTAGAAGAGTTGGAGAAATGTTCCATATGCTATTTGGTTTAGTGCTACATGGTCTTTCCTCTTCGGGACACAGCCAGTTCTGAGAACTAGCTGTAGTCCAAAAACTGCAGAAGGACTTGAGATGTTTTATTATGATAGTTGCCCTCAGCCTTATCACTTACCCTTGATTTTTAAAAAAGTACTGTGGATCAAACAATAGCCATCTGTATATAAGCAACATCTCCCAGGGCCCTTGCCAGAATATTAAATCATAGTAGAGTGCCTCTATCTTGATACACTCTTTCTTATCCAACTTTATATATCAGATTCCTGTTGATCCAGCTCTCTTAGGATCCAATTCTATATGTGTGTTCCTAGGTTCTGACACTACATGTTGGCTAGGTCCTACTGCAACTTTGGTAGATAGTGTTTTTACTCCCTTTGCAGACCCAGTACTTATCTAGCCAGATTTTGCTGTGATGTAACCCTAGGAACTAACGTAGTGTCCAGGTGTGGTGGTGGGGTGTGTCCTGAGCAGGCACATCATCTTCAAGCAAGTAGAGAACACTAGGGAGGAATGGGATACTTTTGAAGGTCCACAGGGTTCAGGAGAATCTGAGGAGTCGAGACTTTTTGGTGCTTTGGCCTAGATATCCCTATCCTAAATCGCAGAGTTCCATTCCTTTCCAATTAGCTCTCTGGCATTAGCTTAGCAGGCCTGCTGGATGTGACATCTTTTCTCGAGCTCTGCCACACATTCAGGTGAGCCCCAGGCCTGATCCTCAGCCTTTGCTGCCCTTCTGGCTGAAGGAGACTCTTTATATGGTGTCAGGGATGTCTCTGAATTTTTCACTTTGCCTTACATTCATAATCACCCAATTCCATTGCCTTCTTCCAATGCATCTGTGGTCCTCAAAAACAACTGTACTATTTCAAAGTCATTATAAATACGTTTTCTACCTAAATTCTAAAAAAAAAATTAGAAGAACATTCCTTCTAGGGCCTTTTGTGTTCCTACACATCTTACAGTGTATGCCAACAACGCAAAGCCCTGACCATTCTTTTGCCCACGCCATTTCTCAGGGTTGTTTATGCAGGTTGTAAGCTACCCCAACTTTTCTTTGTTTTTAGCAGACCCCAGGCATCCAAACCATGACAGTTCCATCAGCTCTCCAAATGAGGTAAGATAGAAACCAGTCCCTTGGGCCACCCTCCAAAGAGCCAGAACAGAGGATGCATGCTCCAATTTTTTCTTTCTCCCAAGGAAGAAGTCATAAGCCAAGACATTCTCTCCTAGCTCTGAGCTGTGCCCACTTGGGGGAAGGGCTGACATGAGTCCTATGGTCTGAAGTTTGTGTTCCCCCAAAATTCTTATGTTTAAACCTAGCCCCTAAGGTGATGGCATTAAAAGGTGAGGACTTGGGAGTGATTAGGTAATGAGAGTTCTGCCCTCATGAATGGGGTTAGCGCCCTATAAGAAAAGGCTAGAGGGAGCCTGTTTGCCCCATCCACCAGAAGAGGACACATAGAAGGCACCATATCTATAAAGTAGAGAGAAGCTTTCACTCTATGCCAAATCTGCTATTGCCTTGGCCTTGGACTTCTCAGCCTTCAGGACTGTGAGCAACGAATTTCTATTGTTTATAAATTACTCAGTTTAAGGTATTTTGTTACAGCAGCCTGAATAGACTAAGACATTGTGTAAAGTGAAATTTCAATGTAGCTGTTTTGGATTTGAGCTCACCTGGGGTACTGCAACTTTTTAACTTGATTCTGGAATTCTCATAAGGATATATTGATCCATATATAATTGTTAATCAGCGTTTCTGCAGGGGAACAGGGCTAATACTTCCTATTCTGCCATCTTTCTCTTGTAACTCCTAACCCAGAATTTTAAATCCAGTGGAAATGTCCTTCAAAAATAAGAGTGAAATAAAGACATTTTCTATTAAATGATAGCTGAAAAATACTTCTCCAGCAGACTTGCACCTGCACTGCAAGCCAACCAACCAAACCAAAACCAAAACCAAACCCTAAAGAAAAACAAAAAACTTCAGTCTGAAGGGAAGTGACAGCTGGAAACTCAGATCTACAAGAAGGAATTAAGAGCATCAGAATGGTGAATATGTATGTGAATATAAAAGCCTTGCTTTTTAGTTAATTTCCTTAAAAAACAAGTGATCATTTAAAGCAAAAATAATATCATTTTAAGCTGGCAGTTATAATGTACAGAGAAGTAAAATATATAAGAATACTACAAAAGATGGGTGTTTTAGTCTGTTGTCATGCTGCTATAAAGAAATACCCAAGACTGGGTAATTTATAAAGAGAGGAGGTTTAATTGACTCACAGTTCAGCATGGCTGGGGAGACCTCAGGAAACTTACAATCATGGCAGAAGGAGAAGCAACATGTTCTTCTTCACATGGCAGCAGGAGAGAGAAGAAGAGAACAGAGTGAAGGGGGAAACCCCTTATAAAACCTCAGATCTCATAAGACCTTAGTATCATGAGAATAGCAAGGAGAAAACCGCCCCCATGATTCAATTATTTCCCACTGGGCCCTTCCCACCACATGTGGGGATTATGGGAACAATTCAAGATGACATTTGGGTGGGGACACAGCAAAACCATATCAATGGGCAAGAGCAAAGGAATAATAGTGTCATAAGTTTCTGTCTATATGTGAAATGTAAATTGTTAAATATGCAACTAAGACTAAAATGTGAAGTGATACAATATTATTTCCAATTAGGCTGTGATAAATTAAAGATGGGTATTGTAATTACTGTAACAGTCATCAGATTCCTATCTATTTCCACTGCAGCACTTAACTTATTCAGAAGTGGGTTTATGATTAAGTCTATAAAGTGTAAGTGATTCTACATTTGCATGTTTCTTCAAATGCCCTGGCCTGGAATGATACCTAGCAATGTGTTTACATGGTTCATATGCTTGTAAAATTTGAGGGGAAAAAATGGATTCTACACTTGCAGTTTCTTCAAATGCCCTGGCCTGGAATGATACCTAGCAATGTGTTTACATGGTTCATATGCCTGCAAAATTTGAGGGGAAAAAATGGATATTTTAGCAACAGGTGTTTAAACCACTGTTTGTTTCCATTTCTGACTCCCCATCTCTTATTTTTCTCTTGTTGAGTGGCACTGAAATAACAATAGAGAATTTTAGCATCTGGTAAGGGGACACTATCTTAGAAATAAGTCATTTTAACTACAATTTGAAAAGATATTTTGGCATGATTTAAGCAATAAATGCTAAATTACAAAATTAAATAATTTATTAAAGAACTGAGAGCAAATTTAAATTTAAAAATTAATGGAGGCTAGGCGTGGTGGCTCATGCCTGTAATCCCAGCACATTGGAAGGCCAAGGTGGGCAGATCACCTGAGGTCAGGAGTTTGAGACCAGCCTGGCCAACACGGCGAAACCCCGTCTCTACTAAAAATACAAAATTTGCCAGGCGTGGTGGCACATGCCTGTAATCCCAGATACTCGAGGTATGAGAATCGCTTGAACCTGGGAGGCAGAAGTTGCAGTGAGCTGAGATCGAGCCACTGCACTCCATCCTGGGAAATAGAGCATGACTCCTTCCCCACTCCCCTGCCAAAAAAAATTAATGGAATGTGAGAAACAAAAGAAATAAAGATAATAAAATCAATGGAAATTATTCTGACATCAGGAAGCAAATTATAACAAAAGAAACAATGTCAAATTATATAAAATCAGCAACTCATTAAGAAAAAAAGCTAAACTTTGAATACAGTAAAAAAATATGCTCTTGGATTAATTCTCTAGTGAAGAAAAGTGAATCACTGAACACATTGAAAAGAGATTTAAATTTCTTGCACATTTTACATAAAATACTGATATTGACAAAGACATCATAATATGCCATTGACAATGAGGACATCTAAGACCAACTAGTTAATGTGTCATCAACACAGAGATTCTCAGATTAGTCCCCACATAAAAAAATTTGAATGTCCTGAAATCTTGTAGCTCATAATTGAAAGAAACTTGATAGAAGTTTACTCAAATGTCAACAATTTTAAAAAGCTTTTGATCAACCATGCTAGAGGAATGGCTACATTAACTTTTTATTCTTTCTAGAAAAATTTAAATTATGAAATTAACATACAAAGAAGCAGTCCAAGAACATAAAGCCAACAAATTAGGGGAGAGTTACTATAGAGGAGTCAGGCAGTTAAATAATAAAAATATTTTGTTATTTTTCTGATTTTTGTTTGTGATATTTGGAAGACTTTAAAATTTGTAGTATAGCTGGATGTGGTGGCAGCAGCTCACACCTTTAATCCCAGCATTTTGGGAGGCAGAAGCAAGAGGATTGCTTGAGCACAGGAGTTTAAGGTTGCAGTGATCACACCACTCCACCCCAGCTTAGTTGACAGAACGAGACCCTGTTCTGTCTCGTTTTGTAATTGTAATTATCATTACAATTACAAAAAAAATTGTAATGTGATGTAAAGAATGTATTTTCCATTCTATATTTATTTATTTATTTTTCGAGATGGGATCTCACTCTGTCAGCCACGCTGGAGTGCAGTGGCACAATCTCAGCTCACTGAAAACCCCACCTTCCAGGCTCAAGCAATCCTCCCACCTCAGACCCACAGGCATGTGCCACAATGCCTGGCTAATTTTTGTATTTTGGGTAGAGATGGGGTTTCACCACGTTGCCCAGGCTGGTCTTGAACTCCTGAGCTCATGCAATCTGCCTGCCTCAGCCTCCCAATGTGCTAGGATTATAGGCGTGAACCACCACGCCTGGCCTATTTTCCATTCTAAATCTCCATTTTTGTTTTTTTTCTTTTTCCTTCTTTATTTATTTATTTATTTAATTTTGGAGACAGGGTCTCAGTCTGTCACTCAAGCTAGAGTGCAGTGGCACGATCATGGCTACTGCAGCTGGTGATTATCCCTGCTCAGCCTCCCCAGTAGCTGAGACTAATAGCATGAGTAACTGTGCCTGGATAATATTTTTTATTTTTTGCAGAGACAGAGTCTCACTATGTCGCCCAGGCTTGTCTTGAACTCCTGGACTCAAGAGATCCTCCCATCTCGGCCTCTCAAAGTGTTGGGATTACAGGCGTGAGCTATTACACCTGACTTAAGTCTCCATTTTCATATCTATGTTTGTACTTGTAATTTTGTATTCCTTTTCTCAAATAAGGTCTCTTGAATTGTATAAGCTGGGTCTCTTTCTGTCTGTATTCCTTGTTACATTATAAACCCCATGAGGATGAGGACCTTGTGTCCTTCATTATTATTATATCCAGCAAGCCCTTGGCACAAAGATCGCATTCAATGGGAATCTATATAATTAATGAATGAGTTGTAAAAAATCAATTCAACCTCTTAACATGTATTATCTGTCTTCTCTATTTCTATTGCTACTGCCTTGATTCAGGCCCTCACTCTCTCTACCCTGGATTCTTGTAGTAGTCTCCTAGCTGGTCTCCCTGCCTGTAGTCTCATTTCCTTACAGTCCATCCCCACATGGCTGCCAAGATAACATTTCTAGATGTAAATTTGATCAGACTGCTCAAATTCCTTGGTTAGGGATCCAAAAAAAGTAAGAGCTGGTGCCCCTGCCACATATACCACTCTCCAGTCATGCTGATCAGCCCAGTTCTTTGGATGTACCAAAGGATTTCACCCCAGTTCTGCTTTTGTACATTTGATTCCCTCTCCCAGAAATTTATTTCCTTTGCTCCTTTTCCAGTGTACACTGGCAGATTCCTGCTGAGTCTTGTTTTGCCCCATTAGTTTTCCTCTCTCTTCCACGCCACGAATTCAAACTAATACATACATTTATTTCCTACATACGTACTTAGCATGTTCCAGAGGCTATTCTCATCGATTTACAAGCACTTATTTTATTTTACTTCATTTCACATGCACGTCTGTTTTACGCAGTTACTTGTTTACACGCTCTTCTTCTAGACTTTGGGATTCCAGAAGACAGAGGTTTGAGTGTAAAACACAAAATAACAAAACCACAACAAAAACAACTCTGTATTCTCGTCCCCACCATTACCATCTCTCCTTTGTGATGTCAAAGAGACCAGAGGAAGTGGACAGACTCGGGGAAGAATAGGTAAGTATTAGAGACAGAAAAAGTATGAAGTCCCTTCTGTGAGGACTAACAATAGTGATGCCATTTTACAACCTTGATGACTGTGTTCTCAAGAAACAAAGCAAATGTCAACCCCGTCCATAGCTTCAACAGAGCATAACAGCTCTAACCGCAACAGAGCCTAACGGCCCTAACCACATCTGTCCCCAGTTGGAAAGTGTCCAAACAGTTCCAACTAGCCAGCACTTCCCCAACCCCTCCCCAACAGAAACTTTATTATAAAAGCCTCAGCTTGTAAGCGATCAGGATCTCAGCCAGATTCCTAACTGGAACTCTTCGCAGGCTTTTCCTGTAAATAAACCTGTTTGGCCGTGGAATTGCCTCCTGTTACTCGCTCTCTACGTTTATATCTTCCTAACACCTTCCGGCTCTAATGTTTTGGGTCTCGATGACCATCTAACTCCTAAATGCTGGGGGCCGCTCCCCATAGAAATGCCTCGCCGGATTTCTCCGCCTCGCACCCAGTGGGACTGGGATTTTTGGCCCCGGGGTTTGCAATAAGGGAGTCACCAAGCAGCAGCCACCTCTGGAATTCCTAGAAAGGAAAGAGTTGCCTGGCTTCAGCCAGTGGGCTCAGAACGGCTGACGCATTTCCGGCCTTTGCGGTTGATCGGTCATTGGGGTGCTGCAGCCCCGCCACCTGTTCCGTAGCTTGCCGGTGCCCCGAAGGTGAGTCTTGGCCCCTTGTCGCGACCCGCCAGGTTCCCAGAAGATTTCAGGTCTGTGCCTTGGAGTAGGCGGGGAGGGAACGTCTGCGCAGGCGTGACCCCCGCCCCTACACATTCACTGGCCTGAAGCCCCCGTGGAGTAGGTGGAGGTCCCGCCCCTTATCCTGAAGATTAAACAGCCTTTCTTTGTCTGAGATAACGCCCGGAGTTCTTTGTCCTGCCTCCAAGACGATAAAGGAGCGCAGACACAAAGGTGAGGTTAGAGCGAAAGTTTAATAAGCGAAAGGAAAAAGCTCTCTGCCAGCAGAGAAGGGGTCCCGACCGGGAGTACCCATTATGGGGCCCGTTCTGGGGTTTTTATGGACTGGAAAGGAGAGGGAATGCGCTTAGTCTGCGGGCTGTCCTGGCGAACGCTTGACTCAGCTTGGTCCGGGACCAATCAGGAGCTGAAATGATGATTCATAGCTGCTGCTTAGCTTGGCCCAGGACCTATCAGAAGCCGAAGTGAAAGTTTGGCCCCGGACCAATCAGGGGCTGAGGTGATGATTCACAGAAGCTGGGCTTATAGTCCTAATAAAGGAAAGTAGAGCGCCTGCCGGAACCTACCAGAACCCACCGTGTCCATACCCACAAAAGGAGAAGAAACTTTTCCTGGGAACCTGCTGACTATACAAAGGACAAAGGCATTATGTGTCAGGCCTTGTTCCCTTATCTGAGTGAGCTGGAGGTTCTGTGCAAGTTTTTATCCAAATGGGCCCGAGGTTTTTCTATCTATGCAGCCGTGGGCATATCTCTAGGCACAACACCCTGTGCTAGTTCCCTTATCGGTGCCTGCAACCTGATTTTTTCCCCAGGCTTAGTTTTATGTTATGTGGGGATAAGACACTAAATCATGGGCGGGGGCAGGCTCTCCAGGGACCCTTCCCTTGCTATCCACCTAAGGCAAGCTAGGTAGCCCTTTCACAGGGTGGTGGGAGAGACCCCTAGAGAGGTCGGAGCTTTGCGGCGAAACCGAGGTCCAGAGGTAGAGAAGGGTCTCTCCCTGTCAAAAGCCTTATTTCCTATATACACGTAATTTTTATTTAATAAGTCAACATTATGCAATGTTTGTCGCATATGTTTTCTTTAAATATTGTAAAAACCACCAACCTCATAACTTGTCACCTCTAGTTTCTAATGCATCTCTAAAAATTGGGGACATTTCCCTACATAACCACAAGATTATTAGCACACCCAACTAAGTGTAGGCGCTTCACCTAACACCTAGTTCATGTTTAAATCCTTCCACCCCCTGTTGTCCCACAGATGTCTTTTATACCTGTTTGTACCAACTAGGATCCAATCATAGACCACTCACTGCATGTAGTTGAGTCTTAACCTAGGGCAATTTTACTCTTTGCCTCCCTTCCTCCCATCCCATTGCCTTGTTTAAAAGGAGGCTCTTCCAGTCTTCCTGTAGTGCATCCCCATTTCTGGATTTGACTGTTTCCTCATGGTATTTAAGGTCTTCTTCTGTTTTCTTGTCATCGTAATTGGTATCCTTTGGGATTTATTTTACAACACACATGATTTGTGATTTACATGATCTCTTTGTTGCTGTTGTTAATTATGCTGACGTGAATGAAAACATTCTCATGAATGAAAACATTCTCTTTTATGCTCTTTCTGCCATGTTTTTATTTCGGTGAAGGACAGTGGGGACACATCAAATTCTGCATTGTTTCACTCTTTGCTGTCTGACACCTCGTAAACACTTAGTAAATATATGTGAAATGAATTCCTTTGTGGATTACAGGCAATGCATAAAAACTTAATCTTGTATTTAGGATGAGCTCTTCCACTTCCTCCAGGGGTATACCTTGTATACATTTTTTAAATTATGGCTTTTATTTTATTGTATTGTAACTATATCCTCATGAGCTATAAACACCTCTATATTCCAAGCTCTTAGCTCAGCTCCATAAATTGATTGTCCAGTGACTGAACTGCTTTTACAAAGGTTAAGCTCTTTCTCCTTTCACTTGTACAGTAACATCTAAACTAAGTGGAAGTCTTTCTAGATTCAGTGCAATAGTCTTCACCCCCTCCACTTTACCCTTTTTTTTAACTCTTGCCTCTTCTGCTTCTACTCTTGCTTTCTGCTTCCACTTTTGCCTCTACCCTCATTCCCTCAGCTCATTCTCCATCCAGTAGCAGAGCTTCTCGGTACAGAATTCAGCCTTGTCACTCCCTTTCTTAAAGCCTTCAGTGGTTTCTCATTGCATTTATAAAATCCTAACTCCTATGCCCTACATGATCTGACTCCTGCTTGGCTTGCCAGCCTAATATTTTGCCACTCTTCTCCCACATGACTGTAGACACTCCAGCCTCCTTTCCTGTCTTTGATGGCAGCATGCACTTCCTCAGGGCCTTTGGATAGTCCAGAGTGCTCTTCCCCTCCCTCATCCCTATTCTGTATGGCTCACTTCTTTTGCACTTAAGGGCTTGGCTTAAATGTTACCTCACTTCCCACTACCCCATCTAAATAGGCTGTCCATTTATTTGGTAACTCAGTGCCTAGTTTATTATCCTCAGTAATCATCACAACTCATAATTATTTTATTTGCCTCCTTACTTATTTTTGTTGTTGCTTTTATTTTTGGTTTGTCTTCCCCGTTAAAATGTTTGCTCCAGCAAAACAGGGCCTGGTCCCGTCTTTTTCACCATTGTAGCCCTAATGCCCAGCCAAGTACCTGGTATGTTATGAGTGCTCAATGAACATTTATTGACTAAATGAGCAAATAAATAGGTTAGTTACTAGTAATGAGTCTCTCCTTGTCCCTTGCCTCCTGGGCCTTAGTTGCTGATAAAGTCATAAGCTGAGTCAGCAGTCAACTACCTTTTATTTTTCTGTCTCCCTTTCATGAGTGTGGAAGTCCACTGCAGGTCCTGGAATGAAACAGTGAGCCTGGTTCCCTACAACCTGAGACACACCACATTTAATCCCCCAGGAGTTGAATTCTAGGATGTCTTTGACTGTTTCTGCAGTCAAGTCATCAACTCCACTAACTACTCTGTGTTTGTGTTTCTGGTCCACTGAGATTTTTGTCTTGTATTTGTAGCTGGCCATGTCTTTCTCTTTATCCCCTTTTATATATCATCTCCCAATGCCAAATGTTTGGAGTCAATTTGGTAATTAATCATAAATTGGCCTGTTTCATATCACCCTGGAAATCTAAATCCAATCTTTAATGTTGCTTTTGAGCTGTTGTTGGGATGTTCAGGGGGACACCCCTGGTGGTATCTAGAGATGGGCTTCAGTACACAAATGGGAGGTCACCACTGGTCACAGTCTGTCCTGGATTTTCTTGAATATTTCTTCTAGTATTTTCAACTGTCTACTGACTATTAACATATGAAGTCAATATTTTATTTTGTTGGGTCTATTTCCTCTATGAAATGAAGATATTCAATTTACTAATACTACTTTACTAATAATACCTGCTCATTGATATTTATGTAATGATTGCTATGGGCCAGGTACTGCGCTAAGCTTTTTATATGCGTTACCTTGTATAATCATAACACCTATAAGAGGAGTACTATGGTCATTAACACTTAGAGAGGCCACAGGATTTGAACGTTATTCACTGTACTGCAGTGCTTCAGTAAAGATCATTTTAAATAGTTTATTCCATTTAATTTGTCAGATGTCTATCAAGTATTTGTTCCCTGCTAGGATATCAGATGACACCAAATTTGCATTTAATCGAATAAATCAGGTAAACAAAACATTGAAGATGCGTTCATAATTTTGTGGTAAGTCCAGACTTCTAAGTCTTCTAGGCATTTTAAAAATAAGAAGTGTCTGTAATCTGTAGCAGTTTGGGAGAGGAGATAGGAAGAGATGGGAGGACTGGCTGGGAACACAGGGTAATGCATATACATCCTGGGAACAGGGGTGGTTTGGGGGACAAGAAGAAAGAGTGTATTTTCCCTTCTGTGTTCCTTTCCCTGTCCTTACCATGGCTTGATGAAGTGAAAGGGGATATAGGAGGGGAGAATATATTTATTTGCCCAGAAAACATTTATGGAGCACTGACAGTGGGCCAGGCACTGTGCTATGCATTAAGGATAAAGACAGTTCATGGTGGCATAAGACCAGGAGGTAAATCCTAAGCACCAATTATGGGGAGAAGAATACAATTGATGGAGAAATACTCCACCTGTGGCTTTGGGTATGTGAGAGATTGCCTGTAGTGATCAAGAAAACAAAAAACAAAAAAAGCCAACTGTATCTCCATGGTTTCTCAATAGCATTAAAGTGCAGAACGCATATTTGCAGAACAATTTTTGCCTATAAACCTAAGGCCATGAGAAGCTACATGTTTAATAATAATGGAATCCAATACAAATTCATAATTAGAAATTTTCAGACTTTCAGTCTTCTGCACTGAAGACTCAACAAACCAAATTACCAGATGCTACAGTAAGGAGTAAAAAGATATACATTTGGCATTAGACATTGACAAAGAATAAATGCCATGATCTTTGTAACTCTTCAAATTCTCAATTCTGTAACATCATTTTATGTGAATATTTTATTAAGGTCTGTCTTTCCCATGGTAAATACCATAAAGTTAGGGACCGTTCCTTTATTCCAGACACCTAGTAGACACATAATATTGGAATGAATTGAATAAATGCATTTTCACCCAATAAAGTGTAACTGAAAAACTTCCAAGTGATCTCAGACCTTAATAATTCAATTAGCATTGGGCAAAAATCATATAAAACTTAAATTACACCACTAAAGTCAACATTGTATCAGTTTAACTACCATTAAACTTCCCAACTTAAATGGCCACAACCTTGCAACATATTCTTACCATTTCCATCCTGAATCTTAATATTTTCTATAAATACAGATCTAACACCATAACAATGAAATAAAAGCCTTGATGCCTCTCAGTTTTCCATAAAGTCAAGTCTAACGTCTAAGCCTAGAGTTGAAGGCCATTTTCTATCCCATATAATGCATCTTTCTAACCTCATCTCCTCTCACAATTTTACCCACAACCCATATTCTATAGTTCAGCTTTGCCTGTCTTTATCGCCATTGTGTGTGCTCTTAAATACCTTTCCTCATGTTGTTTGCTTGATTTATGATGCCGGATACCTTCCTTTCTCTGCCTGATAAATTCCTTTTCATGATTTTAGTCTAATTCAAGTGTACTTTCCCCTAAGTCACATTCTTTCAATATTCCATACCCTGTCAGAAATTCTTTTTTCTATTCTTTACTCCCTGAATATTCTGGTGAGGCCTCTATTATAGCATTCATCATCTGATATTATAGCTGGTTTTATATATCCTGTTCTCCTCCTAGAGCTACCATATACACATATTGCCCAGGCTTTTAAATCACTTCTACAGACTGAATATCCCTTATCCAAAATGCTTGGGACCAGAGTGTTTTGGATTTCAGATTTTTCTGGATTTTGGAATATTTGCATTATACTTAACAGTTGAACATCCCTAATCTGAAAATCTGAAATATGAAATGCTCCAATGAGCATTTCCTTTTAGCATCATGTCTGTGCTCAAAAAGTAAATATCTCTTGCTTTTGTAATTCCACAGTTACCTAATTCTGCTTCCCAGAGGTTCACCCTTCTATATCAGTTATCTATTGCCATAATAATGTGGTATAATAAATAGCCACAAAACGTTGGTGGCATATAGTGATAAACTTATGTTTAGCACATAAGTATATGGGGCACAGCTTACTTGGGGTGGGCAGGCCCTATTTATACATCTGCATTCAACAGCTCTGCAGACCTCAGGCTAGGCCTGCTCACATGTCTGGCAGTTAGCTGGCTGTCAGCTAATCTAGGATGGTCTCATCTGCTCCACTGGGGTGATCTGGCTCTGTCCTGCATGTCTCTTATCATCTGAAAGATATCCTTCTTCTGGCAGTTTCAGAGGGCAAAAGTAAGCAAACCCAGTCACATAAGTACTGTTCAAACCTCTCCATGCATCACATTTGCTAATATCATTGGCAAAATCAAGTCATATTGTTGAATCCAGTGTCACAATGGAAGGGCACTGCAAAATATTAATACATGGCTATAGGGAAGGGGGAAGAATTGAGGCCATTAACATACTCTGCCATAGCCTTTTCCCAGTTGCTAAACATATGTAAGTCAGTAACTATATATACATTTTATTAACATAAATGATAGAATACCATTCATGTTTCCATACTTTGCTTTTTTCCCCACTACTTTATGATTTATTTCCATTAATATATAATGCTCTATCATCAGGTGTCTTCTCCTAAGGAAGATTAAATCAGAAAATTTTAAATCACAGTTATCCCTTTACTTAAAGCCAGAGTAAGCCTTCCAAATTAACCCCAGGAATGGCTTCAACAGAGGAACAGTACGATCTTAAGATTGTGAAAGTGGAGGAAGACCCTATCTGGGACCAAGAAACCCACCTTCGAGGGAACAACTTTTCTGGCCAAGAAGCCTCCCGACAACTTTTTAGGCAGTTTTGTTACCAAGAGACTCCTGGTCCCCGAGAAGCTCTGAGCCGGCTCCGAGAACTCTGTCATCAGTGGCTAAGGCCAGAAATCCACACCAAAGAGCAAATCTTGGAGCTGCTGGTGCTGGAGCAATTCCTGACTATCCTGCCTGAGGAGCTCCAGGCCTGGGTGCGGGAGCACCATCCGGAGAGTGGGGAGGAGGCTGTGGCTGTAGTTGAAGATCTGGAACAAGAGCTTAGTGAGCCAGGGAACCAGGTGAGAGGAGAAAGATGGACTTCTAGACATTAAATACTAAATGAAAGGTGGGGTTTGGTGACACAGGTTGGTTGGCTATAGCTATATGTATTAGTTCTCTGTTGTGTAACAAATTACCCCTAAACCTTAATGGCCAAGACTATGGTCATCTGATGACAAGACTCAGGTGGGCGGATCCACTTCCAAGATGGTTTACTGGTACAATTGTTGGTAGGGGGCCTCAGCTACTCACTGGCTGTTGGCAGGAGGTCTTAGTTCTTTACCATGTTGGTACTCTTCATGGGGCTGCTTGAGTGCCCTCACAACATGTCAGGTGGCTTCCTCCAGAGAGGAGAAGGAGAGAAAGAGAGAGAAAGGAAAAAGCCACAGTGCTTTTTTGTTGCGGGAAGTCAGGGACCCCAAATGGAGGGACCAGCTGAAGCCATAGCAGAAGAATGTAGATTGTGAAGATTTCATGGACATTTATTAGTTCCCCAAATTAATACTTTTGTAATTTCTTATGCCTGTCTTTACTGCAGTCTCTAAACATAAATTGTAAAGATTTCATGGACACTTATCACTTCCCCAATCAATACCCTTGTGATTTCCTATGCCTGTCTTTACTTTAATCTCTTAATCCTGTCAGCTGAGGAGGATGTATATTGCCTCAGGACCCTGTAATAATTGCATTAACTGTACAAATTGTACAGCGTGTGTGTTTGAGCAATATGAAATGTGGGCACCTTGAAAAAAGAACAGGATAACAGCAATTGTTCAGGGAATAAGAGAGATAACCTTAAATTCTGACTGCCAGTTAGCTGGGCGGAACAGAGCCATATTTCTCTTCTTTCAAAAGCAAATAGGAGAAATATCACTGAATTATTTTTCTCAGCAAGGAACATCCCTGAGAAAGAGAATGTGCGCCTGGGGGTAGGTCTCTGAACTGGCCCCCCTGGGCGTAGCCATCTCTTATGGTTGAGACTGCTGGGGTGAAATAGACCCCAGTCTCCCATAGCACTCCCAGGCTTATTAGGAAGAGGAAATTCCCGCCTAATAAATTTTGGTCAGACCGGTTGATCTCAAAAACCCTGTCTCCTGATAAGATGTTATCAATGACAGTGGTGCCCGAAACTTCATTAGCAATTTTAATTTCGCCTTGGTCCTGTGGTCCTGTGATCTCACCCTGCCTCCACTTGCCTTGTGATATTCTATTACCTTGTAAAGTACTTGATGTCTGTGTCCCACACCTATTCGCACACTTCCTCCCCTTTTGAAAATCCCTAATAAAAACTTGCTGGTTTTTGTGGCTTGTGGGGCATCACGGAACCTACTGACATGTGATGTCTTCCCTGGACACCCAGCTTTAAAATTTCTCTCTTTTGTACTCTGTCCCTTTATTTCTCAAGCTGGCTGACGCTTAAGGAAAATAGAAAAGAACCTACATGAATATCAGGACAGATTCTCTGATACTTTTTACGACTCAGAAGTTATATACCATCTCGTCTGCCTCACTTTCTATTCAGTAGAGTTGAGCTATCAAGTACAGCCCACATTCAGGGGGTTGGGGATGGGCAGTTAGATTCTACCTGGTGGATTTATTTTAAACCACCACACTTGATTGGGCCACTCTTCCCTGTTTTGCTTTTGGGTAATGAATTAAACTCTGGTCCTTCCACTGTGACATCTCTCTAGAAAATGTTTCATATAGTTCCATGTGATATCTTTCATTTAGTATTAGCTTGTACTCCTATAATCCCCCTCTTTAACCAAATATGCCTACCTGCCTTCAGGCTCCAGACCATGAACATGGACATTCTGAAGTGCTCTTGGAGGATGTGGAACATCTGAAGGTCAAGCAGGAACCAACAGACATACAGCTTCAGCCTATGGTGACACAGCTCAGATATGAATCTTTTTGCCTCCACCAATTTCAAGAACAAGGTAAGGATTTTGACAGGTCCCTTCAGGAGATCTCTGGTGGGTCTATATAGGGCGATAGTTAAGACTGTGGACTCTGGGGCTAAATTGCCTGGGTTGGAATTTAAACGCTGCATTTAATAGTTCTGTGACAATGGACAAGTCAGGTAACCTCCCTGTGCCTTCAGTTTATGCATATTTGAAGTGGGGATAATCATAGCACTTCAGTCACAGAGTCATTTGAGATTTAAAAAGTTAACATATGTAAAACACTTAGAACAGTGCCTGCCTTGTAATGAATATAATATAGTGCCTGCTTATGTACATCCTCACTGGGAGCCTCTGGGTGCTCCCTCCAGCCATTTTAGCAGTGCTGATGACCCCTTACTCTACTAGCCTAAACATCCCTGTTTAACCCAACCTGCTCCTTAACTGACAGTTCTTCATTCCTAGAACATGTCTGTTTGATATCGATCTTTCTATTTCCATCCTATGATTGTATTCTTTCATAAAGGAAAGAGATTACATTGTTTGGTCCATTTATTATTCCAGATGGTGAAAGTATACCTGAGAACCAGGAGTTGGCATCAAAGCAAGAAATCTTAAAAGAAATGGAACATTTGGGGGATAGCAAACTCCAAAGAGATGTATCTTTGGATTCTAAGTACAGAGAAACTTGTAAACGAGACAGCAAGGCAGAAAAGCAGCAGGCACATTCCACTGGAGAGAGACGCCACAGGTGCAATGAATGTGGGAAAAGCTTCACTAAGAGTTCAGTACTCATTGAGCACCAGAGAATCCACACTGGGGAGAAGCCATATGAATGTGAAGAATGTGGGAAGGCCTTCAGCCGGAGGTCAAGCCTGAATGAACATCGGCGGAGCCACACTGGAGAGAAACCCTATCAATGTAAGGAGTGTGGGAAAGCCTTCAGTGCCAGCAATGGCCTCACTCGACACAGAAGAATCCACACAGGGGAAAAACCATATGAATGCAAAGTGTGTGGGAAGGCTTTCCTCCTCAGCTCATGCCTTGTTCAGCATCAGAGGATACACACTGGAGAGAAGCGCTATCAGTGTCGTGAGTGTGGCAAAGCCTTCATTCAGAATGCAGGGCTTTTCCAGCATCTCCGAGTCCACACTGGTGAGAAACCCTATCAGTGCAGTCAGTGCAGTAAACTCTTTAGTAAGCGGACACTTCTTAAGAAACATCAGAAAATCCACACTGGAGAGAGACCATAAGGGTGATGAGTTTGGGAAAGCCTTCAGTCATCATTGCAACCTTATTAGGCATTTTAGAATCCATACTGTTCCAGCAGAACTGGACTAATTCTGTGGACCCTCAGACCCCTAAATGGGGCCGTCTTGGAAAGTAAGATTTTCAAGTGGCTTATTCTGTTCTTATAAAATTTATTTTGTATTGCATTGAACCACTTGTCTACAAACCAGGTGTTGGTGTCTCCTGTGTGGATGACTGTGATTGTAGGGGGTTGCTGGGTGGCCTTCTTATTCCCTAGCCTTTGGTCCATTTCTTATGATTTCCTTTAAAGGCACCAAATCTTATCTGGAAATAAATTGTTATGGAGGGGCTGTTTTTGAGCAATACTGCATATTGAACAATTCTAAAAGACCAGTATCTATGTATACTTTTAAAAAAAAGATTTGCTAAGATCAAAGGATATTCAGAGGTGCATCTTTTTCTGTAAGAGTGACATTTTAAACAAATGTAAGGTTTTGGGGAATAAGAATCGTCCACATTCCCACAGGAAATCATTGCTATGGTCTCCCCTAGGAATGTGATAGATAGCTTCTATAATTATGCAGCATTATCCATAGTATGAAACCTGTAGTTTTAATGGTTTAGAAATCTATGTCTCATTTCATATCTAACTCATGTTTTTGATACGAATCAATATATATGTTGATATCATGAGTTAATATGAGTTTGACATGAATCATCAACATAGTATATACATATCAACATAACTATGTTGATGATTCATATCAAATTCTCAATGCAGGTCATTACTGTAAGTTTTCCATTTTTGTTACAAATAATAAGTAAGATGATACTTTAAAATCTCTGTTCTTCACAAGGTACCTCTTTAATTCATAGCCTTTTATGTCAGCATTATTCTTCTTTTGGGGGTTGGTCAGCAACTTTGAGTGCCATTGCAAGCAGCATCATTTAAGTAGTTTTATAAAGAAAAGAAGTCTGATATCTTGGGCAGCTTGCTGCTTACTGGGGAGACCAGCATGCTTAGACACTTATTGCCAGGGTTAAACATATGCTCTGGCACCAAGTTCAAATCTTTCCTCCCCATTTGTGAGCTGTGGGACTTTAGGCAAGTTATCTAAATGCTGCTATGCTATAGTCTCCCCACCTGTAAAACAGAGGATGATACCAATACCTTCCTCATAGGGTACATAAGATTAAATAAATACAAACTTGTACTTAAAATGTAGCTCTCAATAAATATGCATTATGATTTACATACGAAATAATAGCATTTAACAAATGTAGGTAGAATTTTAAGTATCATGTTAAAATTAGGATACGAAATGCCTCTGCTGACATTCTTGTTACTCTTTTCTCCACAGTCAAAACCTGAATCAGAATATTTCAAAAGAGAGGAAATAAAAGTTCAGCTTAAAACTGTTCTGCCCTAAACCTTTGGCTTTGAAGTTTATTTTTAAAGCGTTAAAGAATACATACATATGTGTGTGTGTTATTTTTTTCCTCATGGCTTAGGAACCATAAACAATTCTTTAAAAGTCACTTACTATTTTATTTGTCAATAGAACATTAGCAATTAGCTGAATTCAGATTTTCTGGAATAGTGTTTGTGAAATTTTATAATACCTACAAATCACTTGAGATCTTGTTAAAATGCAGATTCCTACTTCAAAAGGTCAGAAGGGGGCCCAGGAATCTCCATTTTAAATGAGCAATGCACTCCTAGGTGCCTCAGATGCTGCTGGTTCATGGAGTGCACTTTGAGTATCAAGGTCCCAGACTACCCTGAGGATTAGTATGGTCCTTTTAATATGCTACAGGCACCAAGCACATAATAGCTTCCTTTCCATCCTTCCACTTGCAACCTCTACATCAGTAGGTAGTCCCTAAACCTGTGCTCCCCTCACTGACCCACTGCCTGTCCCACCCTAAGAGGACTGAGATGCCTGTGAAGTGCAATGGGCAGGTGGGTTGAGGTGAGTTTGTAGAGCAAGGCAGTGTCCTTTGCTCTGGAATAGGCAAATAGAGCTAAATGTTTACCCAGGCAGTCTAAACAGGACCCATAAATGTTTACTTTAGGAAAAAGCTACTTCTACAGAGCTTCTGCTCCTCTTGCATGAGCTCACAGGGTGAAGGGAAAGGGGCTGTTTGTTGCATGTTTACCAGCACCTTGCAGACCTGCCAGTCCACACCCCCAGTCCTCTCTTGGGCTCTCCAAACTGCTTGGGCCACAGGAACAAGGTCCCAGCTGAGGTTTCCTTATCTATGGTGCTATGGCATGCCACACTTACCTTCAACACTGAAGCCTTGCGTGGTCCTTCTGTGACTCCAACCCCAGTGCTCAGATAGTCCCTTTCTCTCTCACCTATTCAGAAAAGCAAAGTAAAGCTGACAGAGGAAAAAGCCACAAAATAGAAGACATAAGGGTGAAGGAGGAACATTAAGGGCATGAGATACATCCCAAATGAGTAAGAGAGGAGGAGGGGAGAGATAGGGACGTAAAAAAGGGCCCGAATGGGCATGCCTGTAGTAAAGAGAAAATTGAAGGGAGAATTTGGGAATGTTTCTGGTTTTTTTTTTTTTTTTCCTAATTCTGTTTCATTGATCTGGTCCAAAGTGTTGTAGTAGTTGATGCCACTACTTCCTGCATTTGGCCTCATTGACAGTAACAAGAAGGATTTTCAGTGCCCCTGTTATTAGAGGAACATCAAGAGACCTAGAGAAGAAGGAAGGCTCAGACTGTGGATGGGGGCACTCTGTCAATCAGCAAACATCCACGGGGCACTTGTTAGGCCAGTGGGTACCATTGTAGGAACTTGGGATGCATCAGTAGATCAGACAAAGTTTCCTGCCCTCATAAAGTTTACATTCTAGCAGCAGAGAAAAATAATAGACAATAATCATAATAACTATGTAGTATATTAGAAGGTGATGAAGTGCTTTTGAAACAGAAGAAAGTGGAGCAGCATGAGGAGTAAGATTTCCTTATATAGGGCGGGGGATGGGGGTCAGGGATGCTTCATTGAGGAGGAGACATTTGAGCTAAGATGCGGAAGCAAAGAGGGAGACAGCTTGATGCTATCTAGAAGGAGGATGTTCCAGGAAGAGAGATCAGCCAGTGCAAAGGCTAAGTCATGGAATAAAAATTGTTTTCCCACTGAGGTTGTCAAGTGATCCTCACAATCATCCTAGAAGAGGAAGGCACAGGTGTTTGCCATACGTGTTTATTGTGTAAACTGAGCACAGTGAAATAAAAGTGATTGCTCAATGTCACATGCCTGTGAGGCGGCAAAGGTCTGCATTCAAGACTGACTGATTCCCATCTAGTGTTCTTTCCTATTAGGTATTGAGTAATTATTTTGAATGAGTAGCTGCACCCTGAAAGCACTGGAGGGAGGGGATGCGGGAGATAACCTGTTGGTATACAAGAGGAAGAAATGAGTAGAATTCTGGTAGGTCAGCTGCATTAATGCAGATGAGGTACAAGAGGCTGGGGAGTGATTGGGAAAGTGCAGCATCCTGGGAAGGAAGGGCTGGGAAAGTGAAGACATATTTAAGTTTGCTGCTTGGTAGCATAGCGTAGCTGTAGTTTGTTACTACCTAGCTGTGCGACTTCTGCACAAGTTACTTCACCTCTCTGTGCTCTTGTGGAAAGACATGAAGGTTAGGTGGGTGAGGAGAGAGCTCTCAGGAGGTAAAGCAATACAGGTAAAGCCTGTAAATCCATCTGTGGGGCAAGTGGTGTACAGGGGTGGGGTGGGATCCAGAGTGGTTAAGAACTGGAAAAGAAGAACTAAACAGACGGTCCCAGGATGTTTGAGGAGTAAGGAAAAGAGTCTCCTACTTGCCTCTTTGCCCTAGATGGGCCCAAAGTGAGGAAGTTAATGACATGAAATATTCTCCAAACCACCTAAGGAGGCAGCAGAAGGTGGGTCAGTGGTGCAGGGCTTGCCCAGGCTTTTCCAAAGCCTTTTCAAGGTCCCCAAAGGCTTTGGAAAAGTCTCTGTTAAAGATCGGCTCAGCTCAGGGTGAGTCCCAGGGTGAGTCCCAGGGTGAGTGGGGTGATGCAGGGTGGGGATGTGCACTGGGCTCCAGGCTAAAGCCCAGGAGTGACTGGGGGTGCATGGTGCAAGGGGTGCCAAGAACTGTGGTTGGATAAATGCCAGCATTTTAAGAATAAATATAATAATGATAATAGACACTTCTGAAACACCATATGCCTGGCACTGTTCTAGTTGCTTGACATGTATTAATTCATTTAATCCCCATATATAATCTAAATGTGTAGTCAACTCCATTTTAAAGAGGGGGAAACTGAGGCACAAGGAGGTTAAGTCACTCACCCAAGGTCACACAGCTTGTAGGCAGCAGAGGCACCCTGCTGTATATGTAATGTTTCTGTAACAAACTTTTAATACATTACAAAAAACTTTTCCTTATCATCTATGTGGTTACCAAGTGGTACAGTTCCTATGGAAAAGGCAGGATAAATACTTGTTTCCCTTTATTTACCTGTTTTCAAAATACATGGCTCCCTAGCATTCTCCAATGGTGACCATTTTCTTTTTTTTAAGAATAATTACAAACTCATGGATATAAACATACTTGAAGTGTTTCAACTCATTGCTGTCATTATCTTTACTGGTCCTCAAATTTTCCCATCTTCAAGTGGGAAGGTCTTCAACTTGGCACCTGAGTACTTCTGACTCAAGACCCTTGCTTTATGGTATGACAAGATGTTTCAGGCTCATGCCATACATTTCTTGCCTCTGATCTGGATTCAGTCATGTCTCCCAGGAATCCTGATTTCTTTTTGGGGATATGGAATTTCAAGATGACACATTCGATGCTAGCAAAGGCTCATTGTTTGGCTGGTTATTGTTTCCAAGCCTTTTCAATAGAAAGACCTAGGAGACATATATCTGTGTATGCCTGTTTGTTTTTCTTTCTAATTCAGAACTACAGGGTTTTTACTTCTCTTTACATTTGTATCTCCCCTTGTATTATTATCATGTATTGCTGTATAATGAATTAACTAAAAACTTAGTAGTATAAAACAACGTACATTATCCTTTCCATGGGTCAGGAATCCAGGTATGGCTCAGCAGGGTCCTATGCTTCAGAGTCTCTCAAGACTGAAATCAAGGTGTTGGTCAGAGTTGGCGTCTCATCTGAAGGCTTAACTGGGGAGGGATCAGCTCTAAGTTCACATGACTGTTGTCAGAAATCAACAAACCCTTTGAGGGTTTTTGGACTGAGGGCCTCAGTTACATGCTGACTGTTAGCAACAGGCAATCCTCAGTTCCTTGTCATATAGGCTTCTTTAACATGACAACTTGCTTCGTCAAAACCCCCAAGGGAGAGCATCTGCTAGCAAGACAGAAGTCACCGTTTTCTTTGTAACCTAATCACAGAAGTAACATCCTCTCAACATTGCTGTATTCTATTAATTAGAAGCAAGTTATTTAAAAGGAGTGTGTTGGGGGTAATAAAGGGGAGGCTGGTGGCTGTCGCTGCCGCAGTTTTCTCCCGGTGCCCAGCAGAAATGGTGGCCGTGCAAGGTGTGATGGGGCCGACCCAGTATCCCCTGGGACCCTCCTTTCTGTGCAATAAGGGCCCTGCACTTGCCAAGGCCGAGGGGCAGGGGTGAACGTAGCCCCTGTGGCTCTGTAGCCTGATAGGAATTTAAACCATCTCTCAGATGTCTATGGTAGAACTAAAAAAGACAGACTGCCAAGGGTCATCTGAAATTGTGATTGGGTCACTGATAATAACAGGACAAAGTTAGAGATCACTACTCAAGCATAAGCCCCGGGTTCGTTCTCTTCTCTTTTTTCTTTTCTTTTCCTTTTATTTTCTTTCTTTCCTTTCTTTCTTTCTCTTCTTTCTTCTCTCTTTTTTTCTTTCTCTCTTTCTCCCTCCCCTCCCCTCTCCTCCCCTTCCCTTCCCTTCTTCGCTCCCTCCCTTCTTTTCTTCTTCTTTTTTTTTTTTTTGAGGGAGTCTTGCTCTGTTGCCCAGGCCAGAGTGCGGTGCCACAATCTCTGCTCGCTGTAACCTCCACCTCGCAGGTTCAAGTGATTCTCCTGCCTCAGCCTCCCTAGTAGCTGGGATTACAGGCATGCACCACCATGCTCAGCTAATTTTTGTATTTTTAGTAGAGATGGTGTTTCGCCATGTTGGCCAGGCTGGTCTTGAACTCCTGACCTCAGGTGACCTGCCCACCTTGGCCTCCCAAAGTACTGGGATTACAGGTGTCAGCCACTGCGCCCAGCCCCCAGTTTTCATAAGACTGCTATGAAGATGTTTGATATAAAGGCTTGTGGAATGGGCTGCAAAGGACCCATATGACTTCCTTACAACTGTTATTTTGGCCCTTACTCCACTGTTCCTAGCAAGTGTTGTATTGTGTTGGAAATTGGCCAAGATGATTGAGGCCAGGGGTAAGGAGCAAAAGAAGAAACAAAAACGCCTAGAAAACATTGCAAAAGCTAAACAACTATGAAAGGATTGAAGGACTGAACAGGCTCTGCAACCAGAGGAAATAATCTGGAAAATTATGCAGCTTTGGAAGGACCTACTAAGGTTTCTTCTTTGGATTTCTTGACAGTATTCTTTAGTAAATGAAATTTGACCAAATGGAAGAATCATGTTAGTTCCGACCTCAATACTGTAGTAACTTTTAGGCTTGGGTGTAGGCATTTATAGGTTTCTATTGACAGTTATTGTAAATTAGCATTTATTATAGTACAAATTCTTTATAACTGACCTAGTCATTTGCTGTTTAGCAGTTTACGTACTGAAATGAAAACATCCTGTGGGGAAAAATGACTTTATATTATGAACCCTACTCAAATGAACTCTATTTAAAATGGCGTCCCGTTTTGGACAAAGGAAATCAAGAATGTAAAAGTCAGAACTGTCCTGTCTGAGATGAAAAATGTGCTTTGGCTTAAAAGAGATATAATGTATTAATTACATCTTTTATTACTTCTTAGAATCATTTCTGGCTTTCTCAAAATAATGTTAATCAACGAGTACTTCTATTTGCTGCATTTTTCTTACTTTAGCCTTTGAGACAACTGGTAATTATCAAGACATTTTACATTATTATTATTATTTTTTGAGATGGAGTCTCACTCTGTCGCCAGGCTGGAGTGCAGTGGTGGGATCTCGGCTTACTGCAACCTTCGCCTCCCAGGTTCAAGCTATTCTCCTGCCTCAGCCTCTTGAGTAGCTGTGACTACAGGTGCACACCACCACACCCAGCTAATTTTTGTATTTTTAGTAGAGACAGGGTTTCACCATGTTGGCCAGGATGGTCTTCATCTCTTGACCTTGTGATCCGCCCGCCTCAGCCTCCCAAAGTGCTGGGATTATCGGCGTGAGCCACCATGCCCTGCCGCATTTTTTAAAATGTAATTTTATAAAAAGATTCCTCTTACCTTGACTATGTAAAATACCACCTATTGGATAGAACACTTTTTGTGCTTTCAAACACTGCCATTTTCTTAGAGATGGCTTGTTAAGAGGAGTAACACTATAGTTTAGAGCTTGCAGTAAAAATGCCAAACACTGTAGTACCTTGGAACCAGTTTATTCTTGTGCTAAGCAGAACTGTAAAATAGTTAAAATGTCCTATCAAGTAATTCACTGATAACATAGACACCACTTTTGTTTTTTATTCCATTTTTTGTTTTAACTCATGTGGTAGTGATATTTAATACTTTCTGATCAAACAGGTTCAAAGTGTATCTTTAAATTTCAAATTTCTTTTAAAGCTTTTTTTTTTTTTTGAGATGGAGTTTCACTCTATTGGTAGGCTGGAGTGCAGTGGTGTGATCTCAGCTCACTGTAACCTCTGCCTCCCGGATTCAAGCAATTCTCCTGCCTCAGCCTCCCGAGTAGCTGGGACTACAGGTGCGTGCCACCACGCCCGGCTAATTTTTGTTTTTTCAGTAGAGACGGAGTTTCACCATGTTGGCCAGGATGGTCTCGATCTCTTGACCTCGTGATCCACCCGCCTTGGCCTCCCAAAGTGCTGGGATTACAGGGGTGAGCCACAGCATCCGGCCAAAGAACTCTTCATGAGTAACAGTGAAGTCATACTTCATAAGTGGTAAAGAAAAGTACAACATTTGGAAACATTTTGTTGGGCATAGTAGTAATTGGGTGAAAAAGGATAAATGATCTCAAAATAAGAATGTGCTGTAATTGGAAGGAGCTAAAGGATGTTTCTTTCAGTTAAGAAGTATAACTGGGATGTTTTACTATTAAACATGGCTTTTATAAATGCATGGTCCAGTAATTTTATTCACTGTTAGTATCTAATTCACTGTCAGCTTATTAGTGTTTTCTGTACCCCGATAATGAATTTTAAATTACAAAAATTGTCCAGCAGCTACAGTTTAAAAATGAAACTAGATATTGTAATAAACTTGATGATTTTTTATAAAGAGGTCCTGGGTCTTATTTTTTTTGGAGAGACTAACATTTTAAGTTACATTATGTTATGCAGGTTAGAATTTCAATTACAACTAAGCATACTTGTAAACTTTTAGGACTATGTTCCTCAAATTTGAGAACCTAAGAACCACTGAGAATGTTTATGGACCAGTTTGAATAACACTTAATGCTATTCTTTTAGATTATCAGTCTCCACTTGGTGCCAGTGTGAGCAACACATTGTAACTGAAGGCACTGAAATAGTTCAGTATTTAGTCAAGATATATCTAAAATATGTTTGGTTTTCTGGAATCAAGCTGTTCATGGAAAGAATTTATGTACATATGTTTTACTTATGGTCATATTTTAGAGCAAAAGTATTGAAGCAAAGGATATAGTCATAATTCTCAGTTATCTACGAAAGTTATGGTTTCATCAGTTCTGTTGTAACAACGTAAAGGTATTTAACTAAAAGTGTTTTTCTATAATTTCTGTTAAAGTCGTAACACATGCCTATTTTGTATTTCTTTGACATATGCTGTTATTTTTTCACTTTTTCCTGTCATTTATAGAGCCTTTCTATATATGTGAGATCAAGATTTTACATTTGTGTGTGTGTGTGTGTGTGTGTGTGTAAGGGGCTGGGAAATATAGAGAATATTGTGAGGTTTGGGATTCTTCAGAAAAATCATCTCTCACTGCAACAGAGTACTATTGTTGAAAGAATCCCATTTACTGTTATCTAGAATACTTCTTTTAAGAACTTGTTTACCTATTATGTTGCTTCTGAAGTTCTGAGAACTAAGTACAATCAATTACCTTTCTATAGCTGGTTTGAGGGGAAAAAGAAAGCTATTCCCAGGTTGCCTGTAACAAACATTTAATCAAAAACAAGCAAATAAATAAAAGTTTGTGTGTCAGAACTTGAAAAAAAAAGGAGGGGATTATGCAAGGCCTTGAATACTGGGAAGTGGGAGTACTGGGGGACATTTTAGAGGCTGTCACCCATACTTAGCTTCCATGTCAAGTATCCTAGTTCTCAAAGACAGTGGAGAATGACAGAATGAAAACATGATATCATATGTGCATTTAAAATTTTAATACCACTAAAGTGCCACCAAATTGGCTGTATATATATATATTGCCACCAATTGCCAATATATATTCCCACTAGCACAGTATGGTTGTTATTCTGTATCCTTGCCCATTATCAAACTTTTAAACATTTACCAAGCTGTTAAATGTGTAATGGTATCTCACTTCTATTTTTAATCCTTGAATACTAATGACACTGCATCTTTTTATACCATTTATTGGCCATTTGCATTTCCTCCTTTGTGAATTCCTTATTCATATCCTTTGTCTGGTTTTCTGGTGAACATTTTAACTTTTTCTTATCAGAGGGTAGAAATTCTTTATATTTTAGATATTAATCCCTTGTATGTGTGTGTGTGTATTTATATATAGAATATATGTAGATATACATATATATTTATTATATAATTTCATTTTTTATAAAAAGTAGGACTAACTCTGAAGATAAAATGCTGAATGGGAATCTTCCTGAATTCCAAAATTCTAGGCAGAGTGAACCTGCTACAAATTTTCAAGGCTCAACCTATCTGGAGAACAAGAGAAGTCCTAGTTGTGGCCATGCCAGTTCCCTGAGGTACAGAAAACAGCTGTGCAAGTCAAGGTGGAAAAAAACAGTCGTGTATGCTTCTTTAACATGACAGCTTGCCTGGCCTATTTTCTGTCCTTTCTTATCATAAACTTCCTACTGCCTGCTCCTGGTTTGCACTAGTCATTAGACATGGAATCAGGAATACAGACTTCCAGGAAAGAGTCCTTCATATCATGAAATCTGCAGATGACACTTCAGGCACCTCTGCTATCAGGATTCCCCTGGGCCTTGAGCGACTCTGAGACATCTCTGGGAGACTTGCCAACAGAGACTGCAGCCAGAGCACCCACACCAGGGAGCAGATTCTGAAGCTTCTGTTGCTGGAGCAGTTCCTGACCATCCTGCCTAAGAAGCCCCAGGCCTCAGTGAGAGAGCATCATCCAGAAAGCGGAAAAGAGGCTGTGACCTGCTTGGCCATGTAGAAGAGAAAGACTGATGGATCAAGACAGCAGGTAAGAAGGTAGAAGGCTTGGAGGTATAAAGCCAGAATGAGGGGCACTGACAGGTTGGCAGTGAGGAGATTATTTCTGAGCAACTTCAGTCTTTACTGAGCCAAGCTAAAGTTATTAGTTATTTGCATTTTTCTTTTCAACTTTCAAACATCACCCTTGCAGCCCTTGGTCTAATGAAACACTAATTTTTCTATGTCCTGCAATCTCTTCTCTAAGGATTTAGCCCTAATTCTCGTAATAAACCTACTGATTCAGGGTCCAGCCCATCTCCATAAAAAGGACAAAATCTTGAGGGAAAAATTATCTTTGAGGGCATAGAAGGCATACTTAGTCATCCATCTGCAGCCCATAAAGACCCAGGTAAATGAGAACCTCCAAAACCATGTACCTTTCCAAAGACTGGTGAGAAGCGGAGTTTCTTCTGAGATGGAAGTATTGCCAGCTAAAGACATAGAAGTAATGTTCGGCCCGTTTTTTATTCATTTCCCCTTTCAATAAAACTCTACTCTATCCATCTTCTTATGCCCAGTTGATGCATACAAAAAATGTATTAGCTAAATGAATGAAGATATGTGGGCAGAACCAACATCTACCCATTCCTTTTGGAAACCAAGTGTGTTTGGCCTCTTGTTTGTCCTATCATTTGAGTGGCCTGTGTTTAGTCTGTGTCTCAGCATAGACAAGAGAGAACTGACTATAGCCTTTACCATAAGAGTGTTGACGTGACCTTTTGAGAATGTGTGATCAGTGCTTAAGACACCTTCACATTAGCATGTAAATGTGTACCCACGATTACATAGCCATACACACAATTCTAGACTCAACCATGGCTCTAGGACCATGTGAAGAACCTTGTGTACTGCCCCTCACAGTTGGATGGCTGCCAGGTTAATTAACTCTGGCCTTTCTTGGCTTAGTCTCTCTCTCTGTGCTACAGGTACCTCCCTAAAGGAAAATAGCAAGTATAGAAAATATAAGCATCAAAGAAAGAAAAGAACATTAAAAGACTTCCTGGTGGCTGTTTCTTCCTATGAACTGGGGAGAAAATAACTAGGACCTACTCTGTAGAATCTCCTTCGTTAATTACAACTTCACCTCTCACATCTGCCTAATTTTGTTATACTCCTTTTCCTGGCTATAATATTTCACTTACTCCCAGTCCTCTGGCCCTAGAATAAAAATGTGAGCCACCTTTAGCTCTCATGCCTGCATTGACAAATCCCAGGTTTCACCTGGATATCCTTACCTCCCCACCAAGCTTGTTTTAGTTTCAGACTTGCCGATCTGCACCTCAAACCCCAAATTCTCATAAATGATAGCTTTTCTGCCTGCTTTTCTTTTGATGCTTTTCCTTGACCCCAGGTGAGACTATATAAACTATATTATTTCCCTTTCAACCAACCAGCTCCCCTCTCCAACTCTTGGGCTTCCTTAAGTCCAGGATGTGAAGAAGAAGAATTATCAGCAAACTATATCCATATTTTTAAAAATTCCTTTTTGTCCATGCCATAGGTTCAACATATATTTGGTTGAGGCAATATATGGTTTTCTGGTTTCAGTTCATTGATGATTTGTCCTAGCACCTGTGCTGAAGGGAATTACTTAATGTGCCTCAGTTAGTCACGGATATCTAGATAACATTCAGCAGTCAACATGACAGTTGGGAATAGTGATTCCTAAATCTTAGAATTTAAATTTTATATATACATGTTATCGTTCAGGGATTAAAAAGTCAATTTTGTTAACTCTAACAAAACCTTAAGCAAAGAATGAAAGCAAGGGGTCCAGAGAGTCAGGATCCAGAGTGGCTCCTCATGATTCAGTGTTCGGCTTCAACAGAATATTTTCTGTCCTTTCTTTTTTCTTTTCTTTCTTTCTTTTCTTTTTTTTTTTTTTTTTTTTTTTTTTGAGACAGATTCTCGCTCTGTCCCCTTCCTTCAGTTTTTGGCAGTGATCCCTTGCACACCTTTACCAACCCTCAAGCTTACTACACTTTTGTTTCACTTGATTCATCCTGTTCTCCCCCAAGATGGGGACCGGTTCACAAATTTCTTTTATATTTTCAGATCAGAATCTAAGGTTGAAGATATGGAGACTAAGAACAACAACAACAACAACAACAAGTGAAATAGCCTTAAAGCAAGAAACACCTGAATAAGTGAAACCCCCTAAAGCAATCCTATGCAGACCTCGAATCAAAGTTTTTCAGTCCTAAATGAGACAGAAGCAGTGAATGGGCAAACCCACAAGGGAAAAAAGGTTCACGTGACCTCCAGATCCACCCGAGGATGCATTTCCTTGCAAGGGAAAGACCATAAGAGTGCGCCAAGGGGAAGTCGGCGTGGGAGCAGCACTCCAACCAGACCCAGCACCTGCGTGGGCCTAGGGACTTCGGCCACTCCCCCAGCAAGCACTTAGCACCACCGCTGTGCGCATGCCTCCGGCAGTTAACCGTCTTCTTCCTCAGCGTCTATCTGGTACTCCACGCAGGCCCTACGCAAGCAAACGCTGCCGCAAGCGCTTCCTAAGGAGCTTAACCCGCTTGCAGCACCCGCAGGTACACACACAGGTGAGAGGCCTGATCACTGCAGCGGCTGCCACGAAACTTTCAGCCAGAGTTCCTGCCACATCCCGCACCAGCGGGTCCACATGGGCGAGAGGCCCTATCAGTGTGTATGTGGCAATGCGTTTGGGCAGATCTCAACACTTCTTGGGCATAAGAACCCTCTATTTAAAAAAAAAAAAAAAAAAAAAAAGCCCAGAAAAGATGCTAATTGGTAGTGTGATGGAAAGAAAACCTTCGAGTAGAACTTGAATAAGTTTGGATTAATCAATATATGAACATTAAGAGAAGAAATGAAGAGCTTAATTCTTATACCAGAACTGCATCTATTACAGCATAAACCAATTATATCTTTGACCAGAACCTATACTTTACTAATAGCGGTACTGTCACCTATTTCTGAGAGTGTATCAAGCTGGAGCAGGAGCATGGAAAATAAAACAGAGCTGGAGCTTGAATTGACACTGACATCATCCCTACCTTAGAAGACAAATATATGTATGTGTATACACACACACACACACACACACACACAGAGCAGAGCCACAGATATAGTCAATCTGAATACTTTGGTAAATTTGTCCTGGAGAGAAAACTTATCAGACAGTTGAATTTGGTGCTATCTTCCTTCTTCATTCTGACTTCCAACATCAGAAACTCCATGTGCGCAAGAAGTCCCACTTTCATTTTGCTCTGAATGACAGGGGAGTGAAACCTCAGTAAAGAATGAATTTTACGGGACAAGACAGGAAAATGGTGAATAGGAAGCAGGACTAAATTGCAGCTCCCACTCAGATGGACAGAGCAGTGTGTGGAGACTAACATCGTGAACTTTTGCTCCAAGAACTACCACAAGAACATACCAGGAAAGCCAAGAGAACCCATAGAACCTTTGAAGGAGTGGATTGCTCCTGCAGGCCCCAGGAGACAGCTGAAAAACTGTGGGTGCCCAAAGTATGAAAGGGGGATCATCTGCCCCTGAACACCCACCGTCACTAGGGAACCTGAAGGTCCAAATCACAAGAGAAGGATTTGACTTTACTTGGAGCTGAAACAAAATTAGAGAGCTAAGTGAAACACAGGGGTAGAAGCAGCAGCGGGAAGAGCCCTATGGGCGCTTGGTCAGGGAAGGGAAAAAGTCCAGGGACAAAGTCCAGGGAAGCCATTTCTGACTTTGTCTCAAAGAGGTCTTTGGGGAAGGTTGCTAGAGGAACTGAGAAAAGACCACAGAGAGAAGGAAACGTCCAGCTGAACTTTGTAAGAATTTTGACCAAATTCAAAATTTCTTGTACAGAACTCCCGGGAGGGGGTGAATCGGGAGTGCAGACACAACACAGAAACCACATCAGGTGGGGTGGCACAAAACCTGAAAGCACTGCTTGCTTTCTCAGCTAGGAGGTTGGTAGGCTGGGGCAAGTTCTCAGCCCTGCTCACCTGCTGCCTGGAAATAAACTCAGTGCAGCTGGGGGAGTACAGTGGGCGTAAGACCAGTCTTTTGGGCTGTGTGGGAGCTGGGTGAGGCCTGGCCTATAACTGCCAGCTTTCCCCAACTTCCCTAGCCACTCGCGTGACTCAGCAGAGGCAGCTATAATCCCCCTGGGAACATGTAACTCCATTGGCCTAGGAACCATAATCCCATTCCTCAGCGGCCACAGCAAGCCCTGCCCAAGGGGAGTCTGAGTTCAGACATGCCTGACCCTGCCCCATCCTGATGGTCTTTACCCACCATGCTAGCTGAAGACAAACGACATAATCTCTTGGGAGACCTAGGGCCCCACCCACTGTCTGATCCTCCGTACACTACCACAGCTGATGCTGTCTTGAAAGTACCACCTCCTGGCAGGAGGCCAACCAACACAAAACTAGTGCAATAAACAAAACTACAACTAAGGATCCTCACAAGAGCCCATTTCACTCCCCTGCCACCTCCACAACAGCAGGTGCTTGTATCCATGGCTGAGAGACCTGAAGACTTTCACATTACAGGACTCTATGCAGACTCCCCCAGTACCAGCCCGAGCTGCATGGCTAGATCCAGAAGAGAAGACAATCACTGCAGTTCAGCTCTCAGGAAGCCACATCCATAGGGGAAGAGGGAGAGCACAACATCAAGTAGTCCCCGTGGGACAAAAGAATCTGAACAGCATCCCTAAGCCCCAGATCTTCACTATGACATAGTCTACCCAAATGATAAAGAACCAGGAAAACAATTCTGATAATACAAAAGGTTCTTTAATGTCCCCCAAAAGATGATACCAGCTCACCAGCAATGTATCCAAACCAAGAAGAAATCCCTGAATTGCCAGAGAAAGAATTCAGGTTGATTATTAAGCTAATCAAGGAGGCACCAGAGAAAGGCAAAGTCCAACTTAATGAAATTAAAAAAAAATGAAACAAGCTACGAAAGGAAAAATCTTCAGTGAAATAGATAGCCTAAATAAAAATCACAACTTCTGGAAATGAGGACACTCTTAGAGAAATGCACAACACACTGAAAAATCTCAGCAATAGAATTAAACAAGCAGAAGAAAGAACTTCAGAGCTTGAAGACAAGGTTTTTGAATTAACCCAATCCAAAAAAGACAAAGAAAAAAGAATTTTAAAAAATGAAGAAAGCCTCCAAGAAGTTTGGGATTATGTTAACCAAATGCAAGAATAATTGGTGTTCCTGAGGAAGAAGAGAAATCTAAAAATTTGAAAAATACATTTGAGGAAATAATTGTGGAAAAATTCCCTGGCTCTGCTAGAAATCTAGACATCCAAATACAAGAAGCTCAAAGAACACCTGGGAAATTTATCACAAAAAGATCATCATCTAGGCACACAGTCATCAGGTTATCTAAAGTCAAGACAAAGGAAAGAATCTTAAAAGCTGTGAGGCAAAAGTGCCAGGTAATCTATAGAGGAAAACCTATCAGATTAACAGCAGATTTTGCAGCAGAATCCCTACAAGCTAGAAGGATTGGGGCCCCATGTTCAGCCTACTTAAACAAAAGAATTATCAGCCAAGAATTTTGTATCCAGCGAAAATAAGCGTCATAAATGAAGGAAAGATAGTCTTTTTCAGACAAACAAATGCTGAGAGAATTAGCCACTAACAAGCCAGCACTACAAGAATTGCTAAAAGGAACTCTAAATCTTGAAACAAATCCTTGAAATACACCAAAATAGAACCTCCTTAAAGCACAAATCTCACAGGACCTACAAAACAAAAACACAGTAAATAAAAAACAAAACAAGGTATTCAGGCAACAAATAGCATGATGAATAGACTAGTACCTCACATCTAAATACTAATGGTGAATGTAAATGGCCTGAAAGCTCCACTTAAAAGATACAGAATGGCAGAATGGATAAGAATTCACCAAAGAAGTATCTGCTGTCTTCAATTGACTCACCTGACACATAAGGAGTCACATAAACTTAAGGTAAAGGGGTGGAAAAAGATATTCCATGCAAATGGACACCAAAAGTGAGCAAGAGTAGCTATCCCTGTATCAGACAAAACAAACTTTAAAGCAACAGCAGTTAAAAAAGAAAAAGAAGGACATTATATAATGATAAAAGGACTTGTCCAACAGGAAAATATCACAATCCTAAATACATATGCATCTAACACTGGAGCTCCCAAATTTATAAAACAATTACTATTAGAACTAAGAAATGAGATAGACAGCAACACAATAATAGTGAAGGACTCCAATACTCCATTAACAGCATTAGACAGGTCATCAAGACAGAAAGTCAACAAAGAAATGATGAATTTAAACTATACCCTAGAACAAACAGACTTAACAGATACTTAGAGAACATTCTTTCCAACAACTGCAGAATATACATTCTATTCATCAGCACATGGAACATTCTCCAAGACAGACCATATGATAGGCCACAA
The DNA here is from genome assembly GCF_000001405.40 of Homo sapiens. NCBI lineage: Eukaryota > Metazoa > Chordata > Mammalia > Primates > Hominidae > Homo > Homo sapiens. Next base: position 28,309,134 of record NC_000006.12, on the reverse strand, counting down.
AGCAAGTCTCAATAAATTTAAGAAAATTGAAATTATATCAAGTACTCTTAGACCACAGTGGAATACAACTGGAAATCAACCCCAAAAGGAACTCTCAAAACCATGCAAAGACAGGAAATCAAATAACCTGCTCTTGAATGATCATTGGGTCAACAATGAAATCAAGACGGAAATTTAAAAATTCTTTGAACTGAATGATAATAGTGACACAACCTATCAAAACCTCGGGGTTACAGGAAAGGTGGTCCTAAGAGGAAAGTTCATAGCCTTAAATATCTATATCAAAAAGTCTGAAAGAGCACAAATAGACAATCTAAGGTCACACCTCAAGGAACTAGAGAAATAAGAACAAACCAAACCCAAAGCCAGCAGAAGAAAAGAAATAACAAAGATCAGAGCAGAACCAAATGAAATTGAAACAACAAAAAACAATACAAAAGATAAGTGAAACAAAAAGCTGGTTCTTTGAAAAGATAAATAAAATTGATAGACCATTAGCAAGATTAACCGAGAAGAGAGATCTAAATAAGCTCAATTAGAAACCAAACGGGAGATATTACAACTGATACCATAGAAGTACAAAAGATCACTCAAGGCTACTATGAACACCTTTACATGCATAAACTAGAAAATCTAGAGGAGATGGATAAATTATTGGAAATATACAACCCTCCTAGATTAAACCAGGAAGAAATAGAAACTCTGAACAGACTGATAACAAGCAGCAAGACTGAAACGGTAATTTTAAAAAAGTCCAGGACTAGATGGATTCACAGCTGAATTCTATCAGACATTCAAAAAATTGGTACCAATCCTATTAACACTATTCCACAAGACAGAGAAAGAGGGAATTCTCCCTAAATTAATCTATGAAGCCAATATCACCCTGATACCAAAACTAGAAAAGGACATAACAAAAAAGGAAACTATAGACCCTGATGAATATAGATGCAAAAATCCCTAACAAAATACTAGCTAAGTAAATCCAACAGCATATCAAAAAGATAATCCACCATGATCAAGTGGGTTTCATACCAGGGATGCAGGGATGGTTTAACATATGCAAGTCAATAAATGGGAATTAAAGCAAAAATCACATGATCATCTCAATAGACACAGAAAAAGCATTTGACAAAATCCAGCATCCCTTTATGATTAAACCTCTCAGCAAAATCAGCATAGAAGGGACATACCTTAATGTAAGAAAAGCCATCTATGACAAACCCACAGCCAACATAATACTGAATGGGGAAAAGTTGAAAGCATTCCCCCTGAGAAATGGAACAAGACAATGGTGTCCACTCTCACCACTTCTATTCAATATAGTACTGAAAGTCCTAGCCAGAGCAATTGGACAAGATAAAGAAATAAAGGGCGTCCAAATTGATAAAGAGGAAGTCAAACTGTTGCTGTTTGCTGATAATATGATCATATACCTAGAAAACCCTAAAGCCTCCTCCAAAAAGCTCCTAGAACTGATAAATGAATTCACCAAAGTTTCAGGATATAAAATTAATGTACACAAATCAGTAGCTCTGCTATACACCAACAGCCACCAAGCTGAGAATCAAATCAAGAACTCAACCCCCTTTACAATAGCTGCAAAATAAAATAAAATACTTAGGAATATATCTAGCCAAGGTGAAAGACCCGTACAAGGAAAACTACAAAACACTGAATAAAGAAATCATACACACCACCAACAAATGGAAAGACATCCCATGCTCGTGGATGGGTAGAATCAATATTGTGAAAATGACCATACTGCCAAAAGCAATATACAAATTTAATGCAATTCTTATGCAAATACCACCATCATTCTTCAGAGAGCTAGAAAAAAATCCTAAAATTCATATGAAACCAAAAAAAAGCTCATATAGCCAATGCAAGACTAAGTAAAAAGAACAAATCTGGAGGCATCACATTACCTGACTTCAAATTATAAGGCCATAGTCACAGAAACAGTATGGTACTGGTATAAAAATAGGCACATAGAGCAATGGAACAAAATAGAGAACGCAGAAATAAAGCCAAATACTTACAGCCAATTGATCTACAACAGAGCAAACAAAAACATAAAGTGGGGAAAGGACATCTTATTCAAAAAATGGTGCCGGGATAATTGGCAAGGCACATGTAGAAGAACAAAATTGGATCCTCATCTCTAACCTTATACAAAAATCATCTCAAGACGGATCAAGGACTTAAACCTAAGACCTGAAACCATAAAAACTCTATATTTAAAAAGCCCTTCTAGACATTGGCTTAGGCAAAGAGTTCATGACCAAGAACCCCAAAGCAAATGCAGCAGAAACAAAGATAAATAGATGGGACCTAAACCAAAAAGCTTCTGCAAAGCAAAAGAAACAATCAGCAGAGTAAACAAACAACCCAAAGCATGGGAGAAAATCTTCACAATCTATACATCTGACAAAGGACTAATGTCCAGAATCTACAAGGAACTCAAACAAATCAGCAAGAAAAAAAACAATCCCATCAAAAAGTGGGCTAAGGACATCAATAGGCAATTCTCAAAAGAAGATATACAAATGGCCAACAAACACATAAAAAAATGCTCAACATCACTCATTATCAGGGAAATGCAAATCAAAACCACAATGCAATAACTTACTCCTGCAAGAATGGCCATAATAACAAAATAATAGATGTTGGCATGGATGTGGTGAAGAAGGAACACTTTTACACTGCTGGTGGATGAATGTAAACTAGTACAACCACTATGGAAAACAGTGTGGAGATTCCTTAAAGAACTAAAAGTAGAATTCCATTTGATCCAGCAATCCCAATACTGGGTATGTACCCGGAAGAAAATAAATCATTGTATGAAAAAGATACTTACACACTTATGTTTATAGCAGCATAATACACAATTGTAAAAATATGAAACCAGCCCAAATGCCCATCAATCAACAGTGGATAAAGAAATTGTGGTATATATACAACATAGAATACTACTCAGCCATTAAAAAGGAAGAAGATAATGGCATTTGCAGCAACCTGGATGGAATTGGAGACCACTATTCTAAGTGAAGTAACTCAGGAATGGAAAACCAAACAACGTGTGTTCTCACTAATAAGTGGGAGCTAAGCTATGAGGATGCAAGGGCATAGGAATGACACAATGGACTTTGGGGACTTGGGGGGAAAAGATGGGAGCAGGGGTGAGGGATAAAAGACTATACATTGGGTACAGTGTTCACTGTTCTGAGATTTTGGGTGCACCAAAATCTCAGAAATCACCACTAAAGAACTTATTCATGTAACCAAACACTACCTTTTCCCCAAAAACCTATTGAAATACATAAAATAAAATTTTAAAAGAATGAACTTTATAGTATAAAATAAGGAAATAGTTCAGTCTGAGCCTGGGGGTTAAGTCAGAATGTTTAGGCACAAATGCAAGTCAGACTGATGTTAATTTGGTATCCAGTTATTAAAAAGCGGACAATCCCTAATTAGATACCTCAGTGTAAGGACTACAGGAGAACTTAATCATGAGGTTTGTCCTGCCTTGAAGAATTGTCCTGCCTTAAAAAGTCACTGTCCTGTGACTTAGTTGGAAACTGTTCCTTGAAGCAAGCCAGATTAGTAAAGGATGCTGGGGCCTCTCCTAAGGTATAAATTTACCTAATAATGTTTTAAAGTCACCATTTGTCTTCATTATCTCTCACTCCAAATTATTCTGTATTGTTTCCAAGGTTACTCTCATATTCCATTGTTCTATAGTACACTTTAAAGATAAAGCTATGTATTTGGATAGCCAAATTTTCCCATCAAATTGCAATGTATTCTAAGTATGCTGAGTAATATAGCAAATTTCAGGTCTTGTTTTGGTTGCAAGGAGGGTTGCAAAAGAGATTCCCTGTAAATTTGTTGTCTAATAAAGGATATGCCCTGAACAAAAACAACTACCATGTAAGGCAGCAGTATTTAAGGAGCACCATGAACACGGTGTGTGCAGAAGTACCATAGATGTTCAGTACAATGGTGTGGTAGACAGTCATTCTCTTGGTACAGATCTCCAGGAACCTTTGTAATGTCTTTTCCTAACCCTTTCACAATGACAAAGGTGTTGACCTCTCCTGCAGTGTGATCTTTTTTGGGTTTTTTAAAGAGAAGACCAAAAGGAATAAAAACTAGAAGCAAAAACCATAAAACAAATTGGCACTCAATATTGGCTGCAAGGATTATACCACTTACTAGCTATATGACTTTTAAAATGCTACTTATGTTTTTCTCATCCATAGAATGGGGATATTAATAACTTAATATTTGTAAAACTCTTAGAACAGTCATATGTAGCAAATGCTAAAAGTTTTTGTTCAATTTTTTTGTGGGTGTGAATTAGGAGTCATCCAAAGTTGTTCTCCTGTATCCAACTTCATCTAACCTAGGAGACCTGATATGGATCAGTGACTGTCACTTAGAATTATGTTCAGCTGAGAATAACAAATACCCCCACCCCACCCCCAGTAACAATGAGTTCACCAAGATAGAAGTTTTTTGCCCTCACATGTAAATCTCAGCCGTAGGCAATTTTCAAGACTCTATTCCAGTCTTCAGGGAACCAGGTTCCTTCCAGCTTACTTCACTTCCTGGGCAGGTACTGGTGTGTACAGCATGGGCCAGTTCTGCTCCAGTCTTAGGGTGTCACTCCCCATTTTCCTTGGGCTCCACATTTGCTTCTCAACTGTAGAGTGGTATATTGAGTGCCATGGAGAGTGTGGGTTAGGCTCAGAGAGTTAATCTGCCCAAGGTTACATGGCTGAAACTCAAAGGCTTTCTGGTGCCAAGACCCACATACAGTCCACTATTTATGCTTTTTCATAACATACTGTTTCTATCTGCTGCATAGCTGATGCTCAGATTTGCTCTTCAGAACTTTCACAGTCATTGTTTGGAGACAGGTTTGGGGAGGGGGAGGGTCAAGGAAGGGTCTGGTGAGCAGTCAAGCAACATCACAGAACTGTGGTCTGAATGATGGCAAAGAGGTAGAATGGTGTGAATGGATTCAAGAGATATTAGAGGTGAGTGGTAGAAGAGGGTCACAGGTAACATTTAGGTGTCTTGTTTGATAACCTGGGTGTTCAGTGATATTATTTACATAATTATGGAACCCTGGAGAAGAGAAAAGCAGATTTAGAATGTGGGAGATATAAAGTGCAGCCTTTGATAACTTCCAAGTGGGGATGGCTAGAGGGCTCTAAACATCAGGGCAGACATGAAAGTGAAATACGAAGTTATTCTGTAACTATTTCCTGCCTATATTAGCAATTACTATCTGCACCACTCATCATTTAACTAAAACCTGCATTCTATTAATACCCTTTTGTGGGGAGATACTTAGACACCAGACACTTCATCATTTAAAAGTGAAACCAACCCACGCTGGTGATGTATTTCACAAAGAATATCAGATCAATTACAGGAAATAATGAACTTATATTTTCTTTGAACATCTTGCATGGAATAGGTGAATCTGTGACTACATTACACGCAGCTTACACTTTCACCAGTCATCCACATAAGAAACATACCTGTTGAAAGAATTCAAACCTGACCACCTGCCTTCCAGCCAGGAAAGGGACTGTAAATATTAGGATATGAAAGAAAGGCAAAGAGCTGTTGTGGCTACAACTCACAGAAATGAGGTGGAGCCTGTCTTCTCTACCCTCCAGACTAATCCACCAATGCTAGACTTCAACACTAAGGAGTCACAGTCCGTATCATTCACTTTTCCAAGTGTTTCTCCTTCAGTTACCTATCACTGATGGCCTTAAGCCTAGACATCTCCTCAGGTGATTTCAACTTGGCCTTTATGTTGACTTTATGCCTATCTTTTCCTTCACTCTCCTGGTTACTTGTTACCCTGATTTGCCTGTTTCCTTGGTTTTCTTTACTCTTCTGACTTCTGCTGCCAACTCACACAGTCACCATAGGATACACCTATCATTTCAATATTCAAAGGCACTGCTTCACCTCTGGTTTTTCCTTTATAGCACTCTCCTTCAATATCCATGCCTGACCCTTCTCACTTACACACAATCCGATCCAGTTTTACACCAATGCTAAGGTTTTTAGTCTCTTACCACCTATGTTTTGTTTAGATCATTCTTACTTCATAGGCTGTGTCACTAGTTTGAACTATTGAGTCAGCACCATTCTATGGTTTCTGTAACATTGCTTGCATCTTAAAAATGGCATTCTCCAGATAATTTTTTTTAAGAGGTAGGATTTCCTTCTTTAAATGCACAAAATAGCTGGGCATGGTGGCTCACGCCTGTAATCCCAGCACTTTGGGAGGCCAAGGCAGGCAGATCACGAGGTCAGATCGAGACCATCCTGGCCAACATGGTGAAACCCTGTCTCTACTAAAAATACAAAAATTAGCTAGGCATGGCAGCACGTGCCTGTAATCCCAGCTACTTGGGAGGCTGAGGCAGGAGAATCGCTTGAACTAGGGTGTCAGAGGTTGCAGTGAGCCAAGATCGTGCCACTGCACTCCAGCTTGGCCGCAGAGCGAGACTGTGTCTCAAAAAATAAATAAATAAGTGCACAAAGTAGTCAATTGAACAAATACATGATTTCCCATGTCTGACACAAAACTTGACATAGAGAAAGGTACTACAGTTCAACATTCTCACAGACAATTTTTAACATTACTTGTTACAATAGTCTTTGAAACTCTATATAAATGTCTGATTTTTAAAAGTATTATTTAATAACTTCATTACATATATCAGATTTACTTTGGGAGGGTACAACAGCATGTATAATTATTATTTTTCTATGTCTTATTAATGTCTGCACTATGTCCATTTTATGTACCCTAATCTGACAGATGAGCATTGTGTTCCAAGTAGAAATGTGCAACAAATCTCCGAAAATCCAAGGGGTCTAGAGAAGCACCTGGGTTACAGGCTCTGTGTAGTTGCCATGCATTGTTCATGGCTACATCAATCATGTAGCTCACCAAAATTGAGTACCATTTCTTGCTTCTTATCCTCACCCTGTATTTCGAAATAATTTGATCCATTTTAGCTACACCTTCCTTGCATTCATCATACACTTTTACTATGGATGGTTGACTTATCTGAGGGATTTCTTCGTTATCAGCATCACAACAGCTTACCTCATTGACTGGTTCTATGCCCACAGCATTGGAGCACAGACTGATAATGCCATCCCCATACCAACGACACAAAATTATCTCATTGTTTTCTTCTATTCGGAAATCAAAATACCCTCTCTTCATTTTTTTCATATGTTCTACATTCATAAGGGGACATTTTTCGGTCCTGTTCTCACGAATTGTTCCTGTTGCCCTCACCCCCTTCTTTTTCAAGGCTGACAACAATTTGACACTTGTAAAGAAGCTATCAAAACACAGGTGATAGGGATACTGACCTCTCTCTAAAAGAACATCAGCGAAGTTCATCACTAGATTTCCACCTAACCCAAGATCAGGATCCTCATCTACCTTCATAGTTGATTCTTCTTGATAGGGTTCAAACCAAACCAGATAACCCTGTGTGGTTGTACCACACCAAATTTTATAGCCAATTCTAATAGGCTTTCCATTCAGGAATTGGTCACTATCAAAGCATTCACACATTGACTTATCAAAGCAATAGTATTCTTCCAGGGGAGCATACAAGAGGAAATTTTTATTCATTTGTTTTATGAGAGGTCTCAACTTTGTAAACTTATCTTTTTGATCTAGGTGGCCATTATCTGCAAAGTGCAGGTTTGAGAAAATCAATTCAAATCTGTCCCTTCTGATTGCATCTCTAACCAGGTTCTGATCGGTGTCAGAGACTTCCCAATACATTTCCCTTCTAGGATGCCTCATAAATCCACTCAAAAGTAAGACACCAAACACACACCTCATTTCCTGAACTGTGACTTCCAAGCTGACATTTTTCTGAGAAGCATAATTATTGGTTTCATTGACAATTAAGTTGAATGTTTCATCATCAAAAAATAATTCAAAAAGCTCTACTGGGTTCAACTTTTCGCTCTTGAGATTCAAAAGTCCAGAATCCAGTGCTGACCAGCTTGGAAAATTGGGTTTAATGTCTCTTTTGGTCCAACTCTTTTCTGGGAAACATGATACCTTTAACTTCTTTTGAGCAGGCTGGATCTCAGGCTCATTATCTTTTTCCACATCTGAGTCACCAGAGAATGAGAGGCCTTGGAGCAGTTCACTCACTCGAGCTTTGTCTTTTTTTCTCCCTTTTCGGGTAATGTCTCCTGCAGCATATTCCAGGGATGAGATGTGCATGCGGGCCCACAAATCACCTGGGTGACGGTCCTTCAGAGTGTTCAAATGTGCAACTGTCCTTTCAGTAGCAATAGGAGTACTACAAGGAATCTGGGGTGCACACTCTCTGGGAAAGAAAAAAAGAACATGTTATAAAAATCCTCAATCATATTCTCTCACACATGATAAATCTGCTGAAGCTTAAATCTTTTGGGGCTTGGGGTGGGTGTGGGGGGATACTTACTTATTTCTCTTAAGTTTCCATGGGGAGGACTTTGGCTAGATTAAACATTTCTAGCCACTCTCCACCTCTCACTCACTCCTCAGGATGGAACTAACTGTTGAGCCTGGGAGAAATAACTGAGTATCCTTGGTACACTCCTCCCTCTGTCCTCTTTAGGAGCAGGATGCAGACATCCCATGCTCCTTGGTGCCCCAAGTTGCATTGAGAAGACCTATGCAGAGGGACATCTGCTACACTCCTCCTCTGCCAGTACAAGCCTATTTAGCTCTGCCTTTAAGCCGTTTTTATCCAGTCTAACTTCTGTCAGTAAGAAACTGAGGTTTCCAGAACCATCTATTTTACTCCTGCATCCCTGTCAATTGGTTCTGAATCTGAACAAGAAAAAAAGGTTATTATTTACCAGGTCTTCTGACATCTCTCACAGAATTTCTGAACATGGAAGGACTTAGCCCCTGCTAGTTCTACATTCATCTGATGGACATACTACTCTGGGGAAAAACAAATGAAACTCAACTCATTGCACTTGGACTGATTTTTATGGGGTTTACAAGGAAGTAAGCTAAAGTTACAAAGATGAAAAGTTTTGTTTTGTTTTTTTTTTTTTTTGAGACAGAGTCTAGCTCTGTCACCCAGGCTGGAGTGCAGTGGCATGATTTCAGCTCACTGCCACCTCTGCCTCCCAGGTTCAAGCAATTCTCCTGCCTCAGCCTCCCGAGTAGCTGGGACTACAGGCACGTGCCACCATGCCCAACTAATTTTTGTATTTTTAGTAGAGACAGGGTTTCACTGTGTTGGCCAGGCTGGTCTCAAACTCCTGACCTCGTGATCCACTCACCTCGGCCTCCCAAAGTGCTGGGATTACAAGCATGAGCCACTGCACCCAACTGAAAAGTATTATTTTACACAAAGTTTTTAATTTTTAGACATGTGCATTTAATTTATTAGTGTTCTGTTGGTAAACTAGTCAAGTTTTCAAAGACATTTAAGAAGCATGAAGAGTATATTTTAATATAATTTACACTACATACATTTCTTTATGTAAAGTGTTTATCATCCAGGGTGTCTTCAGTGTCTGCATGTATTCAACACATCCATCTTAAAGTTCCCTGACATCCATAACTTCAGTGACATTCCTTGATCACACTGAGTCTTTCTACTGTTGACATCTAAACTCTAAGAACCACAGTGCATTAAGCCCAATATTGTGAGGGAAGGAAATGGGAGTGAGAAATGGGAAAAAAGAGTGAGCTAAGAAAGTGGGGTGGGGGTGAGGGAGGGGGACTAGAAGGAGGGCAGGGGGCTAGACCTTTGATACCATGGTTAAGCTATTGCACCTAACCTGAAATAGCCTACCTTCACACTTTTTGTTATATGAATATCTTTATTATAGGCACTATGAATTACCTGTTAGTTGCCTGATACTAAATGTACCTACAGGCACAATAGCAGATTCCTATTCTCCAGTTGCATAACTCTGCTCTAAGTTACTGAACATCATATCTCTTCCTTTAGTGGAGCCTGGCTCAGTCTTCACTAATCTTAATGCAAAATTTCACTTCTCCTCTTGAGCTTTAAGACATTTCTACTTTAGCTGAGATTTAGCTCCCAGTTTCTCTAAGTTAAACAAATGTCAATAAGGAAAATTCACACCCCCTTCTCAGCTCTTTGGCCAAGTAGCCCACCTTGCTTACTCTCTCTTTTCTCAAGTCTCTGAGGACCAAATGGCCTCACCAGAAGCCAACCCTCTGCTTGTGATTTGTTCCCTCTCTTTCTGCAATCCTGAGAAGCCTCGGAATGTTGGGCATTCCCGAGGCTTCTCCACCTTGTTCCATTTCTTCAGAAGTTTCTTGCTTTGCATAGGAGTATCTGTTACAAGTTCATTCATTCCCACAACCAGCACTTATGAAGCACACACCACTGTCATTCATTTCTACTTCATCAGCTAACTTTCCTTTTGACCTATACCTTGTTCAGGTCTCCCAATGGCGGTTGAAAATACAGGTTAATTTTCCCTTATCTGAAATGCTTGGGGTCAGAAGATTTTTGAATTTTGGATTTTTTTCAGATTTTGGAATATTTGCATTATACCAGTTGGGCATCCCTAACCAAAGATCCAAAATCCAAAATGCTCCAATGAGCATTTCCTTTGAGCATCATGCTGGTGCTCAAACAGCTCAGATTTTGGAACATTTCAGATTTGGAATGCTCAACCTGTACCCTGCTTGTCCTCTTCCACTCTGACATTTCTTTCTTAACTGTCATGGCAGCTTCATCTGTAGCCCTCATTCTTGTTAAATTATCTGCCTTCTAGCTTCTCCACAGCTCCATAAAAATGTAAGGGAGCCCAGGGAAGGGTAATCAAGCAGGACAGACTGGATCAGGATAGGCTTCTTGGAGGAAACTGAGTATCAACTGAAGGTTTTGTATATTTATTGCATATTGAAAATTTTGAATAGGTCACTTTCTTGGCATGGACCTCCTATGATCACAGAAGTGAGTGGCAGTTGTCATATCTTATTCCAGAGAAGCAGGCCTTTGACCAATTGGTTTCTCTGATTCCATTCCAATTTCTTATATCTGCAGGATTTGATTCACTGAGGACCATGGACACTCACCTGTTGGGCTTTCCTGAGGCTTCTCCACTTTGTTCCATTTCTTCAGAAGTTTCTTGCTTTGCTTTAAACAATCTATCTTTAGTTACAATTTCTTCAGCTAAAATATAACATTAATGATTTAAATGTCATCTGTTATGTGAATTTTGAAAAAAAAAAAAAAAAAAAAAAAAAAAAACTTCCAGGGTAGGGAATAGATGTTCCAAATCAAACAAAAAACAAATCATATTGGTGTTTCAAGGGTGCACAGTTTCAGCAATCCTACAAAATGTGGCATGGTATGGGAAAATGATAAGAAAGGTTAATTAAGGCACCAAAGCCCAGCTGCAGAGAGGGCCCAACAGGGCAGAGCACATTTCAAGAAAATTAGGCTGGGTGCTTTGGGAGGCCAAGGTGGAAGGACTGCTTCAGGCCAGGAGTTCAAGACCAGCCTGGGCAACATAGCGAGACTCCGTGTCTACAAAAAATTACCTGGGTGTAGCCCCAGCTTTTTAGAAGGCTGAGGTGGGAGGATCAGTTGAGCCCAGGAGTTTGAGGCTGCAGTGAACTATCATCGTGCCACTATGCTCCAGCATGGGCAACAAAGCGAGACCCCATCTTTAAAAAAACTAAAAAAAATAAAATAAACATGAACTGTCGTGTTCTTAGAGAGTGAAGATGACCTCCTCTGAGGTAAAGACAAGGTCAGACAGAGGTGTTCATGGGGCTTCCAAGTATGAAGGGATATCTGAAAGACAAGTTATATGGAATCCTTGACAGGGAAGAAAAAAGGGGAAAAGGATACAAAGGAGTCACTGAAGGAATCAGGGAACTAGAAGAGATGATCAGAGAAGATAACCACAACAATCAGTAAACTGATTAGTAACAGAAGAAAATGTGATTGGGAAGGATGCAAAGTGATAAGGGCTAGAAGTCTGGAGGCAGAGGCCAGAAGAAGGGAAAGGAAGGGTGTGGGTCTGTAGGAAACGTGGCCTCCCAAGGGCCAAGCCAGGGTGAGTGACAGGAAAATGAGAGTCCAGACAGGGGTCCAGCCAGAGGCCTGGCCTTACTCATCGGACTGAGGCTCATAACTGTCTCCTGAGCTGAGTTCCCACAGAGGTTCCTCCGAGTCAGACTCAGATGTGACCACTTCTCTGCAGCAACGGCCTGGGCTGTTTCTTCCTCAGTCTTCACCAATGTCTAAAAAGACAAAAAAAGAAAATAGCCTCTTTGTTTTCACATGGTAAGGAATCCAGTTGTGAAGGGTGTTGAATACCACGCTGTAGACCGGTAGTCCCAGCCCCTCAGGGCATTTTGTAAACTTGTGGGAACCTTTCTGGTTATAACAATGAAGTCCACCACCACCTCAAGCCGATGCCATTCAGAGGGTGAGGCCAGAGATGCTAGGCATCTTGAAATATGTGGGACAGTCCCACACTACAAAGAATTCTTCCACATCCTGCAGGACTTTTGAGTGTCCTCCTGAACCAAACCTACAATCAGTATAAATCAGCTACACTGAAACATAGGAAACCTGAAGAGTTTTTATAGGATGATACTGAAAAAAAGTCAGTAATTCAAGAAAGTTAGAGAAGGAAGCTTACATCGATTAAAGACATTGTCACAAAAGTTGACTCACTTGGATTGTTCTACACACTATTTTACAGCATTTTCTATGTATTTGGTTGAACAGCACTTCAATATAATATTGCAGTTATAACAAATGCAATTAAACTGACTACAAATACCTAACAGAGTTTTGAGACTCCTTTTAACAGATTTGGAATCTAATGTAAATGCAGAAATCTCACTGAATTTCATCAACAAAGATTGTTTAAAAACATTTCAAAGCTAGTAATGATATGTAGGCTGGAAAAATCATACACTGAATTTATTTATTTGGGGAACTGTCTGAGATTTTCTATCTCTCTGACACTGTCCCAAAAGGCTACCACATGGTTTCATTAGCCTCTTGATTTTCTCTCATTTTCCAATCTACTTTCTCTTTCTTGTTGCCTGAAAAAGGACACAGTGCCAGTCTTTTAGAGAATGAATATCTGTTTTGACAAGGAGGGGGTTTCAAGACAGAAGATGTTTTCTCTTTAACTCATCATCACCCTATTCCAAACTACAGATAATTATTTTGATAATAAAAGGCAAAGCCCACCTCATTTAAACATAGGCCTACCTCAGAGATATTGCAGGTTCAGTTCCAGACCACCACAATAAGGCAAATATCACAATAAAGCAAGTCACAGAAATTTCTTGGCTTCCGAGTGCATGTGAAAGTCATGTTTACACTATACTATGTAGTCTATTAATCGTACATAAGCATTGTGTCTAAAAAAGTATATATCTTAATTTAAAAATACTTTATTGCTAATACATGCTAATAATCATCTGAGCCTTCAGAGAGTTGTGATCTTTTTGCTGGTAGAGGGGCTTCCTGCGATGTTGAACGATGCTGACTAATCAATGTGGTGGTTGCTGAAGGTTTCGGTGGCTGTGGCAGTTGCTTAAAATAAGACAACAGTAATGTTGGCCACCTTGATTGACTCTTCCTTTCACAAAAGATTTCTGTGTAGCATGCAATGTTGTTTGATAGCATTTTACCCAGAGTAGAACTTCTTTCAAAATTGTAGTCAATCATCTCAAACCTGCTGCTGCTTTATCAACTACGTTTATTTAATATTCTAAATCCTTTGTTGTCATTTCAACAATGCTTCACCAGGAGTAGATTCAATCTCAAACCACTTTCTTTTCTCACCCATAAGAAGTAACTTATCTGTTCAAGTTTTGTCATGAGATTGTAGCAATTCAGTCACATCTTCAGGTTCCACTTCTAATACTAGTCCTTTCCACCACATCTGCAGCTACACTATCCACTGAAGTCCTAAACCTCTCAAAGACAATGATGAGTGTTAGAACCAATTTCTTCCAAACTCCTGTTAATGTTGGTATTTTCACCTCCTCCCTTGAATCACAAATGTTAATGGCATCTAGAATGATGAATCCTTTCCAGAAGGTTTTTAATTTACTTTGCCCAGATCCATCACTATCTATGGAATCACTATCTATGGCAGCTATAGCCTTAAAAAATGTATTTCTCAAATAATAAGACTTGAAAGTCAAAATTACTCCTTGATCCATGGGCTACAGAATGTGTATTGTATTGGCAGGCTTGAAAACATTAATTTCCTTGTACCTCTCCTTCAGAGCTCTTGTGTGACTAGGTGCTCTGTGAATAAGCAGTAATATTTTCAAAGAAATCTTTTTTTCTTTTTTGAGTAGTATGTCTCAACAGTAGGCTTAAAATATTCAGTAAACCATGCTGTAAACAGATGTGCTATCATCCAGGCTTTGTTGTTCCATTTCTAGAGTACAGGCAGAGTAGGTTTAGCATAATTCTTATGGACCCTAGGATTTTCAGAATGATAAATGAGCACTGGCTTCAACTTTAAAATCACCAACTGCGTAAGCCCCTAACAAGTCAGGCTGTCCTTTGAAGCTTTGAAGCCAGGCACTGACTTCTCCTCTCTAGCAATCAAAGTCCTAGATGGCATCTTATTTCAATAAAAGGTGGTTTCATCTTCATTGAAAATCTGTTGTTTAGTGTAGCCACCTTCATTAGTGATTTTAGCTAGATCTGGATAACCTGCTGCAGCATCTGCATCAGCACTTGTTGCTGATGCATTTTATAGAGATGGCTTCTTCCTTACACCTCACGAACCAACCTCTGCTAGCTTCCGATTATTCTTCTGTAGCTTCCTCACCTCTCTCAGCCTTCACAGAATTGAAGAGAGTAAGAGATGTGCTCTGGATTAGCCTTTGGCTCAAGGCAATGCTGTGGCTGGTGTGATCTTCTATCCAAACCACTCAAACTTTCTCCATATCAGCAAAAAGCTTTTTGCTTTCTTATCATTCATATGTTCACCAGAGTAGCACTTTTCATTTCCTTCAAGAACATTTCCTTTGCATTCACCACCTGCCTGTTTGGCACAAGAGGCCTCCTAGCTTTTGGCCTATCTCGGCTTTCAACATGCCTTCCTTACTATACTTAATCACTTCTAGCTTTTTATTGAACCTGAGAGGCATGTGACTCTTCCTTTCACTTGAACACATAGAGGTCACTGTAGTAGTAGTATTATAAATGGCTTCATTTCAATATTATTGTGTCTCAGGACATAGCAAGGACCAAGGAAAGGAAAAGAGATGAGGGAACAGCTGGTCAATGGAGGAGTCAGGACACATACAATGTTTATTGATTAGGTCTGACATTTTAAACGGGCATGGTTTGTGGCACACCAAAACAAATTCAATAGTAACATCAAAAATAACTGATCACAGATCACCATGACAGATATAACAATAAAGTTTGAAACATTTTAAGAATTACCAAAATGTGACACAGAGTGTCACGTTTAAGAATTTAAGAATTACCAAAATGTGACACAAAGTGAGCACATGCTGTAGAAAAATGGTGCTGACAGACTTGTTCCACACAGGGTCATCACAAACTTTCAATACTGCAAAGCACAATAAAGTGAAACACAATGAAGGAAGTGTATCTGTAATATCATACCTCCTTATTTTCTCCCTTTATCAGTCCATAATTTGTTTTGTAACTTATATTGCTTTCCTATGGCTCTTGTAACAAAGTACCACAACCTCAATAGTGGAAAACAACAGAATTGTATTATCTCATGGCTCTGGAGGCTAGAAATCCAAAATCAAGATATCAGTAGGGCCATGTTATCTTTGAAAGCTCTATGGGAGGCCTGGCGTGGTGGCTCATGCCTGTAATCCCAGCACTTTGGGAGGCCAAGGTGGGCACATCACTAGGTCAGGAGATCGAGACCATCCTGGCCAACATGGTGAAACCCCATCTCTACTAAAAATACAAAAATTAGCTGGGCGTGATGGCGCTTGCCTGTAATCTCAGCTACTCGGGAGGCTGAGGCAGGAGAATCACTTGAACCAGGGAGCCAGAGGTTGCAGTGAGCTGAGATCGCGCCACTGCACTCCAGCCTGGCAACAGAGCAAGACTGTCTCAAAAAGAAAGAAAAAGAAAAGAAAAGAAAAGAAAAAAAGCTCCATGGGATAATTTTCCTTGCCTCTCTCCAAGTTTTTAGTGTTTGTCAGCAATTCTTGGTGTTCCTCGGCTTGCAGATGTGTTATACAAATCTTTGCCTCAGTGATCACATGGCATTCTCCCTGTGTGTGTTTTCACTTGGGCATTTTTCTTTCTTTTTTTTCAACCCCTTGGTCAATTTGCAAATATGGACTTCTTATAAGAATATGAGTCATTAGATTAAGGGCTCACCACATGAATTTTTTTTTCTGATTTTTGTGAAGAATGTCATTGGTATTTTGATAGTGATTACACTGAATCTGTAAATTGTTTTGGGAAGTATTGTCATTTTAATAATATAAATTCTTCCAATCCATTAGAATGGAATATCTTTCCAGTGTTTTTGTGTCCTCTTCAATTTGTTCCATGAGAGTTTTAGTTTTCCTTATACAGGTCTTTCACTTCTTTAGTAATTAAATGCTAAATTATAAATTATAAATAAAATACTAAAAAATATAAAATGCCTAGGGAATTTAAACACTAAATTTAACTTAATTTGGTGTTTAAATTTTTAGTATTTAAATTCCCTAAGTATTTTATATTTTTTGTAGCTTTTGTAAATGCGATCATTTTCTTGATTTCTATCTCAGATTGTTCACTATTGAAGTATATAAATGCTACTAATTTTTGAGTGTTGATTTTTTATCCTGCAACTTTACTTAGTTTGTTTATCAGCACTAACAGTTTTTTTGGTGTAGTCTTCAGGTTTTTCGAGGTATAAGATTATATCATCTGCGAACAGACTAACCTGACTTTTTGCTATCCGGTTTGGATGCCATTTATTTCCTTCTCTTGCATAATTGCTCTGGCCAGGACTTCGGGTATTATGTTGAACAACAGTGGTGAGATGGGCATTCTTATCTTGTTCCAGTCCTTAGAGAAAAGGCCTTCAGTTTGATGTTAGCTGTAGGTTTGTCATATATGGCCCTTATTTTGAGGTATGTTCCTTTTATACCAATTTTGACAAGGGTTTTTATCAAAAAGCAATGAATTTTATCAAATGCTTTTCAGCATCTATTGAAATAATCATATGGTGTTTGTTCTTGATTATATTAATGTGATATATCACATTTATTGATTTGCATATGTTGAACCATCCTTGCATCCCTGGAGTGAATCCCACTTGATCATGGTGAATGATCTTTTTAATGTGTTGTTGAATTCAGTTTGCTAGTGTTTCATTGAGAATTTTTGCACCTATGCTCATCAGTGATGTTGGTCTGTAGTTTTCTTTTTATTTTGTATCCTAGTCTAGTTTTGGTATCAGGGCAATGCTGGCCTCCTAGAATGAATTTGGAAGTAGTCCCTCCTCTTCAATTTTTTTTTTTTTTTTTGAAGAATTTGAATAGGATTGGTATTAGTTCTTTTTAAATGTTTGGTAGAATTCAGCAGGGAAGCCAACAGGTCCTGGGCTTTTCTTTGATGGAAGACTTTTTATTACAGATTCTATCTCGTTACTTGTTATTGGTTTGCTGAGGTTTTCTATTTTTTCATGGTCCAATCTTGGTAGTTGGCATGCATCTAGGAATTTATCCATTTCTTCCAGGTTTTCAAATTTATTGTCATAGTTGTTCATAAGTCTCTAATGGTTTCTTTGTATTTCTGAGGTCTCAGCTGTTATGTCTTTTTCATTTCTGATTTTATTCATTTGGGTCTTCTCCTTTTTTGTTTGTCCAGCTAAAGACTTGATTTTGTTTATCTTTTAAAAAAAATCCAACTTCTTGTTTCATTGTTCTTCTGGGTTTTTTTTTTTTTTTTTTGGTCTCAATTTCAGTTATTTCTGTTCTAATCTTTATTTGTTTCCTTCTACTAATTTCAGTTTGGTTTGTTCTTGCTTTTCTAGTTCCTTGAGGTGTATCATTAGGTTGTGCATTTGATGTCTTTTTACTTTTCTGATATAGGTGTTTATTGCTATAAATTTCCTTCTTAGTACTGCTTTTGCAGTATCCCACAAATTTTGATATGTCACATTTTCTATTTTCATTAGTTTCAAGACATTTTTACATTTCCTTCTTAATTTCTTCCCTGACAAATTAGTTGTTCAGAAGCATGCTATTTAATTTCCACGCGTTTGTGTAGTTTCCAAGGTTTTTCTTGTTATTGCTTTCTAGTTTTATTCCACTGTGATTAGAAAAGATACTTGATATGATTTATATTTTTTAAAAATTTGTTCAGATTTGTTTGTGGCCTAAGATATGGTCTATTCTTATGTCCCACGTGCTGATGAAAAGAATGTGCATTCTGTAGCAGTTGGGTTACATGTTCAGTAAATATCAGTTAGGCTTATTAGATCTAGCATGTAGTTTAATTCCATCGTTTCTCTGTTGACTTTCTGTCTGGATGATGTGTCAATTACTGAGAGTGGGGTGTTAAAATCTCCTACTATTATTGTATTGCAGTCTAACTCTCCTTTTAGATCTATTAATGTTTTCCTTATATACCTGGGAGCTCTGGTGTTGCATGCATAGGTATTTATAATTGTTATATACAGCCGGGCATGGTGTCTCACGCCTGTAATCCCAGAACTTTGGGAGGTCAAGGTGGGCAGACTGCTTGAGGCCAGAAGTTCAAGCCAGCCTGGGCAACATGGCAAAAACCCAGGTCTACAAAAAATACAAAAAATTACCCAGGCATGGTGGCACACACCTGTGGTCCCAGCTACTTGGGAGGCTGAGGTGGAAGGATCACTTGAACTCGGGAGGCAGAGGTTGCAGTGAGCTGAGATGATACCACTGCACTCCAGCCAGAGTGAAAGAGTGAGACCCTATCTCAAACAACAACAACAAAAAACCTCTGTGGCTAAGTGATTTTCTCTTATAGTATGCCTTCCTTTGTTGCTATTTTTAGTGAATTTATTATAGGTTTTTGCATTGTAGTTATCATGAGGCTTACAAAGAAGACCTTCAGATATAATAAGTTATTTTAAAGAGATAACAACTTATCTTAGATCCCAAATACAAGAGTAGAAACAAAGGCAGAAACACACAGAAAAAAATTATATGCTTTAATTCCATTCCTCTAGATTTTGACTTTTCGTTGTCTCAATTTATATCTTTATATTACCTATCTCTTAACAGGTTGCTAGCCATTATTGTTTGTCTTGTTTTGTTTTAAAGATATGGTCTCACTCTGTCTCATGTCTCCAGGTATAGCATCAGGATCTTACCATGTTGCCTGGGCTGGTCTCAAACTCCTTGTCTCAAGTGATCCTCCCACTTCAGCCTCCCAAAGAACTGGGTTTACAGGCATGAGCCACTGTGTCCAGTCCTATTATTGTTTTTGATAGGTATGTCTTGGGGCTTCACAGTTGTGAGTATACTGTATGTCACTATTACAGTAATAAAGTATTCTGGGTTTGTCCATGTACTTAATTTTATCAGTGACTTTTATGCCTTCAAAAGTTTTCTTTATGCACATTAGTCTTCTTTCCTTTTAGACTGAAGAATTCTTTAGCATTTCTTGTAAGATGTGTCTGGTGGTGGTGTACTCTCTCAGCTTGTTTGTTTGGGAAAGACTTTCTCCTTCATATATGAAAGATAATTCTGCTGGATACAATATTCTTGAATGTCAGTTTTTTTCTTGGAGTACTTTGAAAATGTCATTCCACTTTCTCCTGGCCTGTATGATTGCCATTGAGAAGTCTATTGCCAGACAAGTTGGAGCTCCTTATTTGTTTCTTGTCTCTTGCTGCTTTTCAGATCCTCTCTTTTTCCTGGACAGTTGAGAGTTTGATTATTATATGCCTTGGAGTAGTCTTATTTGGGATGATTCTGTTCAGTGTTCTCAGATCTTCCTGTACCTGGACATTTATATCTTTCACAAGTTTTGTGAAGATTTTTGTTATTATTTCTCTATTTTTAAAATTTATTTTTAATTTATTTTATTTTAATTTTTTTGAGATGGAGTCTTGCTCTTGTTGCCCAGGCTGGAGTGTAATGGCATGATCTCGGCTCACTGCAACCTCCATCTCCCAGGTTCAAGCGATTCTCCTGCCTCAGCCTCCCGAGTAGCTGGCATTGCAGGTGCCTGCCACACCTGGCTCCTTTTTTTTGTATTTTTAGTAGAGACGGGGTTTTGCCAGGTAGGCCAGGCTGGTCTCGAACTCCTGACCTCGTGATCCACCCACCTCAGCCTCCCAAAGTGTGGGATTACAGGCATGAGCCACCACGCCTGGCCTATTCTTTTTTTTTAAATAGATACAGGGTCTTGCTGTGTTGCTCAGGCTGGTCTCAAACTCCTGGCCTCAAGCAATCCTCCTGCCATGGCCTCCCAAAGTTCTGGGATTACAGTTGAGAGCCACTGCACCCGGCCTATTGTTATTTCTTTGAATAAGCTTTCTATTCTTGCTCTTGCTCAGCTCCAAGAGCAGACTGTTTAAAGGATGGCTGCCTCTAATGTGTGGTCTCCTTGCACACACTTGATTATCCATCATTCCACTTTCTGCCATGAGCTAAAGCAGCATGAGATCCTAACCAGATAGGCTGATGATCTTGGACTTCCCAGGTTGTAGAACTTTGAGCTAAATAAACCTCTTTTTAAAATAAATTACCCAGTCTCAGGAATTCTGTTATTAGCAACACAAAATGGACTAAGACAGAGCCTGTTTCCAAATCAGGTCACATTCACAGGTACGTGGGGTTAGGATTTTCATATATCTTTTGGAGGGACATAATTCAATTTACAACATCTAAGCCTTACTTCAATTAAGGGCCCCACTTTCTCTGTCTAGTCTTGTATTATCTGACTCAATACTAGTTTCATTTCACTGTCCACCTATACCATTGCTCTTTGATTTTCTTGGGCTTCTGGTCTTCTTATTCCTCCTTAATTTGAACTTACTAATTATATTTCAGTGCAAACACCTGACTACGTTGTTATTTCCCTAGTTATAATCACATCAAGCACTTGCATTTTGAAACACTACTTTTAAAATAAATAACTTTTTTGTTTCTACATTATACCATTAAATTACATTTAAGGGAATTATGTTGATTTTCAGAATGTGCATGAGTAGGTTTTATTTTCTAGATACTTCTTATCAGGAAGTATTTGTTAATAACAGGAGGCACTGGGTCTGATAGAATTAAAAATTAATTAGAAGCCATAGAAGAGGACTGAGCAAGTGTCTTGAGGAAACTGATGTGGCAGCAGTATGCAAGAGGACTTAAATGAGAGAGTTATTTTTTTTTTGTAAATAAATGACTAGGAAAATGAATGAACCACTAATAAGAAAAAAAACCAGAGTCCATTTTGTGAAGAAGATGTTAAGTATTACCTTAGATATATAGAATTTCCATTATTATCACCAAGCATTAATTGCATACATGCTGAATATAAAGTAGTGTGAGAAAGGGCCCTTATTCTAAAGCTGGGGAGATAAACCAGAGACTTCAAAGGAGAAAATATCAGTTACTCAACATCAAATGAGTGGAGCACTTTCTGAAACCAGGAGCCTCACTCCACCCCTCACTCCCATGCCTTGAGATTTGGACGTGCCTCCTGAACAATGAAATGAGGCAATGGCATATAATCAATACAAGCTCCTCGAATGATGCAACACACTTTGTGATATTCTGTGACAAGGTGAAGGCAGAGGGACTATGCCACCTGAATGGCTCTCACGATGATGAGTGTGAGCCAAGAGAAGGGCAAGGAACATGGAATGAGGGAGAAAGACCACTACTGATATTCCTACAAGCTTGGGCATCCTACTTACCTGGGACCTGACTGGGTTAAACACAGGCACTACAGCCTTGTCTCTGGGGTTTTTTTCCTGGAGATGAGCTGATCCGTGGGGAACAGGCCCTGCAGAGAGAGAGGGCAAGAGTCCTAAATGAGACATGATGGCCTTTAGGGTACCCTTTTTGGAGACCCAGCCTTTTCCCCCAAATGTTATGTTTGTTAAACATTCAAGAACTAAGACGTAGATTTTACAGTGTGAGAAAGAGCATCACAACTGCTTTCATTCTGTCAGAAATTCTAAAATTCTACAACTTTAGGGTCTCTCACCCAAAAAATGGAGTGGGATTTATGAACTCATAAGGTGCTTTACAGTCATGCACTTTCACATAAAGAAAAAATAAAAATCATAGACAAAAATAAAGGGGAGGAAGAAGCTGGTGATAAAGGAAGGATCAAGGAGAGAACACAGAGGCAAAAGAAAGGATGTAGAGAGTAGAGAGATGAGACTGAGGGGAAACAGGAAAGCAGAAGAAAGGAAGATGGAGAGAGAGACAGGAAAATAAAGATATTTAAAAAAATAGAGAAGAGATGTTAGCCATGAACTAGAAAAACTGTTAGGAGGTACTGATCCCAAAGAACCAACAATAATCAAAATGGTGATGATGACTGCACAAGGCCAGCCACTGTGCTGTTACTTTAAAAGATTATTTCCAATCCTCAAAATAATCAAGAAGGTCCAAATTATTGCCTCCAAAATCCTAGGCACATTCAGAAGAATCACAGCTGAGTGCAGAGTACACACAGAGATCAAACAGATAATTGTTGATTAACTGAATAACCTATTAAATGACTTGCCTAGGTCACAAAGTTGGCAGTTGGCAGATGGCAGAGTACAAAATTATCAAATGAAGAGCACATGTGGTAATTCTAACCCAAAAATATAAAACAGAACATCACTTTTCTTTGCTCTGCTTTTCTTTGCTTCCATAATGGATCACTATGGAATGTTTTTATTGCTGTTGTTGCATTTCTAGAAGGAATAAAGTTTGCTGGAAAAAAACAGCCTTGCCCCGATTCACTTTTACTATTATATGTACTTGTCCACAACACATACATACTAAATAAACCAGCTTAAAATGCACAGTGTAAAATAAAGCAGGTCTTTACAAGTTTGTTCAGATACAGGGTTAGACAAAAAAATAAAACTTGATGTTGGTCACAGGGTATAAACTTGCAGTTATAAGATGAATAAGCTCTGAAGACCTACGTACAGAATGCTGACTATAGTTAGTAATAATAATATATTGTATACTTGAAATTTCATGAGAGTAGATCTTAGGAATTCTTACCACAGACACATAAAAGGTAACTGTGAGATATGTAAGTTAGCTTGTGGTAATCATTTCACAATGTATACAAACTTGAGGTCAAGAAGGCTGTGCAAGTGTCAGTGGCCAGCTCCCAGCGTCCTCACTAAACTCACTCGAGCACTCACCACTCACTTCTTGGGGGTTCCCTTGAGGACGCTGTGGAGGTTCACACTTCAGGGTGGTTATCCCAGGCAGGAGCTGGAGGCTCTGACACTCCAAAGAGACTCCTTGATATTCTGCCACCATTGGGTGCATGTCCTGTCCCTGAATATAGACAGAGGCCTGGAAACAAAAGATTTATTTTGAAAGGGCAT
This sequence comes from Homo sapiens, assembly GCF_000001405.40. Taxonomy (NCBI): domain Eukaryota; kingdom Metazoa; phylum Chordata; class Mammalia; order Primates; family Hominidae; genus Homo; species Homo sapiens. Next base: position 28,285,518 of record NC_000006.12, on the reverse strand, counting down.
GCATATATGGACTGCATGCTAAGAGCCTGGCACTGTTCTACATGCTGGGGATACAGCAGCAAACAAGGCAGAAAAGACAGGCAAAGGATCCCAGCCCAGAAAAACAAAAACAACAAACAAGTGGATGTTTAAACTAGCTGGTGAAAATTTAATGAGGAACAGGATATGTACACCACCTCAAAATGTCTCCCACAGATTACTTAGTAATTACAAAGGGGAAAATGGTAACTTTCTAGTGGAGAAAATTGACAGGTACCACCATAACCTCATCAGTAATGGGACAAATCATCACTACGCACCTCCTGAAGTAACGCACTGAGAACACAACATTACCTCTGTGGTATTCTAGCCAAAATGTGCAGCCTGAATCATGAGAAAATATAGGACAAACTCAAATTGAGGGATAGTCTCCAAAAAAACTAGCTGTACTCTTCAAAAATAACAACGTCATGACAAAGACAGCAGCTACTCCAGATTCACAGACTAGAGATATGGCAACTAAGTGCAATATGTGATGCTGGCTTGTATCCTGAATCACAGGAAAATTATCATAAAGAACATTATTAGGATAACATGGCAAAATATGAATAAGGACTAAGGTTATATGATAGTATCGTAAGTTTAATTTCCCTAAACTTGATTTTTGTATTCTTGTGATACAAGAGAATATCCTCACTCTTCAGAAATACACACCGAATAGCCAGGTGCAGTGGCTCATGCCTGTAATCCCAACACTTTGGGAGGCCAAGGCAGCATGATCACTTGAGGCCAGGAGTTCAAGATCAGCCTGGGCAATATAGTGAGACCCCACCCCCGCTACAAAAAATTAAAAATAAATTAGCCAGGCATGGTGGCATGCACCTGTAGTCCCATCTACTCAGGAGCCTGAGGTGGGAGGATTGCTTGAGCCTTCCACCATTGCAGTTCAAGGCTGCAATGATGCTATGATCGTACCACTGCACTCCAGCCTGGTCAACAGTGAGGTAAAGGGATATAGTGTTTGCAACTGACTCTCAAATAGATTCAGGAAAAAAAAATACTGCATATGTGTATGTATGTGTGTGTATACATATACATATGCATCTTGGGGGGGGGGAATGCACTTCCTTGTACGAGTGTGTACACAACAATGGGACTTCATCAAACAAATGTTAACAACTGGCAAATTTGGATGAAGAGTTTTACGGGAGTTCTCTATTCTTCTAATACTTCTATAAATTAGGAGTTATTTCAAAATAAAACGTTAAAAATAAACCGATACATGTCCCCCTTTTCTTCTCCCACATCACCACACACATTCTCTTCCCACCTGTTGTCCTGTGTCTCCACTTCCTGTCTCTAGATTCTCCAGCACTGTCACTGCCTCCTCTCCACTCTCCAGAGGATATGTCTTCACACAGGGCTGGAGCTCCTTGGGCAGGATGGTCAGGAACTGCTCCAGCACCAGCAGTTCCATTATCTGTTCCTTGGTGTGCATCTCCGGTCTCAGCCATTGATGACAAAGTTCTCGGAGTTGGGCCAGAGCTTCCTGGGGTCCGTGAGCCTCCTGGTAGCAGAAGTGCCGAAAGCGCAGGCGGCAAATCTCCTGAGTGTGGGAGCTGCCCTCCTGTGAGTTGCACACCTGCTCCCAGGTGGGATCTTCCTCCTTCACTTTCACAAGGCCATCTTCATTTTCAGGAGCAGGGCCTGGCAAAGCTTCATACATGTTGAGCTTAGAGGCTAAAGCTTCACTTAGCTTGGGGTCTATATTCAGAAATAGAGATCTGAGGCATAAGAATTTATCAGCAACATGCAAATTATAAGAGCTTCAAAACTGTATGTAACCTACTTACATTTTTGTCCCCACTGTAGGTAATGCTCAAAAGCTGAGCCTGCTTGCTTCTATTATCAGTGAAATGAATCAGAAGTATATTTTGAACTAGTACTAAAGGGCCTGAGTCCAAAGGTAAGGGATGTAGGACATGAGGGAAGAAGTGTTAGCAATAAGAAAGCTCGAGTAGCTTGCACTTCAGCTGGGGAGAGGGGATAATTTACCCATTGAGGAGGCAGATGGCTGCCTTCATGGACAAATAATACAGTCTCAAAGGTCTTCTATATCTGTGTAACTCTCATTGAATATTCCACTTTAAATGTAGGTGTAACAGAATGTTTCCAAAGTCTCCCATTCTCAAATACCTTTTGTGATGAGATTTTGCCACTGTTGTCATTCAAGGGGTGGAGTCTCTTTTTCCTTCCCTTGAATCTGTTCTGGCCTATGACTTGCTTTGACCAGTGGAATACAGCAGAAATGACATTGTAAGAGAGAGTGCTGCTGTAGCTCTTGGCTCACTGCCATAAGACTGCCATGCTGTAAGGAAGCCCAAGCTAGCTATACAGAGGTCATGTGGATGAGAACCAAAATGCCCAAGTTAAAGCCCAGCCAGGCCTAGTGCTCAAATAATTCACCACCTGAATGCAGCTCTATTAGTAACTCCAGGTGAGACCAGTAGAACCGCCTAGTCAACCCGCATAATCCTGAGGAACAATAAGCTGAGCTTGTTTTCAGCCACTAAGTTTAGAGTTTTATTTTTGATGCAACAATACATAACTGAAAAACAGTAGACATGCATCAAGTTCTTTTATTCCCTCTTTTCATTTTTTCCTTTGTGATCTCCTTAGTCACACTTTCAATATATCTCTGTTCCAAGAAGACTCAAATCTTTGGCACCAGCTTGCTTTTTGCACTCCAAACCCACATCTTGAAATGCCAGCAGCTGTGGGCCTCTACTGCACTATAATTTCAACAGATCTCAAACTGAAATCAGAGTCCCTCAAAGCTGCGTTCACTCGGTATTTCTCCATTTCTACTGGCATCACCATCATCTTCCACGCATTCAGTCTTTTAAACAGCCTCTATACACAATCAGTGAGTCAATTCTTAAAAACGCCTCTTGCAGCCATTCTTTCCTTCTTATAATTTTACTATTATTTTCATTCACTGTTACAATAATGTTCTGTTACGGTATTCCTGCCCAACTCCCCGCTTCTATGGTCACTGGATTAATATTCCCTAAAGCACAGTTGTGACCATATTCAACATACCTCACACACACATAAACACACACAAAGTTTTCATTAAACTCGTTGAAGTAAATTCAAACTCCCCAGGATCTAATCTTTACTGGGTTTTGCTGATTTGTTTGTCACTCAATCAACATTTGTGGAGCATCTCATTATTTTCCAGGCATAAAGTTAACTCTGGAATAAAAGACTTGGTTCCTGCTTTCAAGAAAGCCATGGTCTTCCCAAATTTCTTATGTCACTGCCATGCTAAGTACTCAATTTTTTTCCACCCACTCTATACAGTCAGGACCGCCCTTCTAAGGGTAAATTCCCAAGGCCCAGCGTAAATGTTCTATTGTAAAACCTTCCCTGGCAACCCCTAACCCTAACATATAGACAGGAAAAGTAAGCCACACAGGTTGAGATGGGGTATTCCCATAGAAAACTGCACCCAACCCTCATCTCCATCTCGTATTACAGATCACCAACCCCATCCCCACCCGGGTTCTTGAGGACAGGAGTTTATCTCTGCATAGACTCTACATGCCCGGCACGTACCTGGTATTCAAGAAATACTGATGGGCTTCTTCACGAATGCACGTAAAGCACCTGAGATGCCAGCAGCCAGCACCCTCAGGCGCGCCCCTGAATGTATTTTTCTGAGATTACACCCAGCATCTAGCACCGCGCCAGGCACTGAATACCGGCGTGTCTAATTGTTGGTTAATGGACCAAAAGTTCAGGAACGCGCACAACAAAGACGTAGCTGACCTCGTGAAAGGCTCCCGAGGGAGCTCAGAGGCCCGGTGCTCCCCTGTCGGGAGCGCCGGTTTCCCCAGAGCCCGGGCCGCTGGGCTGGCGGGTCTGGCGGGCGCTGCCGGCGCCTCCAGCAGCTGGGCGGGTACAAAAGCTTCTCCCTGCGCCGCGCCCGCAGCGGAGTGGCGGAGTCTGGCGGGTTCCCTGCCTCTCTAGGAGCACGGCCGCTCGTCTCTCTGGTGAGCCGGGAGGACCCCCGCTGCCACCTCCTGCCCCGCCCAGGTCACTCTCCGCCGCCGGACCCCAGGCCCATTCGGACGGTGCAAGCACGCCCCAAATTTATGTACATCATTTCGATTGAAAACCAACACAGTGGTAAATGTCTGTCTTCGGGGTCATCACTGGCTGGTAGGAGAGACAGATCAATAAAAAGACCATTATAGTAAGCTGTACAAATTATTTTCTTTAAGTATACATAATATATGTACAATAAAAAAGTCAAGTTGCAAAAGGACCATAAAACGAAAAGTGTCCCCTCTTTAGAGTTAACCATTGTATTTTGTTCATATTTATCTAGGACACTACCTGCCACACAGTAGCACTTAATGAACATTTTGTTTAGTGAATAAGTATTTATACATTTTAAAACACTTATGGTATCATAATGTAATTTTGCACCTTAGCTCTTTTCGGTTAAGACAACTTGGAGATCTTCACAGATCAGCTTATTCTTTAACAGCTAAGTAATACTGTATGAGTGTTCCATAATTTACTTAACTATCCTATTGATGCATACTTAGGTTATATTTTTTCTTTAAAAGCAATGCTAGAGGGAACACCATTCAATACCTTTACATTCTTTTAAGAATATATTTCTAGGATAAATGCCACATATTAGAACTGTTCAGCCAAAGGACACGTGCATTTAAAATGCTGATATGCAAGTTCCCTATTTGATTTTTAAGGGCACTTCTGTTTAAGAGTAAAAGGAGACTTTAGTAGAAAAATTAGTAAAGGATATGAACATTACTACACACAAGATAAGTGACAAATTAACATGTGAAAAGATGTTCAATAGTAAAAATATAAAAAACTCTTTAAAAAACAGACCCATTATTTATTCATTTACCTACTGAGTTTTGGCAATTATGAATAAAGCCGCTATAAACATCTGTGTGCAAACTTCTGTGTAGACACTGGTTTTCAGCTCCTTTGGGTAAACACTAAGGAGGGCGATTGCTGTATCACATGGTAAGAGTATGTTTAATTTTGTACGAAACTACCTAACTGTCATCCAAAGTGGCTGTATCATTTTGCATTCCCACCAGCAATGAATGAGAGCTCCTGTTGTTCCACATCCATACCAGAATTTGATGTGTCAGTGTTCTGGATTTTGGTCATTCTAATAGATGTGTAGTGGCATCTCACAGTTGTTTTAATTTGCAATTTCCCTGATGGGATATGGTGTGGAGCATCTTTTCATATGCTTATTTTCCATCTGTATATCTTCTTTAATGAGGTGTCTGTCAAGGTCTTTGGCTCATGTTTGAATCGGGTTGTTTCCTTATTTCTGAGTTTTAAGAGTTCTTTCTGTATTTTGGATAACAGTCCTTTAACAGATATTTCTTTTGCTGTGGTATATGCAGACAATGGAATATTATTCAGTGCTAAAAAGAAATAAGCTGGCCAGACACGGTGGCTCAAGCCTGTGATCCCAGCACTTTGGGAGGCTGAGGCAGGTGGATCACTTTGAGCTCAGGAGCTGGAGACTAGCCTGGGCAACACAGTGAAACCCCATCTCTACTAAAAATACAAAAAATTAGCCGGCCGTGGTGGTGTGCGCCTGTGGTCCCAGCTACTCAGAAGGCTGAGGCTGGAGAATTGCTTAAACCCAGGAAGCAAAGGTTGTAGTGAGCCAAGATCGTACCACAGCACTCCAGCCTGGCCAACAGAGTGAGACCTTATGTCAAAAAAAAAAAAGAAAAAAAAAAGAAATGAGCTATCAAGGCATGAAAAGATATTGAGAAAATTTAAAAGCATATTACAAAGTGAAAGAATCCTGTCTGAAAAGCTACATACTGTATGATTTCAACTACAAGTTGAGTATCCCTTATCTGAAATGCTTGGGGCCAGAAGTGTTTCCAATTTCGGATTTTGGAATATATACATACATTATGAAATATCTTAGGGATGAGGCCCAAGTCTAAACATGAAATTCATTTGTTTCATATATACCTTACTCACATAGAGCTAATTTTATACAGTTTAAATACTTTCGTGCATGAAACATAGTCTTTTTTTTTGAGATTGAGTCTTGCTCTGTTGCCCAGACTGGAGTGCAGTGGCACAATGTTGGCTCACCACAACCTCCGCCTCCTGGGTTCAAGCGATTCTCGTGCCTCAGCCTCCCAAGTAGCTGGAACTACAGGTGCATGCTACCACACCCGGCTAATTTTTATATTTTTAGCAAAGACGGGGTTTCGCCATGTTGGCCAGGCTGGTCTCAAACGCCTGACCTCAGGTGATCCACCCACCTTGGCCTCCCAAAGTGCTGGGATTACAGGCTTGAGCCACTGCACCCAGCCGAAACAAAGTATTGACTGGATTTTGTCTATGACCTGTCACGAGGTCAGGTATGAAATTTTTCACTTGTAGCATCATGTTGGTGCTGAAGTTTCACATTTTAATGCATTTTGGATTTTGGGTTTTCAGATTAGCTGTACTCAACCTGTATACATGACATCCTGGAAAAGGCAAAACTATAAAGACTGTAGAAAGGTCAGTGGTTGCTAGGGGCTGGAAAAAGGGAGGGATGAATAATAGGTAAGGCACAGAGGATTTTTAGGGCAGTGAAACTATAATGGTGGACACGATATTATGTATTTGTCCAGACCCATAAAATGAACAATACCAAGAGTGAACCCTAATGTAAACTATGGTCTTTGGGTGATAATATGTCAATGTAGGTTCATCAATTGTAACAAATGTCACCCTGGGAGGGGATGTTGATAATAGGGGAGGCTATACATGAATGGGAGCAGTGGGTATATGAGAAATCTTTGTATCTTCCTCTCAATTTTGCTGAGAACTTAAAACTGCTCTAAAAAATGGTTTATTAAAAAAAGCAAACCATTTTGTACACATCAGATTGTCAAATATTCAAAAGAATAATTCCCAGTTTACGTGGGTATAGAAAATTGGGCATTATCATAGGCTGCTAACAGGGTGTACAAATTAGTGTAACTTTTCTGGAGGGCATTCTGGAAAATGCATCAAAAGCCTTAGAAAATATGCCTACCTTCTGCCTCATTGATTCTCATTATGGGAACTGAACAAAGAAAAAAATTCTGTAAGTAGGCAAAGTTGTATATACAAGGATGTTCACTGAAAAATTGTTTATGGTGATCAAACTGTAAATGACGTAAATGATGAACAATGGGGACATATACCATAGAATACTGCACAGCTTATATGGAAAATTATCTTCCACAAACACTTTAAATAAATCTGCAGGGATTTGTTTGAAACCTTTATTAGAAGGAAACAGTATTCTATGGACTCCCAAGACCAGGATATATATGGATTGCAGAGGCTGAGGGCTGAAGTTGTCACTCTGGTGATATGTTTTGGAGTGGACGCCCCTAATTTTAATATTCTTCATCTGTGACATTCTGCTATTCACAGTATAAAGATCATGATCTCCTCTCCAAGCTGACTTTATTGTTTAACTTCCGAAGTATTCCAGAACAAGCAACATTTCAAAATTGCATCATCAGTATTAAAGGGAAAAAGTCCAATTTCTTTCATCAGACATTTACTGAATAGTGTCTATGCAGCAGCCACTATACTGGCACTGGAGTTATCAAGTCAGACAGTTGCTATTCAGATTAATTCAGCAAGGTTCATTCAAATTACTCATGAAATCTCTTTCAAAGTCTAAGTAAAACGTTAATTTATAACTTGAATCTTGACATAATGTGGTGGGGAATGGGGATGGGAAATGGTAAAATTACATGAAGCTAACCCTGAAGGCAAGTTCTGAAGTTCACCAGCGAAAATTATCTTTGCTTTTGAAAATGCTTCCACTGGGGAAGGAAGGGGTAAGGCCAGTGGGAGGAATGAGGTGAAGCCACTGGGGGAAAATGTTCACCATTAACCTGTACTTTAAAGACACCTTTGAGAGTAGTATACTTCCAAACATCATCAGTTTTATTTCATAGGAGAAAGCTGCTATAGCATATCCAAAAATATCAATCTTCCCTTGTTCTGCTTAAGCCTGCAAATCTGTGGGCACTTGATTCACTGCTGACTTCAAAACTCTTACTCAGTCATGAAGCTCTCTATTGCTTAGAGTATATAATCATGCAGTTATGTTACATGCTCTGAGATGTCCTGCAGTGAAGAATGCTGTTTAACTTTGATCCTAGCATATCATCTACAGTGAAATTATTGTGGTCCAAAGCTGACTTCAAGGAAAGCAAAGGAGAGAGAATAGAGGCAGGGAGCCTCCAACTCAGCCCCCAAGAATTTTCTGATGCCACAGTGGGCTACGGTGACTTTTCCTAAAGTGCTGTTTGCTAGTCAATGTGCCTTCTCTGATGTTCTACAAGGAGAGAACACCTCATCAAGCCAGTTTGTCTTTGTGGTGATATCTCTGATGTTGAAAAAGACCTGACCTTTGCCTGAAGGCTTCTCCACATTCACTACACTGATAGGGTTTTTCTTCATTGTGGATTCTTACATGCTGAGCAAGGTGTGAGTTTAGTCGGAAGGCTTTCTGGCATATGTTACACTTGAAAGGTTTTTCTCCAGTATGAATTCTGTGGTGTCGAATAAGGTCTGAGGTCAAACTGAAAGCTTTTCCACACTCGTTACATTGATGGCTTTTGGAGTGACTATGGATTCTCTGATGGTGGGTGAGGAGTAAGGCCTGACTAAAGGTTTTTCCACACTCCTTGCACTCACAGGGCTCCTCCTGACTGTGAATTCTCTGATGTCGATTAAGGTGAGAGCTGCGCCTAAAATTTTTTCCACAATGGATACATAGATAAGGTTTCTCTCCAGTATGAATTCTGAGATGTTCCAAAAGGCCTGCATTCTGGCTAAAGACTTTGCCACACTCATTGCACTGATAAGGCTTCTCACCAAGATGGATTTTCTGATGTCTGACGAGGTGTGAACTCCTCTGAAAGGCTTTCCCACACTCATGACACTGATGACCTTTCTCTCTAGAGAGGACTTTCTTATGTCCTGTAAGACTGGAACTCTGACACACATCAGACTCGCAGAGTTTCTTTCCCGTGTGTGTACTCGCATGTTCAATCAGGTCCAAGTGCTGGATGAATCTCTGCTCACGTTCTGAGCATTTATACTCAATCTTCTCTTTGGGCTTGGCCTGATGCCTTTCCAAGTTAGAGCCCTCATTATGAGCCTCCATGGGTTCAGATATTTTCCCAGATGACTCTACTCTTCCACAAGAGTCTGTTACTACAATAAGCTTCCCATTCTCAATCCTTGTCTCCTCACCTGCAATATTAAATATATACCACCAATTACTTGTCTTTTGATGCTTGGGGAAAGGAATCTGCAACTAAAAGGAAAAAAAAATATAATGAAGCCATGTGTGCAAAGTAAAAACATTGTGGATGCTTGTGATTGCGTAAAATAGTTACAGAATGGTACACAAGACATTGTTAACTGTGACTGTCTTTGGGGAAAGATGGGGAATTCTGGTGGGAGGTGACTTATTTTAAATAGTTTAAATTTTATCATGGGATACCACACACAGAGAAGCTAGCAAGCAAGCAAATAAACTGTCTTAAAGGGCATGGCTGTACAGTCTTGAAGATAACTTGTCACATGGAAAATAAAAAAAGCTAGGTTAATTGAGGCCCCCAGGGCCCATAAGAAAGGGACGACATTTTAACTGAAAATGAAGAAATGTAGATGTGGTGCCCAATTTTATCACTAACTGTGTAATCTTAAAAAAGTAAGGTAAATCATCTGGGCTCTGTGTCCTCATCCATAAAGAAAGAATAATGTACTATAAGACCTTGACAATAACATGAAGTTCACAAAAATGCCTTCGCCTTTCCTAATCTCCTTGGACAGCAGTAACTGCTCTCCTGTGTGGTTCAACAGAGCTTTAATCTCAACGCTATGATAATTTATTCATGTCTGTCGCTCCCTGCACCCCTGATGCACAATGCCCCAAGAGACTGTAAGCACATGCAGAGCAGACTTTGTTTTCTCTAGCACAGAGCCTGGTACATAACAGACATTAAACAAATGTTTACTAAATAAATGGCCTGTGTCCTAAGGGTGAAATTAAATGAAAATAGAGAAAACTTAAGCTCAGATACACAAGCAGACGGGTGAGAAGAATGTGAAGTTTTTGTTTTGTTTCATTTTATATTTTTATTTACCAGTTTTTCTTGTAGCTAAGGATAACTCTTCAAAGGCTAGGAGCATGACTGGGGATGCAAAGTCAGAATGAGAGAGTAAAAGGAAAGCTGGATGGAGAAAATAGAAGAAAGACTCTAAGCAGCACTAATAACAAACAAAAGAGGGTTAATCAGTGTGAGCAAGTTAATTCAGCAGATAAGTAAAAAGGAAAGAGTGGATGACAGCTGAAAGGAAAAGTGAAAGTGAAGGAATTAGTAAGGAGACATCAGAGAAAGGAAGGTCACAGGTGGGGAGTGAATAAATTAAATAATGTAATAATGTACTGTGTACAAAGACCCTCTACAACAGAATGAAGTATTCAGTCCTACACAGGGGCAGGGGGCAAGAGTGAGAGATTAAGGGAAAGGAATAAGACTCTTCCAGTAATGACATAATCACATATACAACTTTAAAAAAGCAAGAGAGGATGAAACCAAAAAACAACCTGAACTTTGAATATAAAATAACATTTTTAACAGATCCAGAGGGTAAGGGACATTTTCAAGAGTCTACTGACATTACATTCACTTTTTTTGAGACATGGTCTTGCTCTGTTGCCAACGCTGGAGTACAGTGGTGCAATCACATAGCTCACTGCAGTCTTGAACTCCTGGGCTCAAGCAATCCTCTTGCCTCAGCCTCCCAAGTGGCTAGAACTACAGCTGCATGCCACCACGCCTAGCTATTTATTTATTTTTTGTAGAGGACAGGGTTTCACTATGTTGCCCAGGCTGGTCTCAAACATCTGGCTTCAAGCAATCCTCCCACTCTGGCTTCCCAAAGTAGTGGGATTACAGCAGCCACATTTACTTTTTGTATTTAAACTATACACCCATCACTGATTACATGGTAATCATTTCTGCAAGGCTAATTCATTTCTGCAAGGCTATTGAGAAAAGGTAGGCCCCTTTCTTTCAGCTACTTTATTCAGGATGCTCCCAGAAGAAAGGTAATTTGAAGCTGACTTGGAAATTGAACAGAGGAATAGGTAGCATGTAAAGCATGATTTTACATATAAAACCAGTCATTCATCAAACAGACATTTATTGAGGGTCTACACTAGGCCAGGGACTGTAGCTGACTCAGAAAACAAAACAAAACCCCTTCCCTTTTAGTCTGGCAAGAGAAAAAGAGAAGCAAACTAGAAACTGCAATATAATGTAATTAGTTCTATGACAGAAAAAAAAAAGAAGAAATGAAAAAATGTAAGGAGCAAAAATTAGGAAGAAGAATTTCAGTGACAAAGAAAATAAAGGAGGCTGGGCGAGTGGCTTGCACCTATAATGCCAGCACTGTGAGAGGCCCAAATGGGAGAAATGCTTAAGACCAGGAGTTCGAGACCAGCCAGGGCAACAGAGGGAGACCCTGTCTCTACAAATAATAATAATAAAAAGCCAGGTGTGGTGGCACACACACCGGTAGTCCCAGATACTTGGGAGGCTGAGGTGGGAGGATCACTTGAGCCTGGAAGGTCAAGGCTGTAGTGAGCTATGACTGCACCATTGTACTCCAGCCTGAAGACAGAGCAAGACCCTGTCTCAATAGAAAAACAACAAAAAAGAAAGTATAGAACCAAAAAAAAAAAAAAATCCAGGTGACGTTTAGAAATGAAAGATAGTGGCCATTTACAATAATTTGAAGGAAATGTTAAAAAATGAGTAATGAAGCATGTGGCTTTCTTTGCCTTGATTAAGAAACTAGCAGTACTTGTTTTTTTTTTTGTTTGTTTGTTTTTTGAGACAGAGTCTTGCTGTGTCGCCCAGGCTGAAGTGTAGTGGCGTGATCTCAGCTCACTGCAATCTCAGCCTCCTGGATTCAAGCAGTTCTCTGCCTCAGCCTCCCGAGTAGCTGGGATTACAGGCACCCGCCACCAAACCTGGCTAATTTTTGTATTTTTAGTAGAGACAGTGTTTCACCATCTTGGCCAGGCTGGTCTTGAACTCCTGACCTCGTATACCTACCCACCTTGGCCCCCCAAAGTGTTGGGTTTACAGGCATGAGCCACCATGCCTGGCCACTATTTGCTTTTTTAAGAGATGTTGCCCAGACTGAAGTGCAGTGCAACAATCATTGCTCACTGCAGCCTTGAACTGGGCTCAAGTGATCCTTCTCCCTTAGCTTCCCAAGTAGCTGGCCTGGCACTGCTTTTTTTATTCACCCCTACAGTAAGAGGAAGAAGAGCAAGGTGAAGGTCCAGGTTCCCTTTGTACCCTTTTCTTGCTATTTTGTTCAGCTAAAATATTTGGGGTGATAGATATCTCTTATCTCTTGATAGTGGTCCTGATTAGACCACAATTATTTCGCATTTGTGAAAACTCATTGACCTGTACATCTAAAAAGAGTGAATTTTACTACATATAAATTATGCTTCAGTAAACCTGACTCAAAACAAAAGCAAAAAACAAAATACAAGGGTGCTAAGCACAACCTCAGAGGGAAAGGCACAGTCCACCACGTCTCACACACAGAAGATGCAATCCAATTCTTACCCTTCTCTTTCTCAGGCTTTGTAACTTCACACTCATGCCGAACCTGCTGTTCCTGTACTCCTTTCAGAGGGGCCATCTCCTCCACAAGTATTTTTTGTTTCTTTGGCTGGTCTGGGTCCTAGGGACAATTAGGTATATGGAGGCATAATTAGATATATGTGGGTTTAGGAAACTGCTGTTCAGTAAAACACCTAGGTGTTAAAAAAGAGAAGAAAGAGAAACCCCAGAGGGGCAAAGAAAAGAAGATGGGGAATCTGGTGCACATTCAGTTTTCTCCAAGCAAGGGCCAGGTAAGGTTGAGGTAAGACCTAAGGAAATTAACAGCTAGACTGGAAAAAAACTGAATCAAAGCTTAGTAATTCTCCTTCCGCTGATGAGCCCATGTCCACCTGTCTGGCCAGAGATCTCAATTCCTGCATTCCTGAAAAAGAGCACATCTGACCCTTACCACCTGTTGTCCTGTTTCTCCAAGATCCAGCTGCAAATCCTCCAGAACAACAACCACGTCCTCCCTGCTCTCTGGGTGATGCTCCTGCACCCGGGCCTGGAGCTCCTTAGGCAGGATGATCAGAAACTGCTCCAGCACCAGCAGCTCCAGGATCTGCTCCTTGGTATGGGTCTCGGGCTGTAGCCACTGTTGACAGAGCTCCCGGAGCCGACTTAGTGCTTCTCGAGGTCCTGTGGTCTCTTCATAACGCAACTGCCTGAATTGTTTGCACAATGGCTCCTGTCCAAGGCCTTTACTGTTTCCTTGCAGCTTGAATCCCTGTTCCCAAGTAGAGTAGTGATCCTCCCTCACTACCCGAAGCCCCTCCTTCTTCAGATTCAGGGGAGCCAGGGAATGGGCACTCACCAATGCTGTTGCCATCCCCAGCTTCAGACTGTTCTCCTTGTTTTGGAGAACTTTCTTTGGACTGTATCTTCAGAGACACTCCTAAAATTATAGTAACAAGAGTGACAGAAACAGTAATAGTACTGCTAACAAGAACAGTAACATTTTCTTGGGTTTATACATTTCCTATTATCCATTTTTTCTCTCTAAAACAACCATTTCTAAACATACATACAGAAGGAAAAAACTATCTTACAGAATACCATCTAATGTAGAAGGAATAATAGATTTGAAAAATCACCATTTTGTAGCCCTCAAAATAACTGAGGCTAGGCACTGTGGCTTACACTTGTCATCTCAGCACTTTGGGAGGCTGAGGTGGGAAGACTGCTTAAGCCCAGGAGTTTGAGTCCAGCCTGGGCAACATAGTGACACCAGGCATGGTGGCACATGCCTGTAATCCAAGCTACTCGGGAGGCTGAGGAGGGAGAACTGCTTGAGCCCAGGAGTCTGAGTTCAGCCTGGGCAACCAGAGCAAGACCTATATCAAAAAAGGAAGAAAAGAGAGAAAAAGAATGAAAGAAAGAAAGAAAAAGAAAAGAAAAAAGACAAGTGAAAGACAAGGAAATAGAGAAAGTTTTTTCAGACAAAAAAGACACCATAAAGCTGTTGGATGTTCAGTGTAGTAGTTAGTTATGGCTGGGAAAACGTTATATGGAGCCGGAATCCTGGGAAACATCTACATGTAAGAAACAGAAGTGAGATGGAACTGGAAAGGTAGGAGGAGAAAAAAGACAATAGTATCCAGAAGGTCAAGGAGGTCTATTTCTGTAAATGTGGAATGGTGGAAAGACCCTGGGCCTTAGACAGGCCTGGGTTCCAATCCAGCCCTGTCACTTACATGTTGTGACCTGGGGCAAGTAACTTATCCTTTTGGACTTAGTTTACTCATTTGTAAAATGAAGATAATACCTAATTCACAGAAGTTTTGAGGTAAATGAGATAATTCTAAAGAACAGAAGGAATTCACTGATTTATAAGGGAAATGATATGAGCACAGTGTTCAAGAGTGTGAAATGCTATAAGATGGTGAATTAATCTAAGACCTGGCATAGACACTTGATTCAAAAACAAAGATGTCATTAGTGACCTCTGTGAAGGTAATTTTGGTAGTGAGAATAGCTAGCCTGCCATAGGAAATGAGAAAATGGAGAGTGAGCATAAATGACAAATTTCAAAAAAGTAATACATTGAATGGAACAAGAAAGATAGGGCAGAAACTAGAAAGGGCTAATGTAGAGTATAAGTATTTTTGTGACTTCAATTACTGTCCTTATGCTGATGATTTCCTTATTCTTCAGGTCAGATATCTCAAGTGTCAGACCTGAATTTCCTTCTGCCTATTTGGGACCAGGATACCCTACAGAAGCCTCTCAAATCCAACATGTCAAAAATGAACTCAGACAATTCCCTACCATCCTTTGGGGCAGGCCCTTGGTATGTGGGGATTTAGCATTCTTGATTTTGACTATGCTTGAGTATCCCTATAGATCAGTGAAACACCATCTGTCAGCTGCTGACACATGCCTTTGAATCAATGTGCATGCGGTAAGTGGGAGAACGGGAGAAGGCTCACTTAATCAGTGGCTTAGCCTCCAAACAGTTTGCTGTTATATATTCCTGAATGTGTATATAGTTAACATTTCCCAGCTGATAATTATTTTTCTTAGTCAAAATGAACTTAAACTTTAAAAAGCCAATTCCTAGTATTCTTAATATAAGTAAAAAAGTCCAAGAAAGTGATGATTATCAGTGAAACCCCGTGTCTACTAAAAATACAAAAAATGAGCCGGGTGTGGTGGCACACGCCTGTAGTCCTAGCTACTCGGGAGGCTAAGGCAGGAGAATCACTTGAACCCAGGAGGTGGAGGTTGCAGTGAGCTGAGATCACACCACTGCACTCCAGCCTGGGCGACAGAGTGAGACTCTGTCTCAAAAAAAGTGATGATTATTAGCCAGAAAATAAAAGATTGGTATTGTAATGGTTAATTTTATGTGTCAACTTAACTGGCCACAGGGTGCTCAGATATTTGGTCAAACATTATTCTGGATGTTTCTGTGAGGGTGTTTTTGGAATGAGATTAACATTTAAATTGGTAGACTGTTGACTAAAACAGACTGCCCTCCATAATGTTGGTGGGCCTCATCCAAGCAGTTAAAAGTCTGACTAGAACAAAAAGGCTGACTCATCCCTGAGTAAGAGAATTCTTCCTGTCTAAAATGCTTCAAACTGAATCATCAGCTTTTTTCTTGCCATCAGACTTGGAACTAAAACAGCTCTTACTGAATCTCAAGCCTATGGCCTTCAGACAGGAACTACACCATCAGCTCTCCTGGTTCTCAGGCCTTTGGGCTTGAGCTGGAACTAAACCATTTGCTCTCCTGGGTCTCCAGCCTGAAAACTCACTCTGAAGATACTGAGACTTGCCAGCCTCCATAATGACCTATGCTAATTCCCTATAGTAAATCTCTTTCTAGATCTCTACCTATCTTTACCGATATAGATACCCTAGTTATACAAATAATGACACAAATACAGGCATATGTATATATATACATAATTCGTATTATTGTTTAGGTATATATACCTGTATTCGTATTTTTTATATATACCTGTATTCATATTATTATATCTATAGAGATATCTATACCCATATCAGTATATATCTATGCCACATACATATATATATACTGGTATCTATATCAGTATTGGTATATAAATAAACATGTGGTATGATGTTGATATGTATATATAGGGTATGATGTGTTTTTTTTTTTTCTTTGAAATGGAGTCTGCCTCTGTTGCCCAGGCTGGAGTACAGCAGCGCAATCTTGGCTTACTGCAACCTCCGCCTCCCGGGTTCAAGTGATTCTCCTCCCTCAGCCTCCCGAATAGCTGGGATTACAAATGCCTGCCATGACACCCAGCTAATTTTTGTAATTTTAGCAGAGACAGTGTTTCACCATGTTGGCCAAGCTGGTCTCGAATTCCTGACCTCAAGTGATCCACCGTCCTCAGCCTCCCGAAGTGCTGGGATTACAGGCATGAGCCACCGTGCCTGGCTGGGTATGAGGCTGAATTAGTGGTGAGTTCATTTCTATAATGTGATTAAATATATCAAACACAATATATAATAAATAATTTGATAAACTGTTTTGGGAGGAGCTCCATCTACCCAGCTATTTGAGCCAGAAAACTGACCATTCCTTCCTCCTTTCATATCTCATGTATCTGATCAATCAAGTTCTATTGATTCTATTGCTTAAATATCTCTCAAATCAATCCACTTCTCATCCCCTTTGCCATTGTCTTCTCCTACCTAGACCACTGTGACAAACAGACTGGTCTGAGACACCAATCTATTTTCCACACGCAAACAGTGATCATTCTAAGGAGGATATGAAATATTATTATGTCCCTGCTATGCCTGTTACATATAATGGCTGATTATTACCCTTAGGATCAAGTTCAAAACATTTAATATGGTTTACATTGTTTTTTGATCTAATAAAGTACTTTATTTCATCAAATTTGCAATACTCCTTCTTGCTCCTTGGCCCTTCCACAGCTTATTCCTTCTGCTTGGACCACCCTCCAACCCTCCAATTTTCTTCTTGTTAATGCCCACTCACACTTCATGTCTCAGCATAATAAAACAATGAGCCAGGACAACTATACTACATGTTTCACATATATTAATTATTTAACCCTCACACAACCCTATAAAGAAGACACTATTCCTAATTTCTTCGTGCAGAGAAGGAAATTGAGACGGGGAGAGTTGAAGAACTTACACGAGGTACCAAAGCTAAACCTCAGATCTTTTCTCCAGTATCTCTTGCACCCACAGGCCCAAAACCTTGGATTTATATTTGCCTTCTTACTGTCACACCCTACATCTGACCCAGTAGCAAATATTATTGTCTCTATTTTCAAAGCAGATCATAATCTGATCACTGGCTCAAGATATCCTTATCTCCCACCTGAATTACTTGGAATTTTAAAAAATTACTCTTAACTTTTAAGTTTTCTTGATTCCATTCTTGCCCACTTACAATCTATTATCATCATGAGTCTCCAAGTAAAGAAGCTTTAAAACATAAGTCAGATCATGTTTTCTTCTGCTCAAAATCCTCCAAAAACACACACCAAAAAAAGACAAAATTCCTTACACGATACAGTTCTCATTTCCTCTACACTCTTCCTCTCCATACCCCAATCTCTCTGACATCATTCCCTACAAAGGTCGCCTTTGTTCACTGCTCCAACCGCTCTGGTCTCCCCGTTATTCCTCAAATATGCCAAGCAAGCTCCTGCTTTAAGACCTTTGCACTTGCTATTCCCTCTACCTAGAAAGTTCCTGACCGCAAAAGCCACTTAGGTCTTTCCACCCACCTCCTTCAGATTTCTGCTCAAATATTACCTTCTCGGTGGCGCCTACCTTTAATATCTACTTAAAATTGCGCTGAATGGATGAAAAATATGCAGCAGAAGGTTGTACTCTGTTTACCAGATCCACAGCTTCATCACTCTCATAGGCCCCAGGGCCGACACCTCCGCTACGGACCCCGCCCCCTCGGTCGAGGGAAGATTCTCTGCACCCGCCGGGAAGCAGCTGCTCCCTAGGCCCCTAGGCCGCAGTTCCGCCCCAGCCCGGGGCCCAGCTCCAGGGTCCGCTCACCTGGTCAAGGGGCCTCAGAGGACCCAAACGCTCTGAAACAGCGTCTTAGCTCATCGCCGAGTGTCAGCTCTAGCTCTTCGGAGCGCTTTCTTCTCCGCTCTAGGAACGCTGGAGGACCTTGGCTCGATGGTGCTGCCGCTTAGGCATCGCAGAAGGAGACTAACATGGGTGCTGCCTGCTGAGGACGGCTGGGAGGGTCATTTCGTTGTGAGCTAAGATTGTTGGGGTTTTTTTTTTGTTTCTGTTTTTGTTTTTGTTTTCTCATTTTAAAGTGGATGTTTATTTTATTCATGTAAAAACAGGCCAGCTCCGTTGAGTGTTATCACAAACAGCCAACATTTTCACTTTGCTCACATAAATAAAACACACATACTTCGCCATTTTTCGCAATTTAGAAATTCATCAAACACAATGGCAAAAATAATTGTCAAAGTATTTCGAAAATTAAACTAAACAATGGACATACGTTTGGATTGAAAGGTTTAAGGTAAGAAGAAATTAGGGCTATTACTGTGAGAGAAAATAAATCAACAACACTTTGCAATCAATGTAAGTTTCAGGGGGAATAAAAGCAACAGATATCACTTTATCAAAATAAATTCTACAACAGAGAACAGAAATAGTCTCTCTTGCCCACAGTATCACAAACTGGGTTTTTATAGTTTTTGAATAAGATAAACTCTTTGAATGCTTATACATTGCTAGTGGGAATGTAAATTAGTTCTGCCACTGTGGAAAGCAATTTGGAAATTTCTTAAGGAACTTAAAACAGAGCTCTCATTTGACCCAGCAATTCCATTATTGGGTATATACCCAGAGGAATATACTGTTCTACCATAAAGACCATGCATGTGTATGTTCATCACAGCACTTTTCACAATAGCAGAAACATGGAATCAACCTAGATGCCCATCAGTGGTGGACTGGAAAAAGAAAATGTGGTACATAACACCATGGAATATCATGCAGCTAAAAGAATGAGATCATGTCCTTTGCAGCAACATGGATGCAGCTGGAGGCCATTTATCCTAAGCCAATTAACACAGGAACAGAAAACCAAATACTGCATGTTCTTACTTATAAGTGGGTGCTAAACATTCAGTAAACATGAACACAAATGGGAACAACAGACACAAGGACTTCTTGAGGGTGGAGGGTGAGAGGAAGGTGAAGATTGAAAAGTTACCTATAAGGTACTATGCTACCACTTTGGTGACAAAATCATTTGTACACCAAACCCCAGCAGTATGCACTTTATTCATGTAACATACCTGCACATGTACCCACTGAACCTAAAACAAAAGTTGGAAGAAAGAAAAAAAAACCTTTAAAAAATCTGAACAAACTTTTGTGTTTAACTGATCAGTTGACAGAAGCTTTGAAATATCATTAAATATACAAAACATTGTACTGACGTGTAATTTATTCAGTGTTTCAAGCATTGAAATTATCATAACAGAAAAAAAACAACCAGTTTCATTATCACAAGCAGTTATCTTTTCTTCTTAAGTGTCTGAATGTATCTTTGAAAGCATATTTTTAAAGTAAAAATTAAATATGTTTACTTTAAAACTTTTCATAAGGCCAACAAATCTAGTCAATATGTGTTACTAATTAGAAGTCAATATTCTTTCTTGAGAGGAAAACTCATATATCTTATTTTTTAATATCTAGAAAAGGACCTTTTCAAAAATTATATAAGGGATAAACATAAAGAAAATTTAATTTAAATAGAAAGTAAATACTATATCCTATTTACTCCCCCTCTAAAATTCCCTACTATGACTAGTTTCTTAAATCTGTCACTTTTATTGTCAAGGCTGAGATTATTGCCATTGCACTGGATATCCCATGAAAATCAAAACCTTTAAAGTAGCTAGACAAAGAAGAGTTTTTTTAAATTTTCAAGGTGTGCATTTTTCATTTAAACAGTCTGTTTGTACCTTTTGGGAGGGGTAGGGGTAGATAAGGTGAGAATAACTCAAAACACTGTTATCACCAGGAGAGACAAAATACTAAAATACAAATCAATTTTCAAACTTGAGGTTTTCATTTTCCAGGATTATCCTTATTTTTGTAAACTATAGTGATCATGTTTCTGCCAGGTCCATTCATACGATATTCAAGATAAGAACTTTCTTTTCCATATTATCAGTAGAGATGCTATCGCATTATGAGTCATGTCACCATGCTCCAGCATAAGATTTACAGTTCTTATCTTCTGGTAATGATGCTTCCTGCTCTTCTCTCTGCTTCTTATACGTATACAGCAAGGTCTCATTCATTACTCTGAGTTTTAAAATAAGTTATTTGTCCAGTGATCGTTCTAAACAATCAAAGCCTACAAATGAATCTAACAAATTTATAGCTTAATATTAGGAACCTATAACTTTAAGTCACCCATATTAGGCTGATAAAGAAAAATCATATAATCTCCACAAATGCTACAATGTCATTTCATAAAACTCAACATATATTTCTGACTAAAAGCAGAAACTCCTAATAAAAAATAAATAGATGGATGATTCCTTTATAAGGCAAAAATAAATACATCTCAAATATACCAAAAACCTCCCTTATATTTGATGGTGAAATCTTAGACATATCCCCCATAAATTCAGATTAAAGTCTAGCTGAATTCGTTAGGCTAAGAATAAAAAGAGCAATTTTGCTAAATGTATGATTTCTTACTCCCTAAATTGCTGGTGGCTAAGGTTAAGAAACACCTTCCCTTGTGCTACAGAACTTTAAAACAAACAAACATGAAATACACATTAGACCCCTTATGCCAGTGGGAGATTTTTATATTTTGTGAAACACTACTTTTGATAATTCCACAAAGTCATATAATGATGGTCTGTGAGAACATTAATGCTATTTCATAAAATGTATCAATTGTAAATCAGCACAGCCTCACTAGTTTGCTTTCTTAGGCTGTTTCTCAGCACTGAATAAAACTCAGTGTAACTCTAGTGGCTAAGACAAGTTATTTGATCTGTTCAACTTCCTGCTTGAGCAGAGTGAAATAATAAAGTGATTCTGATGGTTTCTTGAAATGTAAACGTAATACAAAATTTTCGTTATACTGTTTTTCTTCTATTTCACAATCCATAGCTACATACTCTGGGCAAAACTACTTCAAAGGAAAAGTTGTAACCCTTTTTATTAGCTCCCCTGAGACAACAGTGATCTGCAGTCATATTCCAACTCTTGAAATCTCTTTTAAGGCAGATTTATTGGCCAAGTCCCTCTCTAATAGCAACATTAAATGGCAAGTTAAGCATAACTACAGCAAAAAAGCTATCATGAGTATTCCACTGTAGGCATTAGACATACTATTTGTTGCATGGTGTGTATTTTATCTTTCTGGGAAAGAAGCTCACCGATCTTACCTTGGCTTACTTAGAAGTCAGTTTCTCAGCTGCATCTTCTTCCAAGCGAGAAAGATAAAGATATTTGTTTGGCCACTGTTAGAAAACCTTTTTAGGCTTTAACGGGCATTACAGTCAAGTGTCTCTCAGAAAAACAAGTCAAAGGTAAATAACACGGAGATATATTTGCAAGATATTTGATAAAGATCTAATTTATTAAAGAGTTTTTATGACCAGTTAAGAAAAAAGACCAACAACGCTATAGAAGAGTGGACAAAGGTTATCAGAGGAGCAGTTCACATACACACAAAAGAATTTCAAAAGACTCGTAAATACATCTATGAAAGGATGCTCTATCTTACTTTTAATAATAAATACAAATAAAATGCCATTTTCACCTTAGATTGGGAAAGATCAAAAGGTTTGAAAATACAATATTGGTGATGATGTTGGTGAGTGTGTAAACATAGAAGGTGGTGTTGCAATATCTACTAAAATTTAAAAGCACACACAGCTTAAATCTGGCATTCTTAGTCTTTCCTTGACCACTATATCAAAAAAGTTCCCCCCAATTCTGTCTCTAGCCCGTTACTTTTTTCACATCATACTGTAATTTGTAATTTTTGCCTGTTGGCTTTTATAAGTCTGTCTCCCCCAGTAAAATGTAAAATTCTATGATGGCAAGGAGCAAGTCTAACTTGTTTCTTGGTTTATCCTCAGTACCAGCCATAGTGCCTAATACATAGAAAGCACCTGATATTTTCCCTTTGTTTCAATAATTCTATTTTGAGGTTAGCATTTCTAGATGACCAAAAGGATTCTTTTTGACCTAATATTCATCTATTTTTAGTTGAATATGCTACAAATATACTGTCACATATCCACAGAGGCTTTCAATATAGTACTCTGTGACAGTAAAATACAGAAAAACATCTTAACCATCCAACAAAATACGGTGCTTTCATATAATGGAATACTACAAGATTATCTAAAAGAAAGAAAGATTCATATGTATTGATATAAAACATCTCCAGGATGTATTAATTGAAAAGAGCAAGGTGTCAATCCATGTGTATCATGTGGTATAGTTTGTTCTAAAAATGGAAATACGCACATGTAACAGCATGTCTATCACCAATATGCCACAACACCCTTTGGCGAAAATCTCAAGGTGGTGTGGTCCAGTATCAGCCATGTCACATCCTGTGGAAGGGTAAATGTGCCCTTCCACATCACACTGCCCTGCCAGATTCTAGAACCCCATTTCCTCACCTTCAGTTCTGTGGGGGCTAATCAGTCTTTTGAACTTTGAAAAGGGGGTTATCCAAATGAGATAGTTTGGCTAGTGTTGAATTAAAGTCTCAGGGGCCAGGCACATATCACTGAATGACAACAAAGGCCTTTTAATAGACCATGAATGGAGCTCACTCTGAAGTTTTCCCAAGACTGGTGCCAGCCAGTCTCTCGTTGCTAATTCTCCTGTCCTTGTGGTCCCTCCTGATCTGGTCTCCTCCTCATGAGTTCTGCCAACTACCTTATTCTTCTTCTAGTTCTTTCTCTCTTGTTAGTTCCAACTGCATCATTTTGTAAGTCTCCCACCATTTCTCAGACCTTGATCAAAGTGAATCATTCCACGGGGGTTCGGGCTGTGAGAAACAGCCTGCCTTTTATCATATTCTGCTGGGAAAAAGTGCAAGGAACATCACATTCTGTGGGAACAAGAGCCAAACTGCCTCATCGTGGGAACACCTTACCAACACATAGCAGTACATAGCAGCAAGCCATACTGCCCAGACCCCTCCCACCTAGGCCTATAAGTACCCCAGCCTGTAAGCGGTGGTGGGCACTGGCATTAGGCTGGTTCCCCACCTCTGTAGGTGTTATGCTGGACATAAAGCCTGCATTTCCTGTTGAACTGCCCTCTGTGTGTATGTCTTTCTTTAACCCTTGTCTTCCCTTCACAACCTAACATCTGTGTGTGTGTGTGTGTGTGTGTGTGTGTGTGTGTGTGTGTGTGTGTGAGACTAGGTCTCGCTGTTATTCAGGCTGCTCTTGAACTCCTAGCCGTAAGCAATTCTCCCACCTCAGTCTCCGAAAGTGCTGGGATTACAGGCAAGCCATCATGCCTGGGCCTTCTTCTTTATACCTTATCATTTTTTCTTTCTCTTGCTAGTCTAGGTGGCCCTAATCTACTCAAGCACTCTGATCTCCATCTTTTATATCTCTTTTTATGAATAAACCCTATATCCTCTTAAATTAGAATCTGACTTCTAATAGTCGAAGCCAAGTTTTTCTTCAAGAAAATGTTCACTTTTAGCACATGTACTTTCATTATACGTTTTTTAAAAAAGCATTCGAAACTGTAGTACGCGTCTATGGTTGTCTATCCCCCTTGCCCAAAATTACCCTGATTTTCATTCAAGAATCCATTCCTCTATAACTGGTCTATGACTCCACAGATAAGCCATTCTATTTCCTAAGCAACAACACTTGTTTTGAGTGGGCATGTGACCCAAGCTTATCCCATTATGGTGAATCTCTGGATTCTTGTTTGGATTAGCAACTAAGAAATGTTCTCTCTTCAGAGATGGACCAGAAAAAAGATAACCAAAATCAGGAGCTTTGGCAGCCTTTTTGTTATATAAGGGAAACCAGCCCAAGGAAAATGACCCTTGGAAAAAAAGTGGAGAAGAAAGCCAATGTCCAATTAAAGCCATGCAGAAAATCCATCCTTCTTCTAGACTTTTCATTTGTAAGAGCCACTAAATCTTTTCTATTTTCTAAGCCAGTCTATTAACTGAAAGTAGAAGTATACACTTGATTGAATCCTTTGTTCTTTCTGGGCTTCTTTTGGTCCCCCCGGGGCAAATGAATGGCAAAAGAGTAACGAGCGAAAAAAAACTTTAATAGCTTTTAATCTTTATGCTGCAACATATACTCTTGTATATGCACAGAATGTATATTCTGTATATAAGACACCAAAATATATATTTTTGGGGGAAAGGTGTCAGGGGCTAAAGTGAAAGATTCACTTTTTACTAACTCTCCTCCTATAATGGTTGAATATTTTTAAAACCATGTGCACATATTACTTTTTAAAGTTAAAATAACAAAAAATAAGCTGCTAAAGATATCTCAAAAGAAGCTTTTTCCTGAGGGACTTACTAATATGGTAAGTACAGTAGCACTGTAAAGCCTTTTAACACTTTTGGTCACATAAAATTTTTGTTGTTAAAATTCCTGCTGTGCAACAAGTAAGTCCTTACTTGTCATCTTTCTCTTTTGTCTTTTTGTGCACCATCTCTCGGAAACTGGCTAAAATCTTACTTTCTCTCTTTCGTCTCTCTTCTTGGTTAAAGGATGCAAGAGCTCTCTTCTCATCAGCACTGTAGATCTGGTTCTCCTTACGCAGTCGTACAGCCTCCATTCTGCGATGCCTGCTACCACTCATGACATAACCTGAGCATTCAAAAGAACCGATCTCTTCACTTGTCAACCCAATTTCACCTCTTCGTGGGATTCGCTTTCCAGCTTTTACATACTCAGCCATAGCTGCACCTTCACCGGGAAGCAAAGCATGGCCATACTTCAAAGGTTTTTCATCTTGAGAGGTATGTATTATAGGTGCTTCTGGCCCTATTAAATCCATAGTATCTGCCACATTTGGCTGCTCCATCCAGGTAGCTTCTGACAAGTCCTCTTCTGAGTCTTTACAGCTTGAGTCACTGGATTCTTTTTTGGTTTTCTTATTCTTCTTTTTCTTTGTTTTGTGTTTCTTTTTCTTCTTTTTCTTCTTGGCTTTAACTCTCTTTTTATCATCATCAGAGTCAGAATTTGTGTCAGACTCTGAGTTACTGTCACTATCAGAATATTTCCTATGCTTTCTTTTAGACGACTTATTCTTTCTTTTTTTCTTGTTTCTTGAACGACTGGTCTTCTTTTTCCTATGTTCTTCCGAGTTGGAATCTGAACTGCTGCTTTTCTGATGCGTTACCTCTTCTTCATCCTCAACTGGGGTATGTTCGTCAGAATCTAGCTGAGGGAACTTTGGAGACGGCCCCCACACTTCAGGCGCTCCCAATTCCCCAATCCTCTCTCTCTCCTTCAGCCTCCTCTGCCGATGGCTCTCTTCCTTCTCGTAGTCTTCCGCTGACTGCCGTTCTTCTGCATAGCAGTGACGATGGTAGCGATATCCACTATACGAGGTCGACCAGGAGGACGCGAAGGCGTAGTTGCGGAATCTTGGGAGCCGCCCTCGCGACCCAGAGCGACTAAAGGGGTAAAGAGCGCCCACGTCCAACTCACTCCAAGGAGGCCTGAGGCCCTCACGGCCGCGGGAGTGAGAGCGGGAACAGCCATCCCAAGAGGAACATCTGCTCTGCGGGGATGGTGGGCTCCCCGAGGAGCTGCGTCGCCTTCTCCGAGAGCCCACGATGTCCTCGGAATAGCTGGACCGGGATACTGGGGGCATGAGCCGCGCCTCAACGCTGGGCGGTTGCTACAGACCCAGAGGCTGGCTGGTGATTCGCGGCCACGCAGGCGCACTAGAATCGGCCTCCCACGCACGGCTTCCGCTTCCTGTCAGTTACCAAACGGAAAACGAATCCGCGCGTGTGCTATGTGGGGCGGGCCTTGGCTGCGTGAAGGCTTCTTGTGGGAAGTAGGTAGGATTAGGGTGCGCCTGTTTTTAGGACTTATATTCCCCAACTTGAGCCGTGTGGGAACATAAAAGGACGAATTTGCGTCAATGATCCCCTCTACTGTTGGAACACCCACTTCTCTTTTTCGATTTCGCTTTTACCATTTTGCTTCTCACCCTTTGTTCTTCCCTTTCATTTCCACCTCCTTAACTTTACCCCTCTGTGGAAGATCCCTACTACCAACGCTCCTCCTTTTTTCCTTCCTAAAAAAGGAACTTGTCCACCCTCTTCGTGGAGGAAATATGTTTAATTAATCACTTCCCAACCCCCCTTGTTACCACTGGAAGCAAGAACCAAAACTTCTTTTGGAATCAGTTTGAGCTCACCCTCTAAGCTAGGTGAAGGCCAAAGTCGTACTTTTTTTTTTTTTTTTTGGAGACAGGATCTCACTCTGTCGCCCAGGTTGGGGTGCAGTGGCACGATCATGGCTCAGGGCCGACTTGACTTCCTAGGTTCAAGAGATCCTCCCGAGGAGCTGGGACTGCAGGTGCCCACCACCACGCCAGGTTGATTTTTTTAATAATTATTTGTAGAGACCGTTGTCACTTTGTTTCTGAGTCTGGTCTCAAACTCCTGGGTTCAAGCGATCCTCCCACCTCAGCCTTACAAAGTGCTGGAATTACAGGTGTGAGCCACCATGCCCGGCCCAGAGTCATGATTTTAATTATTAAATTCACAGACTTTTCCACCCTAGAAACACACAGAAGCATCCCACTCGATCTTGTAGACAGATGTCTTTCTATCTAGGGAGACTTCTTCAGAAACTTTGTAGTTTGGAAACCACTTTCTCGATACACATTAGATCTCACTCTCAGAAATGATAAACGTTTTATGCAAGATCATTTATCTCTCATCTTAAAATGTAAATAGGCATTAACATCATCTTGGTTCTCTCTAATTAAGTTGATCTGCTCAGTTGTTTGACAGCCAGGTCAAAACTTAAGAATGATGCCTTCCTGATGCTAGAACTCTAAACAACAAAATGGGGGAAATTAAATTGAATAAGACCAAATCATATCATTTGCTCTAAGTAGAATTTTAGTACTTTGATTGAAGGGGATAAGAATTGGTTCCATACATAAATTATATGAATTTAGGAACTGGTAAACAGCAGGGAGTATTATATGTGAATGGTCACATGTATAGTGAAAATATCATATGGATAGGGTGAGTACTATAGAGTTTGTGTAAGTAAAGAAAATTTTCTTTTGGAGTTATAAACTACTTGATAGGCCAATGAAATGGATATGTCTTACTTGGATAATTGTAAATTTAAGCCATTTAGTATCTGATGTAGACTTGAATTACAAAGCTGGTTGATGAAATACTTCTTTCAGGTAGCGACACAGGAAAATGAAATTTAGAATATATTTTTGATCTTTAGAAAAGTTATGACCTAGACTAGGGGCTGGCAATCCTTTTCTGCAAAAGGCCAATAGTAAATATTTTAGGCTTTGTGGGCCAAGAGGCAAAATTGAGGATATTATTACATACTTTTTTTAAGACAAAATATACATTTATTTTAAATGATAAAGCATAATCAACAATTTGTTCAATTATTCCAAGGAAGAGATAACTGTTTTTTTTTAATTTTTATTATAAGTTCTGGGATACATGTGTAGAACATGCAGGTTTGTTACATAGGTATACACACGCCATGGTGCTTTGCTGCACCTATCAACCCATCATCTAGGTTTTAAGCCCCACATGCATTAGCTATTTGTCCTGCTGCTCTCCCTCCCATCCTCCACCCCCCACAGGCCCTTGTGTGTGTTGTTCCACTCGCTGTGTCCATGTGTTCTCATTGTTAAACTCCCACTTATGAGAACATGCAGTGTTTGGTTTTCTCTTCCTGTGTTAGTTTGCTGAGGATAATGGCTTCTAGCTTCATCCATGTGCCTGCAAAGAACATGATCTCATTCCTTTCTTATGGCTGTATAGTATTCCATGGTGTATATTACATACTTATAACAAAAGAAAAAGCACATTTTCATTGATGCAATATAATTATATTATTATTCAAACTATAATAATTGAGTATAATTTTGCAATGCATATTTTCTAATGGGAAGAATGAAATTGTTTTTTGGATGAATAACATTTTGCTTAATTAGGGTTCTGCCCTTGTAGGTCAAAAGTAGCCATAGACAATATGTAAGTGAATGAATATGGCTGTGTTCCAACAAAACTTTATTTATAGACACTGAAGTGAATTTCATATGATTTTCACGTTACTAAATTTTATTATTCTTTTGATTTTTCCCCAAGCCATTAAAAAATATAAAGATAATTCCTCACTCAGACCATTAAAAAACAGGCCATGGGGCAATTTTGGTCTGTAGGCAGCAGTTTGCTAACCCCTGACTTAGCAGAAAAAGCAGTGGTGCAAAAAGTATGCTTATAGGGATAAAAATAAATGCCTACCATACCTTTTTAATGGGAGGATGGGCTTTTATTTTCTAAATTTTATTTATAGATGAGCAAATGTTCATTTGCATACAGCATAGAAATATATTTGAAGAACTTTAAGAAAATAGGGACAGTTTTTGAAATAACAATACATTTTAATTATCAAGGAAAGTACCAGATGTTGAATGCTCAGCTAAAATGGAATTGTTCTCACAGGTAACCTTTTACTACCTTTCTTAAAATTTCTCAAAATTGTTTTTCATAAATCTTTCCTCTAGTTTTTATTTTATTTTATTATTTTTTGAGACAGGGTCTTACTCTGTTGCCCATGCTAGAGTGGAGTGGTACTATCATGGCTCACTGTGTACCCTTGACCTCCTGGGCTTAAGTGGTCCTTCCATTTGAGCCTCCTGAGTAGCTGGGACCACAGCTGTGTGCCACCATGCTCAACTGATTTTTGATTTTTTGTAGAACTAGACCCTGTCTCTAGACAGATGTTGCCCAGGCTGGTCTTGAACTCCTGGGCTCAAGTGACCCTCTGACCTCAGCCTCAGAAAGTGCTAGCATTACAGGCATAAGCCACCATGCCCAGCTCCCAATTTTTATTTTAAAAACTTTCAAACCTACAGAAAAGTTCAAACACCCATATATCATTTACCTAGATTCACTAGTTGTTACGATTTGGTTTCTTACTCAATTGAAAGAAAATTGCAGACATTATGATGCTTCACCTCTAACTATTTCAGTCATGAATGCATAAAAAGGACATTTTCCTTCATAATCACAATATCATCCTATGCCCTGTCTGAAGTCTCCTTAATCCTATTCTGAGAGTAGTCCCATTAGTTTTCTAATGAAGGATTCTAACTCAAGGTCATCAGGCACCCCTTTCCCTTATCCAACTACCCCCAGCCTTTACCCCCCAGGGCCCAAAAAAGTAAGCCCAACCAGGACCACCAGGAGTAGGGCCCCATATAAGCCCCTAAAGTCAAACCTATGTCCATTGCAGGAGGTAGCTGATGGAAATGGAGGAACACTTAGAGTACATGGGGCATTGTCTATCTCTAATTTGGCTTTATACAAGGAAAAATTTGGCCAGTTTTCAGAGAATCAAAAAAAAAGGCTTATACATTTTACCATATTCTTTAACTTGTCATGACTTGCAAGTATTGTCATTTGCTTGCTGTGCCATGAAAAGAAAAAAGGTAAGGAAAAATTGTGTGGTTAAGCCAGTCATTTATGACAAGGTTAAAGAAATAACTCAGGGAAAATGAGAAAATCCCACTCTATTTCAGGGTCATTTTGGTGAAACACTCAGGACATATACTAATGCAGACTCAGACTCCCAAAAAGGACAAGCTCTCCTAGGTATGCATTTTATTACTCAATCTGCCCCTTATCCTAGGAGAAAGCTATAAAAAGCAGCAATAGGACCTCAAACCCCTATGAGCCATTTAAATATGGCCTTTAAAGTTTACAACAATAGGGACAGGGCAAAAGAGATTTAACAATAGCCAAAAAGTGCAATTATTAGCAAATGCTTTAAGTCCCCTGACCCCTGAGGGTTACCCATCCTGAAATAGTGTCACAAGATGGGTGTCTGGAATGCCCAGAGAAGAGCCCCTGACTTGCCAGCCCAAATGTATAGGTTATTTACTAGCCAAACAAGATGGAGTCTGTGCAATTATTAATAAAACCTGCTGCACATGTAGTAACAACTCTGAACAGGTTGAATTTAACATTCACAAGATCTATAAGCAAGATACCGGGTTACATATCTATAATCAGGGCACTGAACCCAACTATATCTGGTCAATTATCAGAAGTGCCATACAAAGTCTCACCTAGTTTTTATCTCTCCTAGGACCTTTAATAGCCATCTTGTTATTACTAATCTTTGGCCCTTGCTTGTTTAACGTCTTTATAAAATCTGTGTCTTCTAAATTACAACAGTTCCAGATAAAGAAAATGCCGTCGCAGGGCTTCCAACCCATCCCATCTACTGACCCAGAAAATAAAAGCATCCCGCCTTTAGATATGGTATCCAGAGATTTTTACTCTTCCAGTGCTAGGCAGGGCCTATGCCCATAAACTAAGCAGGAAGCAGTTACAGAAGATGGACCACTGCCCTTCTGCAGCCTGCTTAAAATTAAGAAGGCATATCTAATCCCTGAGGGAGGAATGAGGTAGGAGGCAGAATTCAACTCCAGAAGTGGGGCTCCAACACCTGACCAAATTGAGGACTAGCTAAAAGAGGGAAGAGGCAGTATCACCTCTCCACCAGACATACCCACCAGTGTGCAATGTCAGTTACCATTGCCATGGCAACACAGGGAAGTTGCCACCCCTTTCCATGGCCATGACCAAGTGACTCAGAAGGTAATACCCCTTTTCTAGAAATTTCTGCATAATCTGGTGCTTAATTTGCATATAATTAAATGTAGGTATAAATGTGACTGCAGAACTGCTTTTGAGCTGCTAGTCTGAGCACACTGCCTAGGGGGTAGCCCTGCTCTGTAAGGAGCAGTACCTCTGCTGCTGCTGTACACTGACACTTCAATAAAAGTTGCTGCCTAATACCACTGGCTTGCCCTTGAACTCTTCCCTGGGCGAAGCAAAGCATCCTTTTGAGCTAAGCCCTAATTTTGGGGCTCACTTGTCCTGCATCATTCTGTTCTATAGAATGTCCCACATGTTGGATTTGGCTGATTGATTTTTTAAAGTGTCATTTAATTCCTTAACTCTCAAACTCACCTGCATGTTGGAATCACCTAGGAAAGTTGGCCAGGCGTGGTGGCTCACACCTGTAATCCCAGCACTTTGGGAGGCTGAGGTGGGCAGATCACTTGAGGCCAGGAGTTTGAGACCAGCATGGTGACGCATGTCTGTAATCCCAGCTACTCGGGTGGCTGAGGCACTAGAATCACTTGAACCCAGGAAGTGGAGGTTTCAGTGAGCCAAGATTGCGCCACTGCACTCCAGCCCTGGGTGACACAGCAAGACTCTGTCGCAAAACAAACAAAAACAACCAAAAAATGTTATTAATGCCTGAGTCCCATCCTGTGACATTCTGATTTAATTGATCTTGGTTGCAGCCTAGGTATCAGGATGTTTTAAAAGCTCCCCAGTGATTCTGTGTGACACAGAGTGTGAAAACTGCTAACTTAACTTATTTCTGTAAATATTTGGATCTAGAAAAGTACTTAGATTCAAGTTCACTTATAAGGATACTTCATGGGCAGTGCCCCCTACCTTCTGTGGTAGCTCATCAAGAGAAAGATATTTTGTAGTATTTTTCATTTGCAACAGTCTTTGGGACTTCTCATTTTCTTAAGTTATGTTATTTCTTAATCCTTGGAATGTAGAGGCATAGGCAAAGAAAGAAAAACTCAAGAAAGTACTGACATGATATTTTTTCCCCTCATAAACTACTGAACTTGCATTTTGTAGCTTCTCCATTCCACTGGGCAGAAAGGGGCTTACTGAAGTGTCCAGTCAAATAACTTACAGTCAATTATGGCTTAAAATCGAGTCCCATCTAGTTCAAAGAATTCTCAGGGCTTTCTTCTATTATAGGATAGGCCTAGTTTATCACATGCCAGGCACTGTTCTAAGCACTTTACACAAGAGTGCTCACAACATTATCTAATCCCTAGTAATGCCTACAACATCCCTATCTACTATTACTTTCCCTATTTACAGATTGGAAAAGTCGGGCACAGGGAGGGTAAGCCAGGATTACACAGGTAACCTGGCTACCTGCGTATCTAGCCACTGTGCTTGACTGTGATTGGGGGCTGGGAAGAAACAGGAAGGAAGAAAGCAGAAGAGAATGGGGTCCCTGAAGCCAGAGACTAGAGAGTTTCTGGAGGTGGAGAGCAGCATAAGCCTGATTGCCAGAGAAGCAGCCATGGAATGTGCAAAGTGGTGAGTGGGGGAGTGGGACAGTGTGTTGAGGATTAGTGGGAGGTGAGGGCTACAGTCAGGGTCGGGAGGAGTAGTCTGGCCTTAAGGAGGAGGAAAAAAAGTGACAGATTAAGGGGGTGAGTGGGGAAGGACCAAGGGCAGCCACTGCTCGCTCCAGGCAAGTGCCTGGTGATGTGTTCTGCTGCTTTGATGTTTCTGAGAGAGACTAAAGGTCCCCCTGCCAGGGTTCTTGGGGCTCTGGGGAACCCCTGCTTTCCAGCTCAATTTTAGTGTCAATTTTATGCCAGCTGCTTAAGCAAGCTTTACATAGGAAAGAAATATGAGCCGCAGCGGCATCCTTCCAGGATTTAAAGGCTCAGTCCTATTTCTTATGATCCAAGGTCTGTCATCCTTTCCTTCTCTATCCCTTAACTGCCTTCCCTTGCGTGGAGGTAAGGACAGGGTAGCTAATGGGTTAATTCGGAGACAACCACCGAGAGAAGCTTCCTAGAGCGCCCAGGAAGTGGCCTTAGTTCCCATCGAGACTTCCTGTGCCCCAGCCTCAACTTCCCTCCTATGTCTGGAGAGTGATCACTTTCACTCCCAAAGACATCCTTTGGTGATACTTACTGTGGGATTCAGAGTGGGGTGCAGAGGACGACCCTGCAAAGGCACGGACTATAAGAGAGATCTGTGCAGCTGCGCCTCAGGGGGTGTCCTGGGCCCCTGGGCATGACAGGAGGGGGACCACTTGCAGTTCTACTGGAAAATTTACCACCCTTCCAGAATCCTCTGAAGATATACAGGTCGCAACTAGAGTGAGACCCGAGTACTGCCTTGGGTCAGAATGGCTAGAGAACCGAGAAAAAACGCAGCCCTGGACGCCCAGTCTGCAGAAGACCAGACGGGGCTCCTGACCGTGAAGGTGGAGAAGGAGGAAGCCTCCGCCTTGACGGCGGAGGTGAGAGCACCCTGCAGCCCTGCTCGGGGCCCCGAACGCTCCCGCCAGCGCTTCCGAGGCTTCCGCTACCCGGAGGCTGCGGGCCCCCGCGAGGCGTTGAGCCGGCTCCGAGAACTCTGCGGACAATGGCTGCAGCCTGAGATGCACAGCAAGGAGCAGATCCTGGAGCTGCTGGTGCTGGAGCAGTTCCTGACCATCCTGCCGGGGAATCTGCAGAGCTGGGTGCGGGAGCAGCATCCAGAGAGCGGGGAGGAGGTGGTGGTGCTATTGGAGTATTTGGAGAGGCAGCTGGATGAGCCGGCGCCGCAGGTAGAAAGAACAGGTTTAGTATCTGAGCGCTGTGGTCTGTTTCCTCCTGAAATCCCAGATCGGAGCGAGGGGCATTCCTTTAAGGTCCAGGAGTTCTTCATCTCTTTTTGTACTGTGAACCTCCTTGGCAGTAAGGTGAAGTCCCTGGACTCCTTCTCAGAATTATATTTTTAAATATATAAAGAAACTATAAAGGATTACAAAAGAACACAACTATATTGACATACAGTTAGCAAAGAATTAAATTTGTATTAAAGTCATATATGTGGATTTTTATTACTGCACTAAATAATAAGACCTAGGGACAGGGCTTATAATTGGCAATTTCAAAATGGCGATAAGCATCTATTTGCCTGGTTGTAATGTGGTGTGAAAACGTGCAGGTTTTGTTGGTGACAAAGTCCTGGGTACTGCTTATGCTACCTTGATTTGTTGCTTCCATTCATAATTGAAGGAAATGTTAACTCTCTCTTAAAGACCAGTAAAAATAAGATTAGTTTTTGTCCTTTCTAAGTTCATGGACCACTTGGGAGAAAGTCCATGGACCACTGGTTATGAACCTCTGGTAGAAAGTGGGCCTATTTTTACCTCCATGTTCTTCCCTGTTTTATGAGGGACTGTTTCCTCTTTGCATCGTCCTGTGTCCCTGTGCACACAACTTCAGAGGACCTGTGTGGCCAAATCTTCTAACTGGTGAGCTGGATACCAAGGTTCTTGACTTAGGTCTATTGCACGCAAGCCCTGTAGCAGTGGGAAGTCATTGCAAATCTCTTAGCTTCATTCTTCATAAAATATGTGGGAAATTCTGAGCTGCACGTGAGACAGTAACTTGAAAACTGTAATTTAACTATCAATGTCTGGAAGGAAACCTGCTTTTAATGAGGACATAACTATGTGCCAGGCCCTGTGTTAGGTGATGTCACATACTGTGATCTTATTTACTGGTCTCCAAAACCTCATAAAGTAGAAATTATTATCCTCATTTTTCAGATTAGAAAATATATTAGTATTGAGAATTTAGCACCAGTGTCCAAAGGGTTTTCGTAAACACACAGATGTATATAATGAGGGAGCCTAGAGTAATGGTAAGAACACGGGATCTGGAGTCATTCTGTCTGAGCTCCCATCCTAGCATTTCCACTTATTAGCTGGGTGACATGGGCAAGCTGCTTAAACACTGTCCACCCTTGGCTGGGTGCAGTGGCTCACGCCTGTAATCCCAGCACTTTGGGAGGCTGAGGTGGGCGGATCACCTGAGGTCGGGAGTTCGAGACCAGCCTGACCAACATGGAGAAACCCGGTCTCTACTAAAAGTACAAAACATTAGCCGGGCGTGGTGGCACATGGCTGTAATCCCAGCTACTAGGGAGGCTGAGGCAGGAGAATTGCTTGAACCCCGGAGGCGGAAGTTGCGGTGAGGTGAGATCATGCCATTGCATTCCAGCCTGAGCAACAAGAGTGAAATTCCGTCTCAAAAAAAAAAAAACAAAAAAACCAACAACAACAAAAAAAATGCTGTCCACTCAGGAGAGAGGATCCGGGCCACATCTCCGTTTTCAGCAACTTATCATAAAAATCCAAAATAATAGCTCACAGGGTTGTTATCTATATTAATTGTGTTAATATCATAAGGCTTGTAGAAACAGTGCCTAGAAAATAGAAATCACTTGCACATGGAAAACATAGAAATGTTGGGTAGATAACTAAAAATCGTGACTTCTAGGTTCCCGTTGGTGACCAGGGGCAAGAACTGCTCTGTTGCAAGATGGCACTATTGACACAAACTCAAGGGTCTCAAAGTAGCCAGTGCCAGCCAATGAAGGCTCTGTTCAAGCATGAATCTCTGGGATCCCAGCCCTTACACGATAGAGGTGAGTATTCTCTTCTGGGTTGTATGAATTCTATAGACTTCATCCAATTTCATTTAAGGATCACCTAAAAGATCCATTTACAGTTACTTTATATACTCATCACAGAGAGCTGTATTTTAAGACTGAGACTAAGAGAAATTTCAAACAATGGTGAAAAACTTTCCTAACCAAACTAGGACATAGTAAATCTGATTTTATTAAAATTGATGTCTAGAAAGAATCGGTTTTTTAAACAACATGGTGATCTCCATTCATTAGATATATTTAGGGAGCCTTCATCTATGGTAGCCAGTGTTGTAGGCACTGGGGAGAGAGCCACCAATAAGACAGAATTCTTGCTTTGATGGAGCTTACATTCTAGCAGGGAGGATAGAAAATAAATTAATAATATAATTTTAGATATTGTTAAGTGCTATGAAGAAAATAAGGCAGAATTTGTAAAGCCAGCCAGAACATTCCAGAGATAGTAGGACTGCTGCAAATAGAAGAGTGTAAATCTAAACCCTGTAAAGCCTGTGACTAGAAGAGTGAAAATCACTTAATAGGAAGCAGCTGTGTGTTCCATGCTGTTCCTCATCTGCTGTGAACATCTGGGCCGATTCCTAAGACATACAACACTTGGACATGCCATCCAACATGCAATCTTTATTTCTCAGCAGAGTTTCTGGCCTAAACCAACTTATTTTCTGCCCCTTGCAAATTGACTTATTGTAGGGAAACCTAAGGTTTCTTCTGCTTCTGAGTCTGAGCAAGTTCTATTTAAGCAGTCTTCCAGTCTTCCATTGCCTCCTTTCTGGACCCAGCCTTATTTGACTCCTCCTAGTTTTTCTTTTTCTTTTTTCTTTTTTTTTTTTTTTTTTGAGATGGGGGTCTCACTCTGTTATCCAGGCTGGAGTGCAGTGGTGAGACCTTGTCTCACTGCAACCTGTCTCCCAGGCTCAAGCAATCCTCCCACCTCAGCCTCCTGAGTAGCTGGGAGCACAGGCCCATGCCACTACACCTGCTAATTTTTTGTAATTTTGGTTCAGACAGGTTTCTCCAGGTTGCCCAGGATGGTCTCGAATTCCGGAACTCAGGCAACCCACCTGTCTCAGCCTCCCAAAGTGCTGCGATTACAGGGATGAGCCACTGTGCCTGGCCTCCTCCTAGTTTTTCATACCTGAAGTGGAAAGCATCCTAATATCTACTAAAGACATTTTAACCAAAACAAAACAAAAACAAAAAACCCTCTTTACTCCCCATCTCCTAGCAAAATTCAAAACCCAAAGGTCTTCAAATGGAAAGCTTTGTTATGTTGCATTCATTTCACCACTCCTACCAACGATTCTGCACGTGGTTTTTGTATATCTGCAGAGTGCACCAGACTTCTTTCGGCCCTAGGGCTGGAGCTGGTGGGAATCAGGCATTTTTGAAAGGAACACATTCTGTATAAACTTATTGGCAAGAACTTACTGCCCCAGTTTTTGAACTTGGATTTTGCAAGGTGGGGAGGCTGAATACTAGGGTAGTTCTCATCCAGAGCTTCTTTCTTTCTTAGTTCTCCAGGTTCCTGGGCTTGCCCAGGGAGGGTGCTGCAGAGAAGATGCAATGGTAGCTTCCAGGCTCACTCCAGGGTCCCAGGTGAGCTGGAGCTCCTCTCCCTCCCCAGCGCCCCATACCTTTCACTACTGTTGGGCTCCGCATTAAGTTCCTCCCTCCCCAGTCCTACCCCACCCCTATCCTAGATCTACATGAATTTGAGTTTTCTCATCTATCCCAAAGTTGCATATAATTGTCCACCTTCATTTTGGTGCCCACCTAAGAGGACTTTCCTGTTTCACAACAACCTTGGAGTTTTCTTTGTACTTCTCAGATCTTTCCTCCTACATTTCTTCGGTCAGCCTCTTCTTCAATGTGATTTTTCTCCTTCAACAAGGGCAGTTCCGCAAAAGCAAACTGAAGGTTTTGTTGGGATGGTCATTCTGTTTTGCTTTTTAAGATACAATAAGCTGTGCTGTTGGTGAGGGATATAAAGGCCTGGCCCTTGCCCTCAAAGAACTTATACTTGAAAGGTCAGATAAGGCATAGTTATCTTGAAGTTATTTATATTACAATATGAACAATCTTTTCTCAACCTAGATTTCAATTTACTACTCAGCCTTTCCTGTCCTGCTTGAAGATCTCAGTGTTTGAGGCTGTGTAGTATCCTTTTTTTCCCCTAATTTTTCTCACTTCAGTTCTAGATTTCATTGTATTTTTGAAGCTATTAATGTAAATGAACCCCTACTCTCACTTTGCCAAAGCATACTGCAAATCTTTTGAAAATTTTGGACATAGTTCCATTCCTTTTGCTGCATTGACCCTTGTCTTCCAAACCTTTTTACTTTCTGGACTGTTTAGATATTTATATGAAAGTACTTATCCTAAAATGTGTGTAATATTTCTTTCATTTGGCAGGTTTTCTTGATTAAGATGTTATTAGAGATAAAGCTAAATTGGTGTAGGTGTGCCACACTTGCTCCTTTTTAAAGAGCCTCTTTAAAGGGGATGTTCATTCTTTGCTTTGGGGGTAATTTTGGGCAAGAGGAGCTAGTTAGGACTACCTATTGTTTTAGGGTTTGCTGAAAATGGAAGATGTGGCCCTGACCCTCACTCCTGGGTGGACACAGCTGGATTCATCTCAGGTGAACCTCTACAGAGATGAAAAGCAGGAGAACCATAGCAGCCTGGTCTCCCTTGGTAAGACTGAGACACTAATTTGTCTTAAGATTTCTTGGCATTCTTTGCGTATTAGAACCTATTGGGCTGTTAGAAGCTGTTAAGCCCCCATTATGTTTGGATTCAGAATCACCATTCCTGAAAGCCTGTTACTGACTACTAGCTCCTTACTCCTTCTGACCTTGCTTTCTCCTCTGTCATGCCAGTGTTCTAGTTAGGATAAGTGGGGTGAAATTGATACAACTCCTTGTACAGGTCTGGCTCATAGGAGATGCTCAGTAAATGTTGATGTCCTCTTGTTCCTATCCCTGACTGAAGAGGAAAGCTGCGGGGAGGGGGGGGCCTCTTCAGGAAATGGGCCATGGATTCAGAACGTGAGAGCCAGAAGCAACCTTAGACATCAACTACAGACCCTGACCTTAGGGGTGAGGGTGCAGAGGCGTAGATTACCTCACTTGTTTGAAATCTCATAGCTTATTTGTGGCACAGTGGGGGCTCTACCTCAGAACTCCTAGCGCCAATGCCAGTTCTGTTTGAGAACTTTGCCTCTGCCTGGGCACAGTTAGAGATGACGGTCCATGTCATTGATCGATCACCAGTCACCAGTTTCTTTGCTTTTGCCATTTCTTGCAGGTGCTTCAGAAATCCTTCCACTTGCCCTGTTACTGTCACCCTCTGCTCACCCCTTTCAAAATCTAATCCTAGGTGCATGGCCCTGCTTACTATTCTTAGAGCTTAGAACCATCACATATGTCCCCTGCATAGTCCTGGGTCCTCACCATTTTCCCTCCACTCCCAGTTTGTACCCTTCCAATGGCCCCATTCTCATTCTCAGGCCTCCTTCCTCCCCAGCACCCCTGTTCTCCCTTTTTATTCCCATTCTTATTCTAGCACTTAAATCCTCATCCTGGGCATATATAGACTTCTGTAATTCTTGTCTCCCTAGTACTCATCACAGAGCTTTCCTCCCATGGCAGGGCATAACCCACAGTTGCCGGCCATTTGTTGTTTCAGGTGGTGAAATACAGACTAAGAGCAGGGACTTGCCTCCAGTCAAGAAGCTTCCAGAAAAGGAGCATGGGAAGATATGCCACCTGAGGGAAGACATTGCCCAGATTCCTACACATGCAGAAGCTGGTGAACAGGAGGGCAGGTTACAAAGAAAGCAGAAAAATGCCATAGGGAGTAGGCGACATTATTGCCATGAATGTGGAAAGAGTTTTGCTCAAAGTTCAGGCCTGACTAAACACAGGAGAATCCACACTGGTGAGAAACCCTATGAATGTGAAGACTGTGGAAAGACCTTCATTGGGAGCTCTGCCCTTGTCATTCATCAGAGAGTCCACACTGGTGAGAAGCCATATGAGTGTGAAGAATGTGGTAAGGTCTTCAGTCACAGCTCAAACCTTATCAAACACCAGAGAACCCACACTGGGGAGAAGCCCTATGAGTGTGATGACTGTGGGAAGACCTTCAGCCAGAGCTGCAGCCTCCTTGAACATCACAAAATTCATACTGGGGAGAAGCCATACCAGTGCAATATGTGTGGCAAAGCCTTTAGGCGGAATTCACATCTCCTGAGACATCAGAGGATTCATGGTGATAAAAATGTTCAGAATCCTGAGCACGGGGAGTCCTGGGAAAGTCAGGGTAGGACGGAAAGCCAGTGGGAAAATACTGAGGCTCCCGTGTCTTATAAATGTAATGAGTGTGAGAGAAGTTTCACACGGAATAGAAGTCTTATTGAACATCAGAAAATCCACACTGGTGAGAAACCCTATCAGTGTGACACATGTGGAAAAGGTTTCACTCGAACTTCATACCTTGTTCAACATCAGAGAAGCCATGTAGGGAAAAAAACTCTTTCACAGTGACCCATGGTATTCATGCCAACATTGGTGCTCATTTGTCACTGAACTGAAGCCACCCTGGAGCCCTTAATGGTTACAGAAATTGTGGACCAGGGCTTTATTTACCACTATACATCATCGGGTATTAGAAAATGTAGTCTGGCTGAGACGATGAGTTATCTTCTACATTCTAGAAAGTGATTGGAAGAAGTCATTTGATAAGAGGCCATGGGAGAGTGGTCTGGAAGTTGTAGGACCTAAAATAGTTTGTTCTCACCCAGTGTATTTAAATGGCCTTCTGGACTTGTTAATTGCCCTCAGCCAGCACTTTAGGACATCTGGTTGGATGGCTCTGATGTGGGGGGCTGCTGCTCTGACCATTCATTTTGCCTCTAATGAATCTTTCACAAATTGGTCAGATCCATGAGGTCTTTTACTCTTCTTTGTGCCTTGTATGATAGGTGCTAATAAACATTTATTAAATGTACCAGTAAAATGGCCTTTGTACCAAAAATTTGATGTTGTCTATATTTCTGAGAAATTTCTAACTTATGCCATTTGAATTTATGTATTATTCTCTGAGGTTCTAGATTCTGGGCCAATCTAGTGTATTTGTTGCCACGTACATACTGTTTTCAGAATTGGGGTGGGGGAATCCATATTTCTCTACCATGATAGTAGAGATGAGAAGAATGCCTTAAACAGCTTCTTTATCATTAAGACACTGTGAGATTGCTCCATCCATAGAACTCCACTGTCTGGTCAATGTTAATTATGTTAGTTTACATTAATTTTGCTACTCTTTAGGGGGAGTCTTTCACATTCAGGTAAATAAAAATCAACTTACTGAGTTAGATCAAAATGATTATTATGAATTTTGAACACATTCTGTAACACTTACCATCTTGTTTCTTACCTTTTAGTTATCTTGGGCCGACCAAGTGCTAAGACGTCATCTGTGTCCCTCTTCCCCAGTTTATAGCTGACTGTGCATCAAGGCTTATGCCAGCTAAGCTTAAACTTTCTCCAGGTCCGAAGATTCATAACAAATATTTATAATTATTATTCATGGTTTCAAAACTGCCCTGTCAGTTGGGGACAGGAAGATCAGGTTAGAGGCAGCCTATGAGGATAGAAACTCACATCTGAGTGGTAGGAGAAAATGTATCTGTTCAGGCTGGGTGCCATGGCTTACACCTGTAATCCCAGCAATTTGGGAGGCTGTGGCAGGCAGATCACATGAAGTCAGAAGTTTGAGACCAGCCTGGCCAACACGGTGAAACCCCATCTCTACAAAAAATACAAAAATTAGCCAGGCATGGTGACACACGCCTGTAATCCCTGCTACTTGGGAGGCTGAGGTAGGAGAGTTGCTTGAAACTGGGAGGTGGAGGTTGCAGTGAGCCGAGATGGTGCCACTGCAGTCCAGCCTGGGTTTCAGAGTGAGACTCTGTCTCAAAAAGAAAAAAAAAAAAGAAAAGAAAATGTGTCTGTTCAGAAGCACATTGGGAATCCTAGGTATCTGATGAAAAAGATTGTACAATATCCAAAGTGTTGATATGTGATGTCAAGGCTCAATGCTGTGAGTTATTCACAAGAAATAAGAATTTTTTGATATCTTCTGCTTTCACCCAAATCACCTGCGATGCTTAAAGACTGATTTCTTCCGAAGTGCTCAAGTGCCTATTACCATCTTCCAGCATTGCCAGACTGTCATGAATGGATTCTGCTTCTGATGAAATCCCTGACCATGTTTTATTCAGTCACCAGCATCGTGTTCTTGTCTATCCTCAAATACCCTTTCTGGATTTCTCCTCTGAAATACCACAGGCTGACCAGAGACTTACAAAACCGTAGAGCTCTCCCTTTATTAATTCCCTACAATCTTTTATTGCCTTCATTATCTCCTTTTCAGTCTAATTTAAAACTTCTTTAGAATTCCAAAGTTCTGTAGACTTTCTCTGCTCAATCTTTTCTAGCCTTTTCAAATTTCTTTAAAATCAGCTTTATTTATGTTATTTCCACAAAGCTAGCCATTTCCTTTTCTCCTTTTTCACTTCTCCTAAATATTTGCTAAATAGCTCTGATTTTACACACTCAAACTCATTACAGACAACTCTGTTAACTTTTCTGTGATATTTGTTTCTGATGTTACATGAAGAGATATATGTGAAAGCCTTTTACAAACCAGAAAGCATTATACAAATATAACTTCCTGAGATTAACTAAGGACCACTGTGCCTCCTTTCACTCCTGCGCCTCCAAGCCTAAAAGTCTTCTCTGTAGAGGAGGGAAATATTGTAGAAAAGTACTTTTCAGTGTCTGCTATGCTAG
The DNA here is from genome assembly GCF_000001405.40 of Homo sapiens. Lineage (NCBI taxonomy): Eukaryota > Metazoa > Chordata > Mammalia > Primates > Hominidae > Homo > Homo sapiens. The sequence goes on along the minus strand of NC_000006.12, from coordinate 28,242,805 downwards.
AAAAGGGAAGAAATAAAGCCTCTATTTGTGTGTGTGTGTGTGTGTGTGTATACACACTTAGGCTTAGGTCTTTAGTACAGTCAGGTTGGTAAGACTTGCACACAAATAAGGCAGTGTAATGATAAATGCCTTATGAGTGGTAAACTGAGGCTTGTAGAAATTCAGAGAAGGAAAAGGATGCTTCCAGCTGTGCAAGCTGTTATTATATGGACAGGGTGACATGTTAGAAAGCTGAATGGACTCACAACAACTTTGTCCAATTGAGTAAATAAAGCAAATTTTAAGAGATAGGGACATTGTAGGGGCCTTCAGTGCCAGAGCAAAAAGTTTAAATTTTATTCAGTAAGCACTGGGGAGCCATGATATTTTATAATCAAAATATTATCTAGGAAACTTTATCTGGTGTATTATATAATATCAAATAAAATCATTTTGCTTACAGTCTTTTAGATACTCCACTTTTCTATAAAACAGTGGTATGTGTTTATAAATAGCTGAATTATAAAATGAGTTTATCTGTAGCCTATTGAAAGGATGGCCAAAAAAGTTATTTTCCAATGAAATTAGATCTAGTAAAGTAAACTACTTAGTTGAGATATAAGCAGTATATAAAGCACAATAAAATGCCACTTTTCATATTTTCTTAAATTGCTTTTAGGAATTTTAGTGGTGACTAGTCTGCCATTCTATTTCATTTCTGTAACTGAAGCAGCGCAGAAATCTTCTATTTTCTTTTTTCTCCCTTTGCTTGAATAGTAAATGGTTATAGCACTTTTTCTACTTCGATAGAATGAATGGTTATAATGAAAAAAGCTTTTGATGAATGGCACTCTTGGATTTGTTCTTAATTTTGGCAAAGACGTATATAATTCTGCAAAAGACTTTCTCTGCCTCTTCCTTTAGTGAGAGAAAAAAAAAGGTAGGAATGACAACTTAACTCCTAGGATTCTGAGGATCTGCTTATACAAATAAGAAGTGCTAAGTAAA